>NC_000002.12:105671436-105974466 GCF_000001405.40 Homo sapiens | reverse complement strand
GGTGGGGAGGAGAACTTGATTACAGGAGGAAAGGAGGTCAAAAACTGAAAGGCCAGATTGTAGAAGGATTCCATGCATGGAGAGAGTTGGCCAGGAGCTCAAATGTCCAGAAAAAGGGGGCTAATGACTTTAGGGTAGGAATTTGATGGCTGCAAAGAAAACTAATCATGAATTCTAGCAGTTCCAACTTCAAAGACGGAGGATTTTAGGGAGCACTGAGGGAGAATGGTCGCAAGTGGCGTTGAGGAGCCTGGAGGACCCCCGCCCACTTCCAGACCTGAGGGACTCATTTGATACAGACTGTTCTACAAGCCATAGGCACAATTAATGTCACAGTTCATTTTTATAGCTGCTTCATTTCCCATTTCATAGGTGTCTCATGATGCATTTCACTGTCTCCTTTTGAAGGTCACTGAGGTTGTTTCAGATTTCCTCTTGTCATTACAAGCAATCCTGAAATTACCATCTTTGTTAATAATTACAGTGCCCATTAAGGCCAGGCAAATGGGAAGCAGGAACCTGGGGCCTCCAAATTGCCCACTGCCCGCTAACAACTGGGCCGAGAAGGTGCAGCCTGCTTGCAGCCCCGTGCCCTGAGGGGGATGCCTTGCAATCCAGTTTAATTTCCCACATCCTCCTTTATCGGGGCTCACTTTCTTTAGAACCCTGCCCAGGGGTCTCTAGAGTGACTGCATGGGTTGTTCCTCTGTGGCATGATGATTTGTGCAGCATGAAGGCCGCCTGACAACCTAGGGAACTGAAAATATAGGACATCTGCCAACCTCCTGGTGGACACCTGAGAGGGAGTGGAGAGGACTGATTTCAGGCTCACAAGCACAGCATTTTATGAAGAGAAGGACAAATTCGCATGTCAGCATCTTGAGAGAAAACCCCAGACGTGGAAAGGAATCCATTTGAGTGGGAGGAGCCGTGGTTGCCAGCTAGGACCCGGGTTCTAGGGCTGCTTCTGCCACAATCTCTCCAGAGACCTTGGGCACACTCCCCACCCTTCTCAAAGCCCAAGTCCCCATTTCTAAGTTGGAAACTGGGATCCAGAGGACGGAGCACCATTGCGAGGGAGCCAGCCGGAGCTGGCTTTCTAGCCAGGTGCCCTGATTTTCCTCAGTAAAGAGCCTACTGGAAGTTGATTCCTGGGTTGTGAAATGGGAACTTTAGGTACCTCTTTCCCACCCAGGTCCACAAGCCCTTACCCAAAGCCTTAAGCATTTTCGGAATCGAGAACACTGCAGCTCTGGAAGAGTAGCATGCTGCATGTGCTATTTTACATGACACCCTGGTGGAGGGGTGGCTGGGGCAGCACGCATCACCAAACTCATGAATATGCTGCAGGGAAATGTCTGCATGTTCACTCCCAGTGGGATCAGTGAAAATGAGAAATAGTCTTACGTCAGGTCAGCTTGGGTTTTGCTGTCCAACGAGCCATGGAAAGACTTCTCCTTTTAGGTCCAGTTCTTCCCTCTGGCATAGAAAAGGCAATGGCATCGGACCTGGAGAGAAGGCATCCACAGAATGTGGGGGCCCTGGGCTCCTGCTCCTCTCAAAGCCAGGGCATGCCATGCCCTGCGCAAGAATGCGAATGTTGTGAAAATGTCACATCTAACACTTGTGCATGTTATCTTCCCCCTGAAGAAAGCACCTGTCCTCGGAATGAGCCCAGAACACCTCAGGGCGCCCTGTTCCCCCGCCTGCCCATGGGCTCCCTCCTGGGCTTCAGGAGGGGATAGGGTATCCATCTGCCTGTTGCCTCCACTCTGTTCCTGTGCATCAGCCTCCTGCATATCACAGTGACATGACCCTGCTCTCCTCTGAACCCAGGTGCAGCAAAGGGAGCCAGGAAGACCTTGATTCCTCACATGTCTCTTTTGCTCTTGGTCTGAGATGCACCCAGCAAGGGCAGTCAGAACTCAGGCTTCGATGACACCTCCTGGCATTTTGCTGTGAAAGGGGCTGCAGCTGAATTGCTTCTTGGCAAACCACAGTGCCTGCTTTTGGATTCCAATACCGGCTCCACCACCTGCAAGGCAGCTTCGATTCCCCCTGTCTGTAGCATGGGGGTGATAATAGCCAATACTCAGCATGGTTTCATCAGCTCATGCACACAAAATGAACAGCACAGATCTTGTCATGGTGGCCCCCCTACAAATCAATGTTGGTTTTCTTTCCCCTTTAAGCCTGAGTGTAAACAAACAGGAACCACATTCAATTAACTCACTTTCACCATTTGTTTAGAAGTCATCTACTTCCTTTCGTGCTATTTTTGAATGGTTTTAAAAAACTATAACCACTAGGGCAATGTAAACTTCTAAAGAGATACTTGGAGACTCTTTTGGAACTAATGTATCCCTCAGACACCTTAGTGAGGGAGACTTCCTCCTGGTAACGTTTTGCATTGATCTTCTCAGCATTTGCCTTAGAAAGCTTTCAAAAGTAGGTGTTATCATTTTTGTACAGGACACTAGCAAGTGAAAAAAAAGGACAGGTGCATTAGTTTCCTCTGCTGTCTGTGCACATTGAGTCAGCAGCTGAAGGTGGAGGTAACATGGGCTGCAGAGGGCCTACCTCGCTCTCTAGGGAAGCTCCTGTTGCTCCAGCTCATTCAAGTCCCCAGCTCAGTGGGCTTCTGCATGGTGGGGGCTCTGGCATCCTGACACTGAATGCCGAGAAGAGGTGGCCATCTCTCCAGAAACTTACGTAGAGAAAGGCTCTTGCTGGGGACAGAGGAGAAAGGGGGTGGTGTGGCCACCTAGGGCTCAGGGGTTGTAATGGGACTTCCAACTACATTCCCGCCACCCTCATATCCCATCACCCTGGATATGAGTGAACCTCACCTTTTATGTCACTACTTCTTGTTTTTGAGTCTTGGTTTTCCCATCTATAAAATAAAGATAATACCATCTACCTCAGAGGGTTCTTGCAAGTTAGAGAGCACACTCATGTAGTACCTGGCATGTAACTGTATCTGCTGTTATTATGGTGGTGTTGCTGACAACTAGAAGAGGGGAACCTTCAATTCAGAAGTCCAGAATGTTTATTTGGCAGGATCGATCCAACATAACTGCACAGGGATTTCCATGTGACTGATATTGAGGGTCACTTTCCAGCTTTCAGCATCAGCAGGATTTCAGGGGTTCCCAAGGTGGTCCTCATGAAGGGAGCTGGAGGCAGTGAAAGAGCGGAGTCACCAACATACTTGTCACAACCTTAATGAAGTCTTCATTAGAGGTGGCATACAATTTGTTCCCAAGTCTGCATGGATTTTTGCATGTGAATGAATATATATACTTGCTAGCCAAATGAAACAATAAACATGGAAATGCTTTGAACAGAACAACACCAACACATTCATATTCAGGAAAGATACTGTTTTTACGTGCAGACACACCAACCTATGAATAACCAGACTGGTGGTGCACTGTACTAGCAGATAGTTTGTGTCTTCCTGGTTCTTTCTGGTTAGGGACACTTCCTTTGTGTCCCTAGCACCTCTACGTGCTGCAAGTGGACATAACTGATCTTCCAAAGCTTGGCCTCCAGTTCTCATCAGCTAGACTTGCTGCGTGTATTTGTCAGAATAGGTGTGATCCTGCTCCAATTATCAATTAATTCCCCATGTCTCTGTGGGTTAGTACAACGAATGTTTATTTGTCATTCACTTCCAGCCTAATGCAGGGCAGAGGCCCCTTCTGTGCACTCTGGGTCCTGAGGCTCCCGCTTGGTCACCAGTGCTTCCCCCGCCTTCCATGGGGGACGCAGCGACCTGGCCCAGCTGTACCAGGCTGGCAAATGGAGGGCTGGCATGGTATTTGGTGAGCCCCCGAATCTCAGAGACCTGGCACTGGCAAAACTAGAGTGGCCTGCCTTTCTTCCAGCAACATCTTCTTGCTAAATGTGCATCCATATGTCCCACATTTCTAGTGAAGATGCAAGAGGGCCTGCCACTCCATCCTCCATGGGCTGGCTGGACTCACACAGTATTGCCCTGTGGTTTCCACGTGAAAGGCACACTCTGCGGGAGGTGCCAGACTCTCCTCTGGGGCGTGGTGGGAAAGAAGAATTGTATTTCTTTCTATGTCACATTCTCATTTCTGTTTTTGTAGGCTTTACAGTGTACACAAGACATGTGTGCCATAGTTCATTGATATACTTTCTAAAGAAATAGATACATATAATGGAACTACAGCTTCAGAAATTTTTAATGATAAAAATTGTGTTCAGAATGAAATGGAGATGGCTATTTTAGAGATCAAGGAGGTAACTTCTTGACTGGCTGAAATACCATATTTAGTTCCTTTCAATATTCTGTGATTATTCTGCTCTCATGACAGAGGTTTACTCAAATGTACGTAGTTTTTTTTTTTTTCACGAGGCCCTCAGGTCTTTGGGAATGGCATCACACTTCACACTAACCTCTTAGTGTTATGCTCACCTTTAAATTAAAAAAAAAAAAGTTGAAGTATTTATTTTCTCTCCACTATGTTGTAAAATTTTCCACAATGGCAAATGCAAGTCATATAGTCTTGCAGGGAAGGAGAAGCAAGACTGATGATCTCCACGCTGGAGAGCTGCCTGTCTCCCTTTTTCTTCTCTTTCTTTTTCATTTCTTGGGCAGTGGGTAGGGGCAGTGGAAGTGAGGAGACAGAGGGCAGTGTCTATACTCTCTGGGCCCCTAAGCAAATCCCATCGCTGTCCAAAAGATGGAGCTGTTGTCCTGCAGCCAGGGTGGAGCCCTGTGGACCCTGCCGGAGATCCTGTTCCTAAAGGGAAGGCCAAAAATCACTTGTTGCTCATACTGGGAGTCCCTGTGTATGATACCTTAAACAGAGAAAAACGATCCTTAAAGGTAGGAGGAAGCCAAAGATGGCAAGAGGACGAATGGCTTCCGCAGCGGATATTCAAATATTACAGTTCTGTCACTTGGGCAGAGGATGGTTCATGGGGTTATCATACTCTCATATTTATGCTAAATAGAATAATTAGACTACAGGTGGTTCTAGAGATAATCACTAACCAAACCACCTCAGCCCTGGAAATGCTCACGCAACAACAAAACCAAATGCACCTGACAATTTATCAAAACAGACTAGCACTAGACTACTTATTAGCAGAAGAAGGTGGGGTCTGTGGTAAGTTTAATGTCTCTAATTGCTGTTTTAACATAGATGATAATGGAAAAAGCAGTTCTAGAAATTGCTTCAAACATCAGAAAAGTAGCCCAAGTACCAACTCAAACCTGGAAGGGATGGGACCTGGCAAACCTTCTGGGAGGGTGGTTCTCTAATTTAGGAGGATTTAAAACATGGGTAGGGACAGTAATCTTCATCATTGGGCTCCTCCTGTTTCTCCTGTGTTATCCCATTGATAATTAAAACATTGATAATAATTAAATAATAGCCATTAAAACATTGATAATAGCCATTAAAACATTGATAATAGCCATTAAAACATTGATAATAAAAGCCATTAAAACTTGTTGAAACTACAGTTAACCACCAGACAATTCAGACGTTGCTTCTGCTACAGTGACACAGTGGATACCAACCCGTCTCTCAAGAATACCCAAAAAATTAAGGTTTTCTTTTTCCAAGGTGCCCACGCCACCCCCTATGTCACACCTGCAGTAGTTATTGAGAAAGTTGCCCCTTTTCCCTTTTTTCTATAACCAAATAGGAATGAAAGATTCTCTCTGGGGCCTGAAAGTTTGAAGGGATGAGTATCTCCTCCCTTCTCAGGCCCAGTCCAAAGGCACAAGTCCACGTGAGTCAGCAGCGTGTGTCAGCAAGATAGCAGAATCAGGAAGAGAGCCAGCCAGAAGATACCTACCCTGGCTGGAAGACACGTACCCCTGAAGATTGAGAAGGAGGCCATCCGGGTACTACGTAGCAATCACATCAGACTGGGACACTTCCTGTTTACAGAGGACTATAAAACCCCTGTCCCGTCCTCCTTGGGGCTGATGTCATTTTAGGCCTCAGCCCACCTGCACCCAGGGGCTCATTAAACAGCATGTTGTTACACACACACACACACACACACACACACACACACACACACACACACACACAAAATCACTTGTTGCTTCTTCTACCTGAACATTTCAGACATGGCTGCCCTGGGATCAGTGTACCATTATGAAAATCATGGCAATTTTCAATGCTGGTCTTCAAAAGCTGGTGAAGAGTGAGAGAATGTTTTCATTTTCTCCCCAAACACAGTCTAACAGTATCTTCTGCTTTAACTGAAATACAGGGTCTGAAGTTAGCAAAGTCACCCGTGCTGCAGGACACTGCCTGGCTGGTGGGCAGTCGGCCTGTTGTGATGTGTGGCCCGAACTTGACCTTGAAAGTGGGGTAATAATGATCAATCCATCACCCTGCTTGCCTTGAGGCTGCTTCAGATCTAACAAGGAAAGCTTTGGAAGTCCCTGGAGCCCATGGACATAGGAGGGCCCACTGGCTGTCCAGGTGGCCACTTGGGTTCCTCTCCATCAGCAGCCCCCCTTCTTAGCCTGAGCAGACACCCCCAGCTGCCTGGGGATGCCAACTGCCTGTACTACCACCAGTAATCTCTCCTGCCTCTATTCACACATTAAATGCACTTTTTCAAAGCCTACTCAGTCTCTGGTAACTGCAACATTTGATAAGTATTTGAATGAGGACTTTAGAAACCAGGTTCCAATTTAATTTAAAACTTTTTACTTTCAATTAATTATAATTTCTCTAAAATTGAAATTTCTAGCAAGACTCAGGGGAGGCCAGGTAGACCTATTTAAGCATAGGAAGTCACTTGGACACCCTTAAAACCAGTGGTTTGCAACCTTGGCTACATATTAGAACAACCTGGGAAGCTTTCAAAACTCCCGATGCCACAGTGGGGCACCCCTGGCCAGGGCTACAGTATGAGTTTCCAGGGCTCCTTCATCTGTAAAAATATATTGAGACATTTTATGACTGCTTTGGTATAAAGAAAAATATGTTAATTTTGCATATTAAAACCTCTTCTTTGACGTAAAAGTCTGTTTTCTTCATTTGATTTCAAGGGAAATGTAAACCTTTTGTGTGTTCTAGGCACCGTGCCTAGTGGGTAAGTCAACTCTGCAGAGAAGGAGTTTATGGGGTGAACCCAGCCTTCAGCATTTTCTTAAGCTCCCCCAGGCCATCCTATTGCAAAGTCAAGGTAGATAACCATTTTCAACCATCTAGGACAGAAGGCCTACTTGGCTGGACTGGTCCTGGTGATCCAAAATAGCCTGGAGAGGTCTGGTTCCTTTAGTTCTAATGGACCATGTCCAGCCAAGGTCGGCCTGACCTTGGCCCTGCCTGCCCCAGGCCCTGGAATTCTGGTGAAATCAAACATCCTTGACTCCCACCTTTGGGATTCTGACCTGTACCTGCTGCCAATGAATCCTCCATCTCAGAGCTGGAAAAACAGAAGGACCTTGTAGACCCATGTAATTTCTAGTTGCAGAAGCAGTCTTGTTACTGTAGCACCTGGTTCAAGGTCATGGAAATGGCCAAAGCTAGAACTGGGCCCAAGCCCTATCTCCACATCTCACGCTAAGCAATCCCTCAGGAATGAACCTCATCGCCCAAATGGGCAAAACCAGTATGCTCTCTTGAGGGTGTAACTTGCTTGGTCCTTCTCTCTGCCCAAGAGCAGGCCCAGTGGTGAAACCACAAGGGGCCAGTTGCTCTCTGGTTGGCATTAGCTATAGCTTGTCTGAGAATAGGGTGAATAAGAACCGAAGTGGAAGCCTCCAAGGCAACACCAGAAGGCTGCTTATTACACCATGTTGATATGTTGATGCCAGGCTCAGAGGGAGGAGGAGATGAATGTTAGTGATGGCCACAAGAGAGCTGCAGATGTTCTGAAAGATGGGGCACAGCTGCTTTAACTGCCTTCACACCCATGGAATCCCTTCCCTCCTCTCCACTTTCCCTCTCTCCCTGCTTCCTTCTTTCCCTCCTTCTTTCCTTTCTTCCTTCCCTGCATCAACAAACACCTGTTGAGAACCTATTTCTAAATGCGTGGGAGACTGCAGGAGGTGTCTAACAAGGAAGAAACACATCAAGGCTTCAGGGTCTATGGGGAGAAAGCCCAGCACGTAGAAAAATTACAGAACATCAGCAGCAGGTCAGATATATGGGAGCATAGGGCAGGGGGCACAGGGCAGGGGGCATGTCATGGCCCTGTGGCTTGCTGAAGCCAGGGTCTCATAGGTAGTGCCATTTGAGCTGATTTCTGAAGAAGGCTCTTTGGTTGTCATGGAGATGAGGCTGGCAGGTGAGCATGCACAAGATGTGGAATTGAAAGGGAATTTGCGTGTTCTCCAGTGCTGTTGACTCAAGTGCTTCCCATTAGGAGTTGGGGCATTAATGAAATGCAACCACCTCAGTCATTTTCTTGGTATCCTTTCTGCAAATACAGCTATGAGCTAGAGCTAGGCATTTAGCTAAAGGACCTTTGTTTGTTTGTTTGTTTGTTTTGGCTTCCGTGTACACCCCCTGAAAGCAATTATACCGTTGTCAAAAAACCCTGCATTTTCACAGGTTCCTCAGAGCAATTCAGTGAAGAAATGGAACGGGTGCATGGAGCAAGTGAACAAATGGCTTGCAGGGAGCAGAGCTGGAAAGTCGATGGGCGCTGCATGTTTTCCTTAGGGGTTCCTCAGCCACCTCAAGCCTGTCTGCACAGCAGCCACAGTCCTCTCAGAACTCATCACTGTCTTCTAGTTATTTTAGTATCTTCTCAAAGCTATGCCTAATAAAGTACAGCACAGATCAAGGGCCTTAAAATGGTTTTTATTTTGCATTACTGTTTTTTTTGTTTTGTTTTTTGTTTGTTTGTTTGTTTGTTTTTTGAGATGGAGTCTAGCTCTGTTGCCCAGGCTGGAGTGCAGTGGCGTGATCTCAGCTCACTGCAAGCTCCGCCTCCTGGGTTCACGCCATTCTCCTGCCTCAGCCTCCCAAGTAGCGGGGACTACAGGGGCCTGCCACCACGCCTGGCAAATTTTTTGTATTTTTAGTAGAAACAGGGTTTCACCGTGTTAGCCAGGATGGTCTCGATCTCCTGATCTTGTGATCCATCCACCTCAGCCTCCCAAAGTACTGGGATTACAGGCGTGAGCTACTGCGCCTGGCCTGCATTACAATTTTTGACCATGCATAACAGAAGGTTGAAGAGAAATATATCAAAACTTTAACAGGGTTTGTGCTTGAGTGATGGGCTTTTTTTTCCTTCTCTCTCTCATATTTTTTAACCTTTTATTTTAAAATAATCACAGACTCACTGTAATTTGGAAAAATAATACAGAAAACCCCATGTATCCTTCTCCCAGATTCTTCCAATGGTTACATCTTGTGTGGTATAGACACACAATGGAATATGATAGTCTAATGAGAACAAAGGTTCTCCAACTACTCACAACAGTATGAATGAATACATTCAGAAGCATAATATTGTACAGCATCAAACCCAGAAAGTTGACATCAGTGCAATGCTGTTAGCTTGACTATAGACCTTATTCAGATTTCATGAGTTTTTACACACACCTATTTGTGTGTAGGTTTATGCAAATTTATCACATTTAAAAATTCATGTTCTCAGATTTTAATAACTTTTTATAATAAGAATATACTCATTTTATAATAAAGAAGAAGGCTTTACTTTTCAACTTTTTTTCTGGGAATTTCTCCAAGAAAAAAGAAATCCTAAATATGTAATTTCCTAGACACAAAGTTTTTTATTGCTAAGTTACTTACAATATAAAAAAATTAAATCACCCAAGCATCTCACTAGAAGAAATTAAATATAATTAACCAGAGAACCTCTGCTTAATGGACGATTGGGCAACTATTTGAAATGTTTATGAAAAAGGATGTGATAACACATAAAGATGCTTATGATGAGGTTAAGTGAAAACCAAGCTGCAAAACTGTACAGCAGGGTGACGATAACTATGTAAAAAGAAATCAACGCATGGAGGAAAAACAGGAGGCAAACACTGATATGGTTTGGATTTGTGCCCCCACTCAAATCTCATGTTGAATTGTAATCCCCACATGTCAGGGGAGGTTCCTGGTGGGAGGTGATTGGATCATGGGCGCAGATTTCCCCCATTCTATTCTCGTGATAGTAAGTGAGTTTTTATGAGATCTGGATCTGATGGTTTAAAAGTGTGGCACTTCTGCCTTCACTTGCTCTCTCTCTCCTGCTTCGCCATGGTAAGATGTACTTGCTTGCCCTTTGCCTTTCGCCATGATTGTAAGTTTCCTGAGGCCTCCCCAGCCATGTGGAACTGTGAGTCAATTAAACTTCTTTTCTTTATAAATTACCCAGCCTCAGGTAGTTCTTTATAGCAGTGTGAGAATGAACTAATACATACACCAAAACTGTCCTTCTCTCTACCTTTCCTATATTTTCCTAAATTTTGTTATTGAGAAGGGATTTTGAAATTTTAACATGCATCCACTGGTGATCTTAAAATACAGATTCTGATACAGTAGGTTTGAGGTTTGAGGCAGGGTCTAAGATTCTGTGTTTCTGAGGAGCTCCCAGATGACATAGAGGCGGCTGTTATATAAGAGACACTATGTTTAAACAATGATTATTTTAAAAGTGGACCTTTGGGAATAATAATAAGAGGTTTCTTAGGTTGAAAAACCAGTCTCAAATGCCAAAGCATACTCCCCCGCCAAAAAAAAAACACACAAAAAAGTTCAATAATATCACCTCTTTTTACATACTTCACTTGGATTTTCCAAGTAAAGGTCAATGGAAACTGGGATCGTCAAGCCCTAGAGAGTGAGACTATTCTTTTGTTCTGAATTATCCACTGAGATGAGAAGAGTTTTCCACCCATTGTTAGGTGTACTCACCTTCAATTCAAGGCGTGACTCTTGTCGACTCTGCTTTCGTGGGAGACCTTATTTTGTTCCCATATCATCATAATGCCTAAGAACCACCTAGAGGATGAAAAAGCACAGCCCACAGGCACTTCTCAGACAGGTAACCAATCCTCATGTTCAACAACCGCCTCCTTGTTAAGAAAGGTAATGTGAGGAATTGTAGACCCCATTTATCTCTTGGCAGCCTGAACTGTGAAGCACTTTATTTTTCTTTTAATCTTTCAGCAGGAGCTGTTTTTGTTCTGGCTTTGCCAAATAGATTACAAAAAAGTAAAGTTCTATTTTTAAAAAACCAGCCAGTCTTCCTTATGAGCCAATCAAGCAATATATAATGGCTTTCATTTATTTTGTAATTTATAGATCTCAATGCTTTTCTAGAGATATTATTTGACTTTGATAGCATATTTCTTATTTTTAAAGTAAAACATTTTCCATGTTGAATATATGGATTTTTAAAAATGCAAAGATAAGAAAAATTCTTTTATAACATTACTACTCATAATGGTATACTATAGCCTTTTTTTCCCAAATAGAATACATGTGTGTCTTTTTTTTATGAAGCTGTATCATATGGTCTTGTATAATATCTGCTCTATCTCATTTGATCCTCAGAGTAGCCCTGGGAGGAGGCAGGGCAGGTGTTACTAATTCCATGCCATTGGAATGGATTCATCAATGATAACATTCAGTTGCAGAAACTCCTCTTTCTAAGGCTTGGTCCAGTACCTTTTCCAGAACCATGCACGGTGAAGGCTGATCAGAGCCTAAATAGTTCTACAAATATATCCACATAAAAGAGAGTGATAAAGAAGGAGAAAGAATGTTTCCTAGACATTAGTTGCATGAAATGAAATTTATGGAGTGGCCCCATCTTTAAAGAGGTGGCTGCATTAAACCATATTTGGTTCCCATCCAGCCTAGAAAGTGACACTAATCAGAAGTATGTTAAAACCAGACAGCTAACAGACAAATTGTGGTGTCTGCCCACAGTGAAATGCGATAGACAACTCACAATATGAACAAATGCTTTCAGAAACATTACACTGGATGAAAGAAGCTTGGCACAAAAGGATACACACTACATGGCTACATTTACATAAGAGCAGAAACAGGCAAACCGACTCTCTGGGGTCAGAGGTCAGGGGAGTGGTGAACATAACGGACCGGGGGTTGTGGTGACTGAAGGGCCCAGGCAGGACTCTGGAAGCACTGGTAACAGTTTGTCACTTGATCTGGATGAACACCAGCGTGTTCCGTTTTGGAAATCCTTTCAGCTGTACTTACCCTAAGTTTTCAAAAGCCTCTTGGTTTCCAGTAGGTTGTACCTGCCTTTGCGGATCTCACAGAATCCGCCCATTTGTTCAGTTTCTAGGATCAGGGAACACTTGCCTTCCATTTTTATTATTTCAGGCCTCACACATGCAAATCTAACTGGCCAGGACTGACCCAGAAGGAGGGAGAGCTCTGGTCCATGGGTCTCCCCTCCCCAACTGGCAGGCTTTGGTCAACAGCGCTCAGAATGAAAGGAAGGTGGTGGTGCTGGCTTTCAAGTCTCCTCCAAATGCAACTGACCCAGGTCTGCCTGTCCTCCATTAGCTTTTGCTCGTTGGAGAGGGATAACACACCGCTAAGAAAAAGACTTGTTCTGAGAGTGAGGACTGCCCCCGGATTTTGTAACCAGTTGCAACCACCTGAAAGCAGCTCTGGGGAAGAGGTCATTGAAGAGTCTTTCCAGGTGAGGGCTTTGTCTTAGATCACCTGCTGTTTTTCAACAATGAGGAAGACTAAAATAGTCCCAGCGTTTCTATTAAAATGCTCTGTTCTCACTGCTGACAGTAGGTGTAGCAGAACCAAACAAACCTGGGACTCAGTTCAGTTCTGCCCCGAAACCAGGTAGGTGAGCAGAAGCAAGTCAGTGACCTCCAAGCCTCAGTTTCCACAACTCTAGAATGGGGATAAGTAACCCTACTTTGGGTGATTCAAGGAGATAGTGTATATTGAAAGGGATTGGTATAAAGGTTGGCACATAGTGAGCTATTCATAAACTCCTCTTAGAAATAATATTCCAGCCGGGTGTGGTGGCTCACGCCTGTAATCCTAGCACTTTGGGAGGCCAAGGAAGGAGAGTCGCTTGAGCTCAGGAGTTCGAGACCAGCCTGGGCAACATAATGACACCTTGTCTCTACAAATAATAACAATAATAATAATAATTAGCTTGGCATGGTGGCATGCACCTGTAGTCCCAGCTACTTCGGAGGCTGAGGTGGGAGGATTGTTCAAGCCCAGCAGGTCGAGGCTGCAGTGAGCCATGATTGTGCCACTGCACTCCAGCCTGGGAGACAGAGTGAGATCCTGTCTCAAAAAAAAAAAAAAGAAAAAAGAAAAAAGTAATATTCCCCTGGTCTTTCATGCATTCAGCAAACATGGATGTGCACCCACTAGGCACTGGGGACGCAGGAGATGCACCAGGAGGAGGCACACGAGGCCCTGCCTCCTGGAGCTTACACACTGCAGGGCGGAAGGCAGCAAATAGGGAGGCAGACACATGAACATACTTTACTTGAATACGACGAGTGGTTGTGAAGGAAATAAATAAGGTTGTGAGATGAAGAGAATGGTGGAGTTCCATCCACTTGACACAGTGGGTTGGGGAGGTGTCTCTGAGAAGTCAGGGTGATCTGAGGCCCTGGGATTAGGGACAAACTAATCCCATGAAGAATGGGGACTGGGGTGCAGAGGAAATGCAGGGGCAACCTCCGGGAATAGGAGAGAGCTTGGCACTGTGGGGTACAGAAAGGAGGTCAGTGTGGCTGGAGGGCGGTGGAGAGGATGGGGGATGGTGGGGCTAGAGGATCAGGCAGAATCCGCACCCTGGGGCAGGGCCTCTGGAGGCCATCGTGAGGAGTTTGGGAGTTTGGCGCTGAGCAGGAAGGAAGGCTATGCTGGCTCTCAGCTGGTGTGATGTAATATGACTGGCATTTTAGGCCCCTTGATTTGGATACTGTATGGAGAAGAGCCAGCAGAAGAGCAAATGGAGGGGCATGAATGAGGTGATTGCGATTATCCTGGGAGGAGGGGCGGTGACTTAGTCTAAGGAGGATGGAGGTCAAGGAGACGGAGGGACATGGACAGACTGGAGAGTGGTTCTGAGGTAGGAGAGACAGGAGATGAGGAAAGGAGAAAGAAAAGAGGGCTCCCAGACCATGGAGACACCCAGGAGGATGAGAGCTGCTGCCTCAAATGGAAAAGAGCAGCAGGTTTGGTTGCTGGCAGGGGACAAAGGTGGACTCAGGCAGGAGGTAGGAATTCTAGCTGGGAGCTCAGCGGAGGGAGTGGAAACAGAAATTTGGGACTTCTCCACACAGACACCTTTAAAGCCTAGGATATTGGGTGAGCTCCCTTAGAGGAACAAGGCCTGACTCCAGCCACGAGGGTCTCCAACCTTTAAAGCCATGCCAAGGAGAAGCCAGCACAGGAAACTAAGAAATAACAACCGATGCAGGAGAAAGACGGGATGCGTGCTGTCTCAGGAGCCCAGGGGGAGGGCTTCCAAAAGAGCGAGGGGCGGGGGCCCTGCATGAAGCCAGGAGTCTGAGGAGAACAGAGCAATGTTCTCAAGTTATAGCATGGGGTTGAAGGTGAACTTGACATGGGTTTCAGTGGATGGAGGGTGTGGAACCCCAACTGAGGCTGTGGAGGAATGAATTGGGTGAGGCAGGGTGCTAAAGGTGGCACTCCCTGTCTTGTCTGGGGACGTGTGTGGGGTTCCTAACCCCTCCAGGAGGCTGGCAGCTCTCACTGCCAGTCCCCTATGTTCCCACCTGTAGTCAGAGGAGCAGCTCAAGGGCACGGGACATACCCTGGACCCTAGAGGGAGAAGCTCTGAGCTGCTGAGGCCTCACAGCCACCATTCACATTCTGAACATGCCCTCTTGCTGGGAGTGGTGGTAGCAGGAACATTGATTCCCACAAAACTCTAAATAGCGGATGTGGGATGAGTACGGAATGCTAGCCTTTCTCTGTTTTATAGCCAAAGGGAAATTTTCTGGAAGCCATAACCTCTTTGGGTGGATCTGAAAGGAGGGAGGATGTGGCTTAAGTTGTTTGGTGCAAAGTTTTCCAGGTGTTGTGAAAGACGTATTTATTGGGGCTGGGAGTGAAAACAAGGAAGAAAGGATAGAGCTGTAGTGTGATGGGAAATGTTTGTAAATGGGATTTCTTTTTTTTTTATTAGGTGGAAAGCGAAGTAAATGAACTCTGGGGTGGTGTCTCCCAACTCTCACTTCCAGCTCTCCTGTGTTTGTAGACTCTGTGTTCCTAAACAAGGGAAAATACAGCCACAACCTCCAAAGGACAAGTGCTTATTCATTCCTTTAATTTATCTTTATTGAGGATGTTCCATGTACAGTGGAAGAAAAATTGAAAGTGAATAAAGGAAGCTGAAGATGTTTAAAGATATAGTTGAGAAATCTAAAGCCTAATGAATTGTTTTAGAAGAGGAGTTTAAACAAAATAGGACTACTCAGGAGGCTGAGGCAGGAGGGTCACTTGAGCCCAAGAGTTCAAGGCTGCAGTGAGCTATGATTATGCTGCTGCACTCCAGCCTGGGCAATGGGGCAAGACCCTGTATCCAGAAGAAGAAGAAGGAGAAGGAATACAAATAGATAAGAGGCAGAGAAGCTGTATTTATAGGATTCCATACATAATCAAGAACCCTGAGCAACTGTGGCCTCAGCGCGATAGATATTGATTTCTCTTACACATAGAAGAAATCAAGCAGGGGATGAGATAGCCAGCTGTGTTGGTGGCTCTATGAATTTGCCAGGGACCTACGCTGTCACACTCAACCTAGTCCCCATCCTCGTGGTCCAGAACAGAGCTGGAGCTTGAGCTGCTTTGGCTGAGCTCTTCAGAGAGAATGGCATGAGGGCTTCACTGTAAGGGGATCACAGGCATTGCTCATGCGTCTTCTAAGCTAGAACATTCACCCATGGCCATGAGTAGCTGCAAGGGAGGCTGGGCATGTCTGTGGGTTGGGCAGCAATATGGGTGTTACTATTTTGAGAGAAGGGGAGAAAGTCTGGCACAGAGGCTAATCTACAAAAATCAGAATATGCAAAACAGATGTAAAATTGGTGATGATTTACTTTACAAGTGATGTCTTATCTTACCTCCATTAGCACAAGCCCCAGGCCTTGACTCAGCATTTGAGCCCCTCTGCCTAAGTGCCTCAGTCTACCTCTCCAAACTTATCTCCCTGTTCACATCCCAAACAGCCCTGGACTTCTGCTAAGCTGGTGATCCCTTAGTTCTGGGTCTGTGCTTGCTTTGTACTGGTTTGAGTTTCAATTCTTACACAAAGGACTGGATGAAACCACTGTGTGAATCTAAGTGGGCAAAAAAAAGAGCAGTCTTCAGGAGGGAAGCACATATGCATGCACATGTGCTGTAAGTGACTAGTGGAGTCCACTGCACACAAGATCAGAGATGAGTTGGAAAGCTGGTGGACCAGACACACGGAAGTGGGGACCTGGCACATAGCTGTTGCAATACTCCCGTGGGAAGATAGGTTCTCAGGGGCTTGCCCCATCCTGGAGAAGAGGTGGCTCCCAGAGATAGCCTCACATGCCAGCAGAGTAACCGATCTTGTCATTACCCCCATTTCCAAGCTCACCTCTTTATATTCAAAGAGAGATAACATTTCTTTGACCAGGGAAGGCTTGTCTGTTTGCAAACACTTGAAAGGAACATCTGTCACTCTTGTGGGGCCCTTACAGGTTCCAAATGTCCCTCACAGGGTTTCATTACCTCAACCCTCTAGATTATATTGGAAAGGGGAGGCATATACATGTGTGCTTGCAGTTGAAGGAAGGAACCCAGGCTTAACTTTCTACAGATTCTCAAAGATGTCTGTGCCCCTGAAAGATTAAGAAGAAGGAATTAATTTGTGTTCCAGGGCTGGCTGAGCCTTGCAGCATGACAGTAATCCTGGGGAACTGAAGTTCCACACCTTTGAAAAGAGAGCTGGAGAAAGAGACCCCATGGCCACAGGTCCCAGCAGGCTTGCTCAGTGACCCCACCACATGGAATGCCAGAGACCAGGCTAGATTCCAGATGTAGTGCAGGGCAGCTGGGCACGTAGCCGTGCCACCCTCACTGGCACACATTGTCAACAAGGAGGCAGATGCATAGGTCTCTGAATGGATGCGTGAGGGTGACTTTTGAACATTTTCATTCTGCACTTAGCTGAGCTAAGCTCTGGGCTCTCAGCACTGAACTGGAGGTGGAGGAGTAAAACAAGGACTTAGCAAAATGTTTCTTAAATGGTCATTTAAAAACTCTCCTAGCTTGTTGCCATTAAATTGGACCTTACTATTTATGTGAGACCTGGATTTTAGTACATTGCTTTTTGTAAGCCATTAACCATGTAAAATGATCCAGAGTCAATTTAGAGTTAAATAAGAGCTAATATTACAATCCCCATTTAATATTTTGGTTACATAGAAAGTTTTATTTTTAATAAAACAGGAGATGTAGTGGGAAGGAAAGCCAGGGTCCTGCATGCAATTACATTATATACGCTCTGACTTTTAATAACACCATATTCACATGACTCGGGCAACAGCATTGAATGCTGTATTTTCATGCCACGCATGTGACCCAGGACTTTATTAAAATATAAGTCATGTTTAATCGTACAATATGAAAAGCCATTCTCATGTCAATGGACTTCCTTCAAATTTCCACAGTTCAATAAAGGGCCCAAGAGCTACACTGAACAAATCATGGGAATTAGAAATAGAAAAGATCTGTTTACCTATAGGACATGATTTTAGATTCCTGTCTTATTCATGCAGTCATTCACTAAGCATTTATTGAACACTTATATTTAGAAACATCATCCCAAACTTGGAAATAAGAAGTGACTGACAGCATGTCCTTCCATTGTCATGCCATGACCTGCCAGGATTTTCAAACCTCTGGGAGAATAAATCTGTGTTTGACATTGTTGCTTACTGATTAGAGCCCAGTCTCTGTGATGTTACCTGTAGATTTCTGTCCATTAGAGAAGCTGTGGTTTCATTGCTCGGTAGAACATTAACCAATGTTCTATATAACCTAGCAATCATATTCTAACACTCTGTTCCCAAAAACCTTCTAGAAATACCCAATTCTTAAAAATGCTTTCTGAACAGGCATTACTATTATATGTGTTCCCTTTTTTGTAATGAAATCTCTCTTTGACACATGTATTCTAGATTGGTGTTTTAGTCTACTTGTGCTGCTGTAACAGAATACCACAGAAAGGTAGGTACTTTATAAAGAACAGAATTTTATTTCTACTCTTTCTGGGGTCTAGGAAGTCCAAGATTAAAGCACTGGCATCTGGTGTGAGCCTTCTTGCTCTGTTCTCACATGGCAGAAGTGGACGGGCAAGAGAGAACAAATGCCGTGTGCTGATGTGGCAGAAGAGCAGAAGAGCAAGCCAGCCAAACACAGCCGGAGCCCCTTTTATAAGAGCCTTAATCCCACTTACGGGAAAAAAGCTGCCATGGTCTAATCATCTCTTAAAGACCTCACCTTTTAATATGATCACATTGGCAACACTTGGATTTTGGAGGGGACACATTTAAACCACAGCAATTGAGATGACATCACATTTTTGACTTTTTGAAAGTTATACTCTGTGCTGTGAAAGGTTTACAGATATATAAATGACAACTCCTTGCCCTCAAAGTCTGTCCACAACAGCTGAATATTAGAAAGTGATCAGTGCCACAGGGAAGGATGGAGGAATTAGGAAGCAGAACAGAAGCTTGATTGGCAGCTGGAAGCTTAGGGAAATCTTTATGAAAGAAAGGGAATGCTTTGGCCAGCCCAGGCAGTGAGGAGAGGCACTGGGCTATGACATCCCTGACCTTTGGGGAAGTTTAATGTCATCTCTCTTCCTGTTATGTCTTCATCTTTTTTTTTCTTTTCTTTCAATCCCAGATCTTCCTTTTCCTTGCTCATCTTTGCCCTTCCTCAGCTGCTCCATTTCTCTTTCCTCCGGACCCCATTCTTCTTGCCACTTACTTCAGAAGATAAGTATTTGGAAGAACTAGGCTGGGACCTCTCTGCAGAGAGGGAGCTGAGCAGGGAGCCCATGTCACTCCCGGGGGCCTCCTGTGCTGTGGGTGGAAGGGAGCTTGTTTTAGAAGAAAAAGCTCCAGAGGATCAGAGGATGAAAAAAGAGCCAGGGAGTCAGGCAATCTACATTTATTTAAAATGGTTTCATGGAGTTGGCCATTCTCTTTAATAGGCAATTTAAAACAATATCAATATTTATGGGCATTTATGCAGCAGGTGCTGAGGCAGCCAGCACCTTCCCGAGGCAGCTAGGATTACAAAGACACTGGTCTGATCTTTTGCATGAGGAGAGCACATTGGCTCCCTGGAGCTGAAATCACTCTTCCAGGGCCCTGGGGGGCCATTTGGAGTTCAGGAAGTGGAACAAAACTCAATGGTCCCTAAGAACCCTGCCAGGTTAGTGCAGCTCCCTGAAGCAAGCTGCTCCTTTTCATCCTTCCCATCTATTAAGGCTCATTCTCTCTGAATAAGCCGGGGGGCCTCAGCACAGCACAGGGACCGCAGATCATTCTCCTAAAGATGAGCAAATGGCTCCAGGATTAGGACAGGGCAGAAACAAAGTCCCCACCTCCAAGTCTAAGCTGAACCTTAGCCTTGGAGTGCAATAAACACTCAACGACAGGGAGAAACAAACTCTAGGGGTGCCCTCCGGGTGACGCTTGGGCCAAGATCACTTAGGAAGCACCGTTTCATCCCCAGGCCTCATGGGTGTTTCAGAGACTGCTTTGCTTAGGCAGTTACAGGCTATCTGGCCAGTAGCCCCAAACAAAAGTTCTGCGATTTGCATCTTTAGCAGCGGACAATAAGAGATTTATGATATTCAGCAGAAGAGTGATCAGCCCCTATGCAAAGCTTCTCACAAGCGTGGTCTCTGAAAACCCCTTCCTTGATGAAAGGGATCTTTTTCAATGCTCTCCTCTTCTGTCTCCTCCTCTGGGCATGTAAATAAGACATCTCAGGCAGGATTCAGAAACACAAAAGCAATCACACAGCAGCTCCATGCTTGAGGAGCTTGCAGTCCAGCTGTGGATCCAGGCTCAGGAGACGGCGGTGCTTAGCTGGGCAAAGGACATTGCAGCCTCCAGGTGGTGAGGATCTGTGGCCCAGGCTTTGGGAGCAGCTCATTGAAAAGGATAAACTGTGGCAATCAGGAAGCAACTTCCAAAGAACCGATGTTCCTTGCTTAGGTGTCTCACACGCCATCAGGAGGACTGAAGATCATAGCTTTCCTTTCTTAAAATCTGTAGCAGACAGTGTTGATTTCCTACCCTGCCCATCCCTTACCACCTCAAAGCACCCCAGGGCAGCACCTGCATTCTTTTACCTGAGAAAGTGGGTTTCTCCTTGCAACCTACACAGAGGCATGGAGTGGGACAGCCTCCAACCCATGCCGAATGGTGGAGTCGTATAGGAAATACCCCAGCATCTTCACCCCAGGGCAAGAGGACTCAGAGGTGTGTGTTCCACTCCAGCTTCCTGAGCTCCAAGAGGGACTAAGCTCCTAGTGTCCAGGGCAGTAAGTGGCTTCACTTCCTTCCTGACAGACTTCCCTCCTCTCTCTCCCATTCCCACCGCCATCAGAGTTTTCTCCACCTTCATAGTAAACTTGCACTCCCATTCTTGTATCTGGGTCTGCTTCTGGGGCAGCACAAAGCGAAGACACCCCTACTTTTCCTTATTTCTCTCTTCCTTGAGATTCACATCCCTTACTCTAGAAAGTCTCCGAGGAAATCTTCTCCCCCAGCCCCAGGGAAAGTCATACTCCCCTCCCACAGGCAGGCAGGAGCAAAAGAAGGCAGGGAATATTTACCTTTCCATTCCTTTCGTCTGCTCATTTAAAATATAGCGCTAACCAAAGTCTGGGATTATGTGAAGAAACCAACGAAGGGAGGTGAATTGTGAGTGGAGTTTTGCCAAATAACAATAATAATAAATATCTAGTCAGGACCTATATCTTAGTCTGTTCAGGATGCCATAACTAAATACTATAAATTGGGTGGCTTATCAACAAGAGGAATGGGTTTGTGGAGGCTAGAAGTTCAAGATCAAGGTGCCAGCAGATGGAGTGTCTGCTGAGGGTGCTCTTCCTGGTTCATAGATGGCGTCTTCTTTAGTCCTCACTGGTGGAAGGGAAGAACTCTGGTCACTTTGGCCTCTTATAAGAGCACTGACTGCCCTCATGAGGGCCAACTTTCATGACCAAGTCCCCTTCCAAAAGCCCCACTCCCTAATACCTTGGGGATTAGGTTTCAGCATATGGATTTAGGGAGACATAACATTCAGACCATAGTAACCTAGTAACCTGCCTGATCAGGCCTCCCCTGGTGGCAGCAGGAGACCCAGTGGTTGAATCTGGAGTTCTGCTCCCCTCACCCAACTCCCACACTGCCTCCCTGGAAGGGAGAGAGGAGGAAAGGAGCTCTGGGCAGGAGAAGGGGTGAGGAAGGCAGGAGGAAGGGAGCTGGCCATGGAGCTGCCAGGGCTGGTAAAGGCACAACTGATGACTGTCATGCTTGGGAAAGAGGAGGGACCCATCTTAGGCTCAAGAAGGAAAGCCCTGGGGTTGTCTAGGCTCTGTCCCTTGGGGGAAGTGATGTTCATCTTGCGCTTGTGCAAAACACCAGCCCCAGCACCAGGATGCTCCTCGTTGTCATCGGAAAATGAAGACAGAGTCTCAGCGTCCTGGCTGCCATTCTTAATCTGCACCTCCCGGTGCTTATCCCAGCAGAGTGTCATTGTGGTGATGTTCAGACAAGAGAATTCTGCCCTGGTGCCTGGTGTCCGAGCTTCTTAGCTTCTTTGCCTATTGGTCAGGTCAGTTTATCACTCTTCCCCATACCCTCTGTTTCTTTCTCTTTTCCTTCCTCCCTTCCTTTTCCTTCCCTCTTTCTGGTGCTTTTTCTTCTCTTTTTCCATTTCTTTCTTTTCTTACTTTTTGTGAATATTTTCAGCTGCCTACTCTTAGCCAGGTACGGTTCCCAGACAACAGCACAGGGGCATCCAGCAGGTGTCTGCTGGGCAATTAGGGAGGAACTTGGTGATTTCCTGTGGCCAAGGCCATTTCCTCAGCTGGTGGCATGCAGATCTCTCTCAGGGGAGGAGCCTGGGGAGCTGCTGGCCAAGGGTGGAAGCCTGCATGAGCCTGATTGGTTAGTGAGAATTCCACTTCATTTGTTTCTGTGGGTGATGGACTGGTCAGGAGCAGTGGGACCCAGGGATCCTCCCTGTGGGAGGAGATCAAGTCAAAAGGCACCCAGTTAACCAGGGAAAAGGAATTTGGATATTCTTAGCATATTAGATATACAAAAGAATTTAGATATTCCTAAAGGGATATTTCCTTCCAACCAGGATATATATCATTTTAAGGCTCATCTGGTTTAGAAAACCAAAAACAAACATTAAGAAGTCTCTCTCTCCCTACTCATTAAATTTTGCTTCTCTTTCAAGGAGATTCCAGGCAGATCTGTTGAGCTCCCTGGTCCTTCCCTACAGGGGTGGTGGATGCTGAGCAAGTCCATGGCAGTCTCCTAGTCCTTAATTCCCCTACCTCATTCCCAACTTGGTCTTATCACCCCATGTAGTCCATGCATGCTAAATGCTACAATATACAACCTCCCAGGTGCAGTGGCCTAATACAATCAAATGTTATTTCTCAGACCAGTGCAAGTTGGTGGCAATGGGAATGGAGACTTGGGGATACGTGGGCAGGGGGAGGGAACTGCTCCACGCAGTCTGCTACCATCTATGGCTTCCCCTCTTCTAGAGCAATGGAATCCTTCACTGGGTCTACCTATGTATATCTAGAAATTCCAGATAGCAATGAGAACCAGAATTCTAATCTCATTTCCTGGGGAAAGCTCACTGCACGACACACACATGAACTCCTGGGATGATGCCTCCTTTATCACAACCAGTGATTTGTGACATGGACTGTCAGATTCTACTAGTGAATTCATATTTTGATCTGGTCAAAACGCTTTTACTAAACAAACTCTACTTTCCCATGGAAAAAATGATTGTACTTTCTCTCTTGAAAACACATTTTGTTAAACTTCCTTTTTAGAGAAAGACTAAAAGCTCTACTGTATCCAAAAATGGCTCAGCAGAGGGGGGTGAGATTCAAAGGATGTCTTGCTCTCAAATTGACAGAGGCTCATTACTCTCAATTGCTTCAAGCGCCACCAAGATTAGAATTCTTCAGCAGCCTGTGTTGATTCAGAAAGATGTCGCCTCTGAAGTTACAAGACACCCTGCTGCCTCTGAATCTGTAGGGTCCCTAGGAGCCTCTAATCAGCTGAACATCAGCTGCCTGACCTACTTGAAATTTGGACCAATGAAAATTGTGTATAGTCTTGTAGAAATCGGTGTTGGATTATAGGATTAACAGGCGCTGCTGGGGGTGGGGCAGCCTTTTACTGTAGCTGACACAGGGCCAGTGACTCAGGCTTTTGTCTAAGAACAATGCTGCTAAGGCACCACAGGGTCTAAGAGGTGTTTTGATGCTTAAAGACCCAAATGAGGCTGGTTGCAGAGAAAAAGCAAGGAAAAAAAAGAGAGGGAGAGACCAGGAGAGGAGGTCACAGAGGAAGGTTGCGCTGAAAGCAAGATCAGAGATGAGAAGAGGGATGGACAGAGGCAAAGGCTGCGTTTCTCTGCAACATTGTTCTGTGGGCCTGGAAACAAATTGCTTATCTCGCCTGAGATCATGTCTTCGTTGATAAGACTGAGAATATCGGAATGGTCAGGATCACAATAGTATGGTTCAGCCCGATGGCTCTAAATTCTCCTTCAGCCCCAAATCATCCTGGCTTTCATCTCCCTCTTAAAACAATCCCTGTGGTTTCTAATGACAGGTGCTGACTGCTTTCTATAATTTTTTTTTTTTTGAGACAGAGTTTCGCTCCTGTTGGCCAGGCTGGAGTGCAGTGGCATGATCTTGGCTCACTGCAACATCTGCCTCCTGGGTTCAAGCTATTCTCCTGCCTCAGTCTCCCGAGTAGCTGGGATTATAGGCATCCACCATGATGCCTGGCTAATTTTTTGTATTTTTAGTAAAGACGGGGTTTCACCATGTTGGCCAGGCTGGTCTCAAACTTCTGACCTCAGGTGATCCGCTGGCCTCAGCCTCCCAAGGTGCTGGGATTACAGGCGTGAGCCACCATGCCCGGCCTGCTTTCTATACTTTCTAAAATGTAAGCAGCAGCTAATATATTTCCTTCCTTCCTTCTTTCCTTCCTTCCTTCCTTCCTTCCTTCCTTCCTTCCTTCCTTCCTCCCTCCCTCCCTCTCTCTCTCTTTTTCTTTTCTTTCTCTCTCTTTCTCTTTCCCTCTTTCTTTCTTTCTTTCTTTCTTTCTTTTTCTTTCTCTTTCTTTCTTCTTTCTTTCTTTCTTTCTTTCTTTCTTTCTTTCTTTCTTTCTTTCTTTCTTTCTTTCTTTCTTTCTTTTCCTTCCTTCCCTCCCTCCCTCCCTCCCTCCTTCCTTCCTTCCTTCCTCTCTCTCTTTCTTTCTTTTTTTTTTGACAGGGTCTTGCTCTGTCACCCCAGGTAGAGTGAAGTGGCACGATCTCAGCCCACTGCAGCCTCGGCTTCCCAGGCTCAGATGATCCGGAGCCTCAGGCTCCCAAAGCGCTGGGATTACAGGCATGAGCCAACGTGCTCGGCCAACAGCTAATATATTTCTGAAAGCTCTGTTTAGCCTGTCTTTTTGTTCAACTAGAGGGATTGACATATTTGGATGTGTGGTTGTGGTCAGGGGTCTCCAGAGAAACAGAACCAACAGGATGGAGATATATATATATATATAAAAACATTTTATTATATATATTATATATGTTATATATATAGCATTTTATATATATATTAAATGTTGGCATATATGACATATATAACTAATACATATACAAATACTAATATGCTAATATATTACTAATACTAGTATGTATACCAATATTTATAGTATACATATACTATACTGTTATATATATTTAATAGTATATATACTAATATATAAATATATTAATACTAGTATAAGTATGTTATACTAATATAAATATATACATACACACATATGTGTGCTAATATTTGTGTGTATATATATATGCATATATATATAGAGAGAGAGGGAGATTATAAAGAATTGGCTCACAAGATTCTGGAGACTGAAAACTCCCCAAATCTACAATCCACACAATGAAGACCCAGGAAAGCCAATGATATAGTTACATTCCGGGTCCGAGTCCAAAGGCAGGAGAAGAACAATGGCCTATCTGGAAGACAGTCAGGCCAAAAAGTCTGAATCGTCCCTTGCTCAGCCTTTGTGTTCTAGTCAGGCCTCCAACAGACTGGGTGATGCCCACCCACCCGCACGGGGGAGGGCCATCTGCTTGATTCAGTCTACTGAATCAAACCTTCATCTCATCCAGAACCCCCTCCTATGAACAACATCTAACCACACCCAGGCAATGGTTAACCAAGTATCTCAGCCCCCTATGGCACAGTCAAGTGGATACTTAAGAATAACCATCACAGTAATCATGAAAAACTGCGTGGTGGTGCTCAGGTAGCCTAGAGCAGTGCTTTGCAGAGTGTGTGGTTCAGGAACCAGCAGTGCCAGCATCACCTGGAGCTTGTTAGAAATACAGATTCTCGGCCGGGCTCATGCCTATAATCCCAACACTTTAGGAGGCTGAGGCGGGTGGATCAAGAGGTCAGGAGATCTAGATCATCCTGGCTAACATGGTGAAACCCTGACTCCACTAAAAATACAAAAAATTCGCTGGGTGTGGTGGCATGCATCTATAGTCCCAGCTACTTGGGAAGCTGAGGCTAGAGAATCACTTGAACCCGGGAGGCGGAGGTTGCAGTGAGCTGAGATCTCGCCACTGCACTCCAGCCTGGGCGACAGAGCAAGACTCCGTCTCAAAAAGAAAAAAAAGAAATACAGATTCTCAGACTCCAACCCAAATCCATTGCATCAGATCCTCTGGAGACAGCCCAGAAATCTGCATTTTAATCATTCCCCAGGTGACTGTGATGCTCATTTATGTTTGACAACCATTGGCCTAGAGACTACAAGTCTGCGTTGTTTTTAGTGGGGCTCCTTGACTCTTGGAGCATTATGTAATCGTACAAGCTCATATTTGTATAGTTCTGTGCAATGCATTAAGGGCTTGCATAAATTTGATCCTCATAATGGCTTTGTAAAACAGGTAAGGATGATCTCATTTGCAAATTGAGAAGTTGAGACTCAGAAAGATTAAAATGACCTAGTGATCCCTCCCATCATAACACATCACAGTACAGCCACCTCCTTTCCTCTTCCTCCCCTCCCTCCCTCCCTCCTTCCTTCCTTCCTTGCTTCCTTCCTTCCTTCCCTCCTTCCTCTTTCATTCCTTCCTTTCTTCCTTCTTTCCTCCTTCCTCCCTCCCTACACTCCCCTGCCTCTCGGTCCCTTCTCTCTCACCTCTCTCTCTCCCTTCCTCTGTCCCTCCCTTCCTTCTTTCCAGTCATTCATTCCCTTGGTAGACATAGTGATGTGTAGCCCAAATTCCCCTTCAGGAATTGAAGGTCTATTCTCCCAGTGGCCGGAAGATCACCCTCAGCTATCAGCCCTCTTTGGGGGCTGTCTTGTCTGAAGACAGTCCCCTTGCCCTATGGCAGCCCCCTTGCAGGGAGTGATGGATGTAGGGGTGTAAGAGCCTGGCTGGCACCTCCTCCCCATACAGCACACGTCTGAAGGGCCATGCTGCTCAGAACTCTCTGTGACCAGCTGAAGCCTTGGCATGGCAGCCCACCTCCTCCCTCTTTGCAATTTGGCTTCCAGCCCCTCCAGAAGCTCCACTGGTGTCAATCGTATGCCCCTAACAAGCATCTGGCATGCTGACCACCCTCTCGGTGTCAGCCTCCCAGGGCCCCCAACTGTGGCAGGCACCAAACTGACATTGGTTGTTATTTGCAATGAAAGAAACCTGTGCTGTTGCTGTCAACCTGCTTACATCTGACGTGACACTTAGTTGAGTACCTTCACTTACACACACACACACAGACACTTTCGCGTGTGCACACATGCTCACACACACCCAATTCTCTAGAAGTTTTGACACTGCTTGGTAGATACCAAGGCAAGATAGACTGAGCAATGCCTCTGAAAACAAAAATCAATTATGTAAAGCCCCTCTTATGAGAGAAATGTTTTGTGTATATACATCTATACATACATAGATGTATATATGTATGTATATATATTTAACCTGCTTTCAGGTTGCCGCTTGCAAATCTAGAACTCCTCTAGCCATCCAAGGCTTTGGTTTTCCCTTGAAAATCTTCCTTTGACCTTTGAAATGCTTGGTTTCTGCAGTGCCTTTTGAGAGCTTGCATCATCTCAGCATTTCTCAAAAAAGACCTCAGATCTGACCCAGCGCACACCTTTCAAGTTACCTATCCTTCAGCTGTCCATATGGAAAGTGAGGTGGTTGCTCCACTCCATCCTATTGGCTTTCTGCAGAGCACAGATCATCCTAATAGAGCTACACAGAGGCTGCTGCCCATGGCATAGGGAAACCAATTGTGTCTTCTCGTTCAGTGACGAACATTCATATCTTTTTTTTTTCTTGACAGGAAAGTATCCCCAGGCATGCTTTAAGGCGTGACACCCTTGGCACCAAATCTAGCAGATACTTATTTTGCCTTTGTTTCAAGAAAGAGATTCCTAAATGAGCTATTGTCTCTGTGAAACAAGTACTAATTAGCATGGCTTTAGCGTGGAACTTCCTTTTCCAAAAAATCATATTTTCCTGATAGAGGAGCAGGCGCGCTAGAGTCAAGGGAAAACAATGAACAGCAGGTTAACTGTGAAGCCCAAAGCTATGGGATCAGAGCAACAGGAAACGAGTCCTGCTGTCCTAAGTCTGCAAAGCGATTTCACACTGCAAGAAGGGAGACCTGTTGCCTGTGGCAGCCTGGACTGGCATTGACCTTGTACATGGGTCAGCCAAAGAAGGATGACATATAACCTAACTCAATCTGCCAGAGAGAAACAGAGGCTTTATCCTTGAGGCTGATCCCTTGAATTAAGATTATGCCACCCAGGATCAGAGAGGCCAAGTGCGCCACTCAAGGTCACACAGAGCTTTTTGGCTTACGATGTGGTGGATTAAATGTTTAAAATTCATTTTTAAATTTTTTTAAATTGTGGTTAAATATACATAACTTAGACTATACCATCTTCACCATTTTTAAATATATAGTCTAGTGGCATTACGATCATTCACATTGTACAACCATGGCCACAATCCATCTCCAGAATTTTTCGTCTTTCCAAACTGAAACTCAGTCTCCATTAACTCTGGCCCCATTATCCTTGGGGCCAATCCCTTAAATTAAGATTATTTCACCCAGGATCAGAGAGGCCAAGTGCCCCAGTCGACATCACACAGAGCTTTTGTACCCAGGCTTTCGTTTTCATTGTCCACCATCCCCCTACACCCACACACACACAACTATTTTGAACCAATTAACTTCTTATTCTCCCCTTCCCTGCAGCCACTGGCAACCTCCATTCTACTTTCCATCTCTATGAATTTGACTATTTCTGGTACCTCATATAAGTGGAATCATACAGTATTTGCCTTTTTGTGAGTGGTTTACTTCACTTAGTATAATGACCTCAGGCTCATACATGCTGTATGTAGCATGTGCCAAAATGTCCTTTATTTTTTAAGGCTAAATAATATGTCTCACATATATATATATGCTATATGTATAATATATATATACATAATTATATGTATACATATAGATGAAGAAGTTCTGTTTATCCATATGAATGAATAAACAAAATATGGTATATATACACACACATATACACATATATACACACATATGTGAGTATATATATATATATATACACACACACACCACATTTTGTTTGTTTATCCATTCATTAATCAAGGTATTCTTGAGTTGCTTCTGTCTTTTGGCTATTGTGAATAATACTGCTATGGTAACTCAACTGGGACTATGGGCCAACATGGGTGTACAAAAATCTCTGTAAATTTAAAGATAATTTTTTTTTGAGACAGAGTCTTGTTGTGTTGTCCAGGCTGGAGTGCAGTGGTGCAATCTCAGCTCACTGCAACCTCCAACTCCCAGATTCAAGCCATTCTCCTGCCTCAGCCTCCAGAGTAGCTGGGATTACAGGAGTGCGTCACCATGCCTGGCTAATTTTTGTACTTTTAGTAAAGATGGGGTTTTACCACGTTGGATAGGCTGGTCTCGAACTCCTGACCTCAAGTGATCCGCCCACCGCTGCCTCCCAAAGTGCCTGGATTACAGGCATGAGCCACCACACTCTGCCTTAACGATAATTTCTAAGTTTAAGTTGATTTTTAGAAAATATAAAATTGCATTTTCTGCTGGTGGAGCCTAATTGATATTTGAGCTAGGCTGTCACCATTTTATGATCTGTTTCTATTCTATTTACCCTGCTTGGGTGACTTTACAAACACAGGCTGTGGCTCTTCCTTTAGTCTAACCAAAGACATAAAGACAAAGTGGGCACAATTGGCTGAAGAGTGGCTCAGCCCTTGCAGAATGTCGCTCCCAAGGACAGGGTGTGATTTGGTTCCCTGCTGTGCCAGAGCCTAAGATAGTCCCTGGCCAAAGAGACTCTCTGTACATTCTTTTTTTGGTGGATAAATGAAAAAAAAAAAAAAAAAGGTCGGGGGGGGGGAACTTTTAAAAATCAATTGATTGTATTGATCTATTCATTTTTAAACAAATTTATCTTTAACCAAACTTTAATGTGTATCTAGCTGTAGAACATATTTTCTGTAACAACCATCGCGGGATGGGAGCCGTGAGATTGTTAATAAATAGACAACAACACGCCTGGAAAACAGAGCGAAGTCTCCTTTGTGCCTTTAGCGCTATAAGGAACCTTAAAAAAAAATCTTTGATACCTTGCTTCAAAAAAAATTATAAACGCTCATCTCTTAACTGCAACTCAGGTTGACAACTCCCCAAAAAATTGTTAAAGAAGATGCCTGTGCATCAGGTGACTAGGGTCACGATTCTACTGTGTAACACGAAACCACGAATCGCGCAGCTTACAGGAGTGGGTGGTTTCTTAGCTAGGAGCCTCGGGGTTGGACACGCAGCAGTCAGCGGTTCCTCAGCCCGGGAGCCTCCAGGTTGGCTGGGGCGTGGCTGATCTGGGCTGGGTTTGGCTGGGCCATCTGCTTCTGAGCCTCAGCGGCACGTGGCTTCTCTAGGGGGTCGGGGCTCCTGGTTACTCTGAGATCCTGGTAAAGGAGCCAGCGCTGTCTGGGGGAAGCTCTCGGCGTGGCCAGGCACAGGCACATAGAGTGAGAGCACGAGTGGAAGCAGCAAAGCCTGTAAAGGTGCGCCTTCATTTCCGCTTTCATTTATTGGCCAACGCTAGTCCCATAGCGGAAGTTAAAGGAAGGGGAATAAGTGCGAAGTATGTTCGACCTTTTGTGGGAAAAACGGTAAAGTCACGGGGAAACGATATAATACAGAGGGGGCTGAAGAATTGGACCAATAATGGCACCTTCCACCTCCAGCTATTGAAAAATAGCAAAGGACAGCTGTCTCTCCAGAAGATACAGTGGCTTGCTGAGATCCACTCAGCTGAGCATCACCACCATGAAGCCCAGGGAAGATTCTGAGGGGATCCTTTGACAGAATCCGGTTGTCATGGACTGAATGTTTGTGTTCCCCCACAATTTCTATGTTGAAATCCTAAAACCCAACATGATGGTATGGAGCGGTGGGGTTTTTGGGAGGTGGTTAGGTCAGGAGAGTGGGTCCCTCACGAATGGGATCCGTGCTCTCATAAGAAGAGAACAGAGAGTTCTCTCGCCCCTTCTGCCATGTGAGGACACAGCCTGGAGGCGCCATCTATGAACCAGGAAGCGAATTCTCACCAGACACTGAACCAGCCCGCATCTCCATCTTGGACTTCCCGCCTCCAGAACTGTGAGAGTAAATGTTTGTTGTTTAAGCCACAAATATACCCAGCCTATGATATTTTTGTTATCATAGCCTGAACTAAAACACTAGTAGTGAAATATAGAGATAAGATTTACAGTAGTACTTACAGTGCTCCTTAAGAGTTTGCCTTTGCGTTATTGCCACGCCAGGCCTCTCGCAGCAGCTGACAGGTTGAGGCTCCTAACGTCACCTACGCAGGGAGCAACTGCCACTTTGCCTTAGCCTTGACATAGAATCCAATCCTTAGAACCTCATTAGGTAGCACAGATGGTTTTCTATTAATGACAGTAAACCTTGCTCTTCGCTGTAAGAAAAAAGAATGTCTGCCTTCACCCTGAGCATGGGATCCCCCATGCAAGGATGATCACTGTCAGAAGCTATTTTGATTTCACTGCTCATCCAGCAGCTGGAAGTGAGCACATGTGAGTAGCTCAAAAGCAAACAGCAAGACCTCTCTGGCTGCTGATCCTGGAAACCAGGTATAGGGCCAGGTAATTACAGTAACGTTCCTTTAAGCTCATGCAACGTGGCAGGCCAGGTTTCATCAAAAATGAACATGCTGGCACAGTCTCTAAGGCTGCTTTCTGGGCAGATGCTCTAAGTGGCCTATAGCAGGGGTCCTCAAGCCCCAGGCCATGGACTGGTAGGGGACCTGAGCTCTGCCTCCTTTCAGCTCAGCAGTGACATTAGATTCTCATAGGATCTCAAACCCTATTGTGAACTGCACACGCACAGGATCTAGGTTGCACGCTCCATCCCCCTCCCCCGTTTATGTAAAATTTGTCTTCCATGAAACTGGTCCTAGGTGCTAAAAAGGTTGGGGACTACTGGTTATATCAGGCGGGCCAGCAGTGGGCCCTGGGCGACCCAGGTCTACCCACTGTCCGGTTCCTGTAACAGCAGGAAGTGTTAGGGACAGCAGAGAGAGGGAAAGCAGGGAACCCCGAGCATCACTGGTCCATTTCTGAGTGACTCAGACTTGAGTACATTTCCCTGAAGGTCCTCCTTGGAGTTTGTCCTCCTCCATAAAGGTCTCAATGACTTCGATCAATCAGAAGGTGACTTGGGAAGCTGGGCCTGGAAAGCAGAGTTTATGTAAAAAAAAAAAAAAAAAGTGATGGAGGTTGGTAGTGATATTGTGAAAACAGACAACAGAAATAAGGACAGAGACCCACTGGTCTAGAAATGGCTAGAAAGAAAAAATCTTATTAGTGTTAACTTTGCTGATCCACTCTGGTGGACTATAAACTTTTCCATTCCATGAAATGCATTATTGAAGACTGACAGATGTTGACTAATCTGTCTCAAGCAATCTTAAAATACAGAAGTACAGGAATGTAGACTCAGCCTTTCTGTGTTTGTGCAGTCATGGGCCACATAACAATGTTTCAGTCAACAACAGACCCCATATGAAACGGTGGTCTCATAAGATTATAATGGATCTGAAAAATTTCTATCACCTAGTGGTGTCTAGCTGCTGGAACATGGTAGCACGAGGCACTACTCATGTAATTGTGGTGATGATGGTGTAAACGCACCTACTGCCTGCCAGTTGTATAAAAGTCTAACACATACAATTATGTATGGTACATAATACTTGATAATGATAATAAACAACTATGTTACTGGTTTATGTATTTACCATACTATACTTTTCTCATTATTTGAGAGTGTACTCCTTCTACTTAATCCAAAACAAGTTACGCGTAAAACAGCCTCAGGCAGGTCCTTCAGGAGGATTCTAGAAGAGGGCATTGCTATCATAGGAGACGACAGCTCCATGCGTGTTACTGTCCCTCAAGACCTTCCAGTGGGACAAGATGTGGAGGTGGACGACAGTGATATTGATGACCCTGACCCTGTGTAGGCCTAGGCTAATGTGTGTGTTTGTGTCTTAGTTTTTGACAAAAAAGTTTAAAACATTAAAAAAATTAGAAATAGGAAAAAGCTGATAGACTAAGACATAAAGAATATATTTATATAGCTGTACAATGTGTTTGTGTTTTAAGGTAAGTGTTATTACAAAGGAGTCAAGATGTTAAATTAAAAAGTTTACAAAGTAAAAATTTACAATAAGCTAAAGTTAATTTATTATTGAAGAAAAAAGTATTTAAAAATAAATTTTTAATAATTTTTATAGGCCAAGTGGACAGTGTTGATAAAGTCTATAGTAGTCTACAGTGATTTCCTAGGCCTTCACATTCACCCACTGGCTCACCCAAAGCAACTTCCAGTCCTGCAAGCTCCATTCATGGTAAGTGCCCTATACAGGTGGCAGGAGGTTATACATCTGCATTTGTGTGAGTGCACTGTATGATGTTTGCACAATGATGAAATCATGTAAGGACACATTTTTCAGAATGTATCCCTGTCGCTAAGCAACACATGGCTGTATTTAAATGTTCCTGAAGATAGTAGTCCTCTTCCCTTTAATTGCAATTGTCTTCTTTCCTTTCAATCAACTCTAGGTTTTCTACCTTCCCTGACAAGCTAGACTGTAAGCTCCTTGAAGGCAGGTATCTTCTTTGCCACATCTTCTCACTGGGGCACCTCAGGCTCCTGACATGAGTCTGGCACAGAAGAAGTGTTCAGTCAACATCTTGAAATGAATGAGGTATAGGAATATGCCCAGGAGTCACAACCATTGGCCCCCACTGAGAGAGAGACTTAAACAGGGATTGGTCCCCAATGAGAAAGAGACTTAAACAGGGATTGGTCCCCACTGAGAAAGAGACTTATCCTGCCAGCATCTTTCAAGTTTAGGGTGGGAAGTGGCAGCAACAACATGTCCCCTTGATGCAGGTGTTCTTTGTTTAGTGAGGAGGCACTTGCATGACTCATGCTATGTACTGAACTGAGTACCCCCTGCTCCCAAATCCATACATGGAAGCCCTAACCCCTAATGTGACTGTGTTTGGCAATAGGACCTAGAGGAGATAATTAAGGTTAAATAAACTTATAAGGATGGGGCTCTAATAAGACAGGATTTGTGTCACTTTAAGAGGTGACACTGGCCGGGCGTGGTGGCTCGTGCCTGTAATCCCAGCACTTTGAGAGGCCGAGGCGGGTGGATCACGAGGTCAGGAGATCAAGACCATCCTGGCTAATATGGTGAAATCCTGTCTCTACTAAAAATACAAAAAAAAAAAAAATTAGCCAGGCATGGTAGCGGGCACCTTTAGTCCCAGCTACTCAGGAGGCTGAGGCAAGGGAATGGTGTGAACCTGGGAGGTGGAGCTTGCAGTGAGTGGAGATCGCGCCACTGCACTCCAGCCTGGGCGACAGAGCAAGACTCTGTCTCAAAAAAAAAAATAAAATAAAGAGACACCAGGTGAGGAAAAGCAAAAATGTGGCTGTCTGCAAGCTGGGAAGAGGGCCCTCATCAGAAACCAAATCAGTTGGCACCTTGATCTTGGACTTCCCAGCCTTCAGAACTATAAGAAAGTAAATTTCGGTTGTTTCAGCCACCCAGCCTATGGTATCTGATAGTTCAAACAGACTCATGTTCATCTTAGTTATTCAAAATTTCTCATATTCAGGGTCCTGCTGATTGTATCCTCCTGGTGCCTTTTACTATGTTCCTCTTTCTCCTGTATTTCCAGGAACTTGGTAGTTAGAGCTCTACGCTTGGTTAGATTCTGGCTGATTTCTTCTGGCAAGTATTCTCATGGGTGGTGCTGGGCATTTCACACTGCATCTCATGAAGAGACACATGATGTCTGGTCACCCCTTGCTTGGTGACATTAGTTTGGCCCAGTGGGCTCAGATGCGGTTAGCCTGCTCCACCTAACAAGTTTCCCATTCATCCCTTGCTTAAGTATTCTAGCATCTGTTGTTGATTATTGTCTGGATCCACGATCTCATGAAGAATAATACCTTCTTCTAAACAGGCCTCATCCTGGGCCATGATCCCAAGTTTGTGGCCACCTGTGGGTGGGTTGGACAGGCAGGCAGCTATAGGACAAAACAAGAGAGGAGAACTCAACATCAGGGGCCTTCATGATTGACACTATTCCTTTCTAATTGTCAGTCACCCTATATTGCATGGAGGACCTAGAGGCTGGTGACTTTTGTAGGCACTGCCATTGTCAATGCATGGGGATACCTCAGTGTCCCCCTTAAGTTCATCTTCAGAGTAATTTTACCTGGTGACCAACTCCCTGCTCTACACCCCCATGCAGGCATTCTCAGCAGAAAGGCAGTTCTGGACATAGCACCTTGTCATAAAATCCAGATTTTATTGTTGTCCTTGCCATAGCAAGTGGTCCTAAATGAAAATTGTGAACTTATCTCTTATTGCTTTTCTCATCTGTCTTATCAGTATGGAATGTGTTAGTTAGGTTGGATTAGATGATGTATTTGTCCATTTGCCTTGCTAATAGGACACCTGAGGCTAGGTAATTTATAATGAAAAGAAGTTTAATTGGCTTACAGTTCTGCAGGCTGTACAAGCATGGCACTGGTATCTGTTTCTGGTGAGGACCTCAGGAAGTCTTTAATCATGGCAGAAGGCAAAGGGGGTGCCAGCGTGTCACATGGCAAGAGCAGGAGCAAGAGAGAGAAGTGGAAATGCCGCACACTTTTAAACAACCAGATCTCAAGTGGACTCATAGAGCAGGAACTCACTCATTACCTCAAGGATGACACCAAGCCATTCATGAGGGTTCGGGCCCCATGACTCAAACACCTCCCAATAGGCCCTTCCTCCGACACTGGGGATCACATTTCAACATGAGATTTGGAGGGGACAAATATCCAAACCATATTAGGTGATCATCTATCTGGTAAAAATTAAGACCCTAAATCCGAAAGGCTTAACACAACCTAAGTTTGCTTCTGTACTTGCAGTACATCTGACATGGGTTGACGGGGAGCCTTAATCCATGCAGTCACTCAGGGACCCTGTCACATCTGCCTTCAGGAAACTCTTCATGGAACAGGGAGCCTGGATTTCCCTGAACTTATACAAAGAGCTCACAGGACTCCTGTATTAGGTGGTTCTTGCATTGCTATAAGTCCCTGAGACTGGGTCATTTATAAAGAAAAGAGGTTTAATTGGCTTATGGTTCTGCAGGCTGTACAGGAAGCATGATGCTGGCATCTTCTCTGCTTCTGGGGAGGCCTCAGGAAACATACAGCCATGGTGGAAGGCAAAGAGGGTGCAGGTATGTCACATGATGAAAGCAGGAGCAAGAGAAAGAGAGTGTACGGGAGGTGCTACACACTTTAAAATGAGCAGATATCATGAGAATTCACTGTAACTAAGACAGCACCAAGCCATGAGGGATCCACCCCCATGATCAAAACACCTCCCACCAGGCCCCCACTCCAGCACTGGGGATTACAATTCAGTATGAGATTTGCGCAGGGACAAATATCCAAACTATTTCAACTCCTTTGGGCCTGCTTACGAATGAAAACCATTTCTGAAGTCAGCCTGATAACTGCTGTTGCTGTAACCTTGGGATGACCTCTAAGCCCCCTGCCTGTGTCCATTGAAACAATGGCTAGCATTGAAACACACTCTGAATGGGCAACTCGGCTGGGTCAGTTCTTCACAGGGGCTTGGCCCAGTGTCTGGCAGACAGGAGGCACTCAATAAATAGCAGTTGTTTTTATTTTATAAATGAGACACCTGAGGCTCAGAGGGTCAGGTAACTGACCTCAAGTTACCCATCAGTGAGTGGCAAAACTGGGAAAAACCCCAGCTCAGCTTGATCTGGAAACCTTGGCCTCATTTCACCCGGCACAGTGCCTCTGCAGAGACAGAGGGCTCCTTTGTGGAGCCCTCGAGTGCTAGACGGACCCACAAAATTACTCATCAGCTGCAGGTAAGTGGGAGCCATCAATAGCTGGGTGAGGGGTAACAAAAAAAGTGATAACTTAAGAAACCCCATCTGGTAGCACAGCACAGGGTAGATTTCAGCGAACAGAAGCTAGAGGCAGGGAGACCCACTAAGATTCCATTTAAATAGGAAGCTGGACTCAGGTTGGGGTGTTAGCCAGGGAAATGCCAGATGAGTTCTGAAGAGCTTGCAAAGGAAGCAGGAGCAGAATGTGGTGACTGGCCAGGGAATAAGGAAGAGACTGTAAGATGACGTAGAGCTTCTGTGGGGTCACGGGAAGATCATCCCAATATTGGCGAAAGGCACACTTGCTCCCAGGGTCTGGGAGTGACTTCTCAGCTAAGCTACCAGTTAGTTGGGTCACCCGGCCTTGAAGAAGTCTGGGCAGATCCCATTCATAAGTGTGACTCAATAAGAAAAATGGCTAGGTTAATGGGACAACAAGGTGGGGCTGTGAGCAGAAAGGTAGGTGTGTGTGTGAGTGTGTGTGTGTGTATGCGTGAGAAAGGCTATGTGAGTAGAGGTGTGCGTGTCTGTGCAAGTGTGTAAAAATGTGTTTATGAGTTAGTGTGTATGTGTTGAGTAGAGGTGTGTGTATATGTGTATGTGTGTTGGGTAGGGGTGTGTGCAGTAGGTGTCTGAGTGTATGGATGTATGTGTGTTGGTAGGGGTGTGAGTGTATGTGTGCTGGGTAGCGGTGTGTGTGTGTTGGGTAGGGGTGTGTGTATGGATGTGTGTTTGTGTTGGGTAGGGGTGTGTGTATGGATGTGTGTTTGTGTTGGGTAGGGGTGTGGGTGTGTGTGTGTTGGGTAGGGGTGTGGGTGTATGTGTGTGTGGTGAGTAGGAGTGTTTGTGTGTGAGTGTGTGTGTGTGTTGGGTAGGGGTGTGTGTATGGATGTTTGTTGGGTAGAGCTGGATTTATGTGGATATGTGTGTGTGTTGGGCAGGTGTGTGAGCGTATGAATGTGTGCATGCTGGGTAGGGGTGTGAGTGTATGGATGTGTGTGTTGAGTAGGGCTCTGTGTAGATGTATGCATGTTGGGTAGGTGTATATGTGGATGTGTGTGTGTTAGGTAGGGCTCTGTGTAGATGTGAGTGTGTGTTGGGTAGGTGTGTGAGTGTGTGGATGTGTGTGTGGTAGGTAAGGCTGTGCTTATGTGGATGTGTGTTGGGTAGGGGTGTGTGTGTACGGATGTATGTGTTTTGGGTGGCGGTGTGTGTGTGGATGTTTGTGTGTTGGGTAGGGCTGTGTTTATGTGGCCGTGTGTTGGGTAGGGGTGTGTGTGTATGGATGTGTGTGTGGTGGGTAGGGCTGTGTTTATGTGGGTGTGTGTTGGGTAGGGACATGTGTGTATGGGTGTTTGTGTGTTGGGTAGGAGTATGTATGGATGTATGTGTGTTAGGTAGGGGTGTGAGTGTGTGGATGTTTGTGTGTTGGGTAGGGCTGTGTTTATGTGGCTATGTGTTGGGTAGGGATGTGTGTGTATGGGTGTTTGTGTGTTGGGTAGGGCTGTGTTTATGTGGATGTGTGTTGGGTAGCGGTATATGTGTGTGGATGTTTGTGTTGGGTAGGGCTGTGCTTATGTGGATGTGTGTTGGGTAGGGGTGTGTGTTTATGGATGTTTGTGTGTTGGGTAGGGGTGTGAGTGTGTGGATGTTTATGTGTTGGGTAGGGCTGTGTTTATGTGGATGTGTGTTGGGTAGGGGTGTGTGTGTGTGGATGTGTGTGTGTAGTGGGTAGGAGTTTGTGTGTGTATGTGTGGTGGGTAGGAGTGTGTTTGTGACATATGTGTGAGTGTGTGTGCTGAGTGGAGCGTCCGAACAGAACACTTACAAGGAGCATGTGCATGATTACATCTGGAAGTGAATATTCAGAATGAAACCTCCCTTTCCATTCTTTGGTAGCTGAACTTCCCAAGAAAGGTATCCTGTAATAGAGCCCCTCAACTCTGAATATCCAGCTTTCTAATCAGCAAGAAAAATAAAATCCTGTCGTCTGCCTGGGGTCACAGGGATTTACTTTGCAAGTAGACACACACTCCTTTCCCCAGTCAACTAAAGATTTGAGGTGGCAAGGATAACAGGGTTGGGTTTCTCTACCTTGACTCTCTGGGATCTCACTGGGCATGTAGTGAGGTGGGAAAAGGTATGAAACCCACTTCAGGAGACCAGAAACTGGCAGTCGCACTACAGATGGAGTCCTCAGGGCAGACAGGGGAAGCTTTAGAAGTTATTTTGACAGGCTTGACGAATGCAAATTATATTAAGAGCTTAGCTATATGATAGGTTGGTCAGGGAGGGAGAATTTTTTGTTTTTTCAAGTACAAGGAACTCTAAGCTCAGAGGAACAGATGTGTAACTAAGAGTTACACTTAACCCATTTAGCAGTCATTTCCTGAGCACTTGTAAAGTGATTTGCTTTTAGGTTAGAAAGATGCTGTGTATTGATCTCAGGAAGAAAATCGGACTCAGGCTAGGTTCTAAGTTTATTCAGATAACTAAGAGATCCAGGGGCATTTTAAAACATCATGGTTGGCATGCTAATTACTTAAACAACTTTCTAATTGTCCTATTGTTTTTGAGCAGCCTTTCTAGCTTTTAACATTTCTTATCCAGCTGTATTATATTTAAAATGTTTTAAAGGTATTCTGTCTTTTCTCATAGTCTTAAAAGACTTCTTTGTTATTTCAAATGGAGTTTGGCAGAAAGATTTGTTTCCCTCTAGGCTGATTTCATTTATCTAAAGTTGGCCGAGAAAATCGTCCCCTTGCTGAAAGCACGCCTTCAACGGGTTAACCCTGAGGTTGACTTTTCAGTCATAAGGTTGCAGATTCTCCTTTGATCTCACTGCAAGCAGCAATTTTACCCAGCTTGGCAAGTCACAGGCCTGGGCGTCAGGAGGTCCAGAGCTCAGCTGCAATTTCTCTGCTAAGGATCCCTAGCAGACATGCCCTTGGGAGCCTTTCCTTAGTGCCAATGTTTCCGTGCTCTGTGTGGCAGGCAACAGGCAAGGCGACAGCCCTAGATTCATTTAGTTCAGCTGTGAAACTTCCAGAGTGCCCAAGTGATATAGGAGTTAATAAGAAAGTACTTAAGCAGATAGTGAGGGTACAGAAGTCCTCAGTAAGGTTTTCCTTTTAGTGAAAAGCAGCCCCCAAATCATTTTATTTTCTAACAAATAGCAGCCTGTAAAATCGAGCTGCAGACATAGACAAGCAAGCTAGAAGCTTGCATGGGTGAATGCTGGCAGTTGGGCCAATAGAAAAAGGCTACCTGTGCCTAGGCATGATCAAAATGGTGGCTCTACCTTCTCTTCTCTTTTCCAGCCATGTGTATAGTAAGGAGCAGACAAGATGGCACTGTCCAAGTGGCAGTTCCACTTACATAATAAGATTAGGGTGGGGCAACCAGCCTTCCCTCCCCAGGTAAACGTCACACCTGGTCAAACCAATCTGGGGGCCTTATGTAAATCAGACACCGCCTCCTCAAGCCTGCAGTCCACTGTGGGCTGGCTTTTCCCTTTCAGATACCTCTTTCTCACAAGAGAGAGCTGCTCTCTCTCTCTCCTTTCTTCTGCCTATTAAATGTTCTGCTCCTTAACCCACCCACATGTGTTCGTATCCTTAATCTTCTTGGCGTGAGACAACAAACCCCTGGTATTTACCCCAGACAATGATGCTGCTTCACAAACAGCACCTAGTGGAGTTCTTAGATCTTGCAATACCACCTTCTGACCCTGACACCTTTGGTTTTCTTAATGGAAAAGACCAGCTCCAGAAGTGGGGGCCCCAGGAGGTGAGACCCAGTAGCCTGATGATGATTTCTGTGCGGGGACATTAATGACTTTGTTGGATGAGCTGAAAATTTCTGAAATTTATCCAGGGGTCCCTACTTTCCCCTTAACTCCTGATTATGGATCTATCATTCGTGAGTTCATCTAGAGTTGTAAAACCGAAAGGGATCTAGGAGCACATCCAACTGGTCATATCGCTTATTGAAGACACGAAAGCTGTGGCCACCCAGAGGCAAAGACGCTGCCCCTTTTCTCTTTTCTGGCCCCTTACTGGTCTCAGGGTCTGCACCCAACCTGGAGTTACCAGCACTTTTCCACAACTTGAAACTGTCATCTCTTTGTGCTTCTGCCTCTTTGACCTGTTGGAATAAGAAAGCCTTGAGTTGTTCTACCAGCTTCTTAGAGTGTTAACTGTCTTGCCCAAAGCTGTGTTGCTGGAGGATCAAGAGCTTCTCCCTTTAGAATTCCCAGACTGGAGGGGCAGACATGATTGCCGGCCACCTCCATTGCAGAGAGTAAGCTTTACAAGGGAGGTTCTGGAGTCTGGGTGCTCCAGCTATTGTATCCTGAGTACCAAGCACATCACTTGGCACAAGGCGGTCTTTCAATTAGTGCAGTCTTCTAGAGTAAGGAACAAATGAAGTCCAATCACTCCCATTGGCATTCCTTCTCAGGAATATTTCCTAATCTTCTCAGAATGTCTCCAAGTCCAGGGAAGAAGAATGGTTGTTTTGTTGCCACCAAGTAAATCTGTCTGTCCTTTCTGCTCATTGTGCTGACCTCTGTCTCCAAAGAGAGAATAGGGCACCACTGGAAGCACAGAATTCAGTGCACTGGATCCACTCACGCTGAGTCCTGCCAAGGCTAATGCCTCAAGTCTTCCTTATTTCCCTTTGAGCAGGTCATTGTGTGTGGCCAATCCTTCCTTGTTCTTCTGCAGCTTTTGCACCCACGTGACCCTGGCCCCAGTGAAATGGGTCTTCTGGAGCTGTCTTGTACTGACTGCCCTGCGTGTGAGCAGGATCAGGCCTCCAAAACACATAATCTTGTTCTTGCAGCTTTGTTATTTTTTTTAAGGGTTGGTGAACTTGGCTTTGCTTTTCAGTGTCATTCCCATGGAACTTCAGAGAACAGAAGCTTTTTAAAGCACACACTTCCTGGCCAGGCGTGGTGGCTCACGCCTCTAATCCCAGCACTTTGGGAGGCTGAGGCGGTCGGATCACAAGGTCAGGAGATTGAGACCATCCTGGCTAACACGGTGAAACCCTGTCTCTACTAAAAATAGAAAAAAATTAGCCGGGCGTGGTGGTGGGCACCTGTAATCCCAGCTACTCAGGAGGCTGAGGCAGGAGAATGGCATAAACCTGGGAGGTGGAGCTTGCAGTGAGCTGAGATGGCACCACTGCACTCCAGCCTGGGCGACAGAGCGAGACTCCGTCTCAAAAGAAAAAACACATACTTCCTTTGGTGACATCAGTAGGTTGCCTAGGTCCATGAGGACAGCAGCCACCACTGGGGGGGACATCTGCCACCACCCGGAGCCCAACTCAAGCCCAATGGGCAATGGGAAGGAGGTGGGCAGAACCAGATGCTGGCCAGGTTGGCCATGTGGCCTTTTCCTTTTTCCTCTTTCAGAAGGAGAAAAACCAAGGTCCACTTTTTTTGCCACATACTCATGGGACAGAGGGGGTTTTTTCCTTTGGGAAGAAGTCTAAACAATGAAGTGGGGCGTGGGGCCAGCTTTATCACCTGAGGAAGTAACCAGGTTCTTTTTTCTCCCCTCCCTGCAATTTAGCAGATAGGTGGGTCTCTTGGCCTGTGGCTCCTTCTTTACCCAGCAAGTCTCCCTCCCCAGAGATGAGGATCCCTGTAATTACCTGAGGTGAGGTCCTAGCACGGGATCTTGGAAGCCTCCCTACACACCTACAGTTCTGCCTCAAGGTCACTTTGTGGATTCAGAGCCCTGAGATATATTCCTTGTATCAAATACATATTGAATTTCAAAGACTTACTAAAAAAAAAACCCTCAATAATAATTTTTATATTGAATATATGTTGAAATAAAAATTTGTAGTGTATCAAATTAAATGAAATATATTATTAAATTAATTTCAAATATTTCTTTTTACTTTTTCTTCCCCCCAAGACCGAGTCTTGCTCTGTCACCCAGGCTGGAATGCAGTGGGCCATCTCAGCTCACTGCAATCTCCACCTCCCGGGTTCAAGTGATTCTCATGCTTCAGGCTCCTGTGTAGCTGGGACTACAGGTGCACACCACCACACCTGGCTAATTTTTGTATTTTTAGTAGAGATGGGTTTTCACCATGTTTGCCAGGCTGGTCTTGAACTCCTGACCTCATGATCTGCCCACCTCGACCTCCCAAAGTGCTGGAATTACAGGCATGAGCCACCGTGCCTGGCCTCTTTTTACTTTTATTAGTAGGAAATTTAGAATTACATCTTGGCTTGCATTATTTTCTATTGAATCAGCACTGCTCTGGAAAGAGACCTAAGATCCCCTTTCACAGTTTTTCTTTTCTTTTTGTTTTTGAGACAGAGTTTCCCTCTGTTGCCCAGACTGGAGTGCAGTGGCGCGATCTTGGCTCACTGCAACCTCCACCTCCCAGGTTCAAGAGATTCTCATGCCTTAGCCTCCCGAGTAGCTGGGATTACAGGTGCATGCCACCACACCTGGCTAATTTTTGTATTTTTAGTAGAGACGGAGTTTCGCTATGTTGGCCAGGCTGGTCTCAAACTCCTGACCTCAAGTGCGCCACCCTCCTCAGCCTCCCAAAGTGCTGAGAGTATAGGCATCAGCCACCACACCTGACCCACACTTTTTCTTAATCCAATACGCTTGGGAGGACCCTAAAGAGAGTCCAGTATCTTCTTTTCTGGTCTCTCTACTCTCTACCCTCAGGCCCTCTTGGGTCTTCAGAGTCAGAGACCATGCAACTACCGTAGTCAAAATATGCCTCCCATAGTGGCCCCTCACAAACGGACTCCTGAAACTGCCTGGAGAGGTTCTGCATCATGGACCCCCTCCTCCCCAGACAGAGGCCCCACAGCAAGTTTTGTTTTCCAGGAGGGCATTCCTCAGTGTACTCTATGGTGTAAACTGCAAAATGGTGTTGGCCAGCTTGTAACACGCTGGGCTGACCCAAGTCAGATTTCTTTGTTGCAGGAATGCTCAGAGCATGTGTATATTAATAAATATTGTGACTCCCTGAGAGCAAAACACTTTGTATGACTTCTAAAGTTGTTGAGGACAAGCTCCTTCTGCCTTTTTTGAGCACCTGCAGCGAAGATACATTGAAAGCGACTCTTATTTTTGCACTTCTACTAAAGGTCCTCTCCCTCCTCTGCCCTGACCTTGTCCCTCAAGGTCCTCTCCCTCCCTTGTCCCCACACCACCTCCCAGGTCCTCTCCCTCTCTAGAAGAAATGGTCCAAGTTACAAGGCAGACACTACTGAAGCTCCAGAGAAGTCTCAGTAGCTTCTAGTTTCTGGCATTTTGGTCACTGGCATTTGGCAAAATGGCCCTTGATTTAACCATAAAAGAGGAATTTGCTGATACTCAACCAGGTGAGACTATTTTTCTCTGCCTAGTTTTGATATTCTGCCCTCCAGACTGCAGAAGAACTTAATTGCCCTCTGATTTATATGATCATAGAAGATCTCAAAATACACACACACACACACACACACACACACACACACACACACACACACACATATATATATATATATATAATGTATGTACTGAGAGTAAGAGAGAGAGCCTTATATCAATGCCTAATTCATTTAACTCTGGGGAACAAATATAATCAATTTCCAACAGACAGCTCTAAGATTTGTGAAGTGTTGGATGAAGGACCTTATTCAATAATCATTTATATTGTTTTATATCCAAGCTTCAAACCTCCAAGAAGGTGGGGGTTCTGGAAGAAAGGCTGCCTTTGGCCAGGCTGCAGGAAGCTGCCAGGAAGCTGGGGCTGAGGCATGGCTGGAAGAGGGCCAGAAAACTCATTTGCTCCACTCCATCTTGCTAACATTGGCTGCTGTTATGTTTCATTATAGCCCCACATCCTGCTCATCTCTGCACCTTTGAGATGCCTCCCACATCCTCGATTCAGGTCACACTGAGGCTTACTGCTTCTGCAACCAGCTTCTATCACCAGCTTCCCACACCTGGCCCACCTTTTGAAAACAAAACAGGTCGGGAGCAGTGGCTCACACCAGTAACCCCAGCATTTTGGGAGGCCAAGGCAGGAGGATCGCTTGAGCCCAGGAGTTGGAGACCAGACTGGGCAATATAGCAAGACCCTCTCTCTACATAAAATTTTAAAAACTAGCTGGGCATGGTGACATGTGCCTATAGTCCCAGCTACTTGGGAAGCCGAGGTAGGAAGATCACTTGAGTCCAGGAGATTGAGGCTGCAGTGAGCCATGATGGCACCACTGCACTCCAGCCTGGGCAAAAGAGGGAGACCCTGTTTCGAAACAAAAACAAAAACACAAAGAGATTTCACCTATAGGAGGTAGGTCTTGACATCTCGGGCATATTCTTCCTCTATGCTCAGCCTTTTGGTTCCATCCTCACTTAACCATCATTTATTACACAGAGCAGCCTCACTGTGTGGCAATGTCTGCTTCTACTGGGTCTGCACATGTAAAGGAAATCAGTGGGCTTAGAATTTAAAAATAAAAAGCTCTGGCCTCATTTGGTTGAATTAATTATGCCTTTTCATTTGTTTGAATCTTCATGACAACTAAAGTCCGCCCCGACTAGTTGTGGACGATGTCTGCCAGCTGCCTACAGAATCCACCCTTTTCCTTTGGAATTCCCTCCTTCTCCTGACGCTGACAATACCCTTGCCCTTCAGAGGACCTGCCTTCCCACTCTCCATTGGACACTGTGGAACTTCTTGGCGTCCAGTCCCAAGGGCACAGCCACCGCAGGACTTCACGTCTGCCTGCCTGAGCAGGGCTGGTGTCTTATGAATGGCAGCTGAGACCCAGTTCAGGCTCACGACCTCATATCACAGGTCAGAAAACAAAAGAACAATTGAGTTCTTATGAAAACTTGCCAGATTTCCATACAAAAGTTTCCTTCTTGAAATCCCTTTTTTTTTTTTTTTTTTACTTTTCATCATAGAAATGAACTCAAAGGAAAATGACTAATCACCGACCTACTCAGAATCATTGGTCCCCGGCAAGCAAGGGTGATCCTGCATCAATCTATTAATTTTCATTTCCAGGGTTCTCAGATGTAAAACAAATGTTTGATGTAATCCGCAACACTGCTCTGTTATAATTAAACAACCTCCTACTGCCTAAATTGGCAAAGCACTCCATCGATCAGTGATAAATGTGGTCCTTGGGAGACTGCTTTTATGTTTGTTTCACTCATGGGAAAATGGCCACAACCCTTTTGTAAGATTCCTCGGCTGCTGCTCTCCCCAGGTTACAATCATAGTAACTGCTGCTTCTGGGATGCCTCGCTGTAATCCTCATGTTCAATGATGGCTCAATGGATATGTGCTTGAAGGAGAGTGAGTGATGGGGAGTCTACAGTTATGAATAAAATATATTCAAGTCAATAAACCCTTCCTGGGTTCCTTTGCCTCACCATTTTATGCACAATTTATGAAGCACCCTACACATACCAGGAGCTATTTGCAATGTTTAAGATGTGGGAGCCCCCATAATTCTAAATATGTCATGTATCATCTACTTTCCTCTTTGCAAAGTGGAGGGGTTGGATTCCTGCCAGGCCTGATAATATAGATCTGCTGTTCACACATAGCATATAGGAGGCCCTGATGACTTCCTACTCATCGCTTCCCTCATTGTCCAATTGTTGGGGCCATTGGGCTGCTGTATTCAGGCCAGCCCTTGCCCTAGATCCTAGGATCCAGCCAGACTTGAGGCAAGGAGACACACTGCTGTCAGTGTTCCATCACCCCTATGGTTAGGCCTCACTGGCTCTGCCACAGTTCAGACACCAAGGCTCCTGCCTTAGTTTTCTAAGAGATGTTCCCTACATTGCACCTGAATTCATCCAGTTCATTTTCACAGAATATACTTGACCTAGTTTAAGCAGAAAGGGATGTATCACAGGCTACTAAATGGCTTATGAAATCCTTGGAAAAGCTGAATAAATAGACCTTAGGGGGAGCCCCTAGAGCTACTCTCAAAGCTATCTAGCAGAACCTGGCCACATTTCCAACCAGGAAGCTGCCTGCAGAATCAGCAAACAGCCCCCACATCCGCTGGCTTCAGAACCACCCACCTCTGCTCTCCCCACACAAGTGAGCAGACATCTCAGCCCTGCCTTTCTGGCCACCTGACTGCTTGCAAATTAAATCTCTCCCATTTGCACCAGGAAGAGGGCCCTAGATGATGTCTAGAACTTTAGTTTCTGATGACTCTAAGGAATGAGATTTTTCACCTGCTCAGCCTCTGCAGTCTGGGAAAAACCAGAAGTGTGTTGGAAGTGACACTGAATGATCTGGCCCTCAGATTTGTCAGTTTCCCAAGCAGCAACTTGGCCCTTGCATATATTGATTTTTAAATTTCTGTAGTTTGCTCAATCACCCAGGGCTCTGGGAGCCCATTTCTATTGGCTGGAAACCCACTGGGAACCAGCTACCTGCTGACAAATTCCAATCCTATTACTATTTTGTATTGAATATTTACTCTGCACAGTTCCTAATTTTCTGCGAAATGCCTTTTCTCTTTACCACCCTTTGACACAGTTACTGCTCTGTAAACTGAAACACCACTTCTTATGGCCGCAGTTGTTTGTGCTACGAATAAGTAACTCCCTAAGCTCAGCCCATCAGATTTTCTCTCGAATCTGTGGGCTGGAAATCAAGATGGTTGAGAACAGCTCTTCTCCTAGTGGCGGAAGTGGTAAAAATAATCTCAGTGTGGGTGTGGTGGCTCACACCTGTAATCTCAGCACTTTGGGAGGCTGAGGTAGGGGGACCACTTTAGGCCTGGAGTTTGAGACCAGCCTGGGCAACACAGCAAGAACCCATCTCTACAAATAAAAAATTTGTTGGGCATGGTGGCATGTGCCTGTGGTCCCAGGTACTTGAGAGGATGAGGCAGGTGGATTGCTTGAGTCCAGGAGTTCAAGGCTACAGTGAGCTGTGATCACACCACTGCACTCCAGTCTGGGCAACAGAGTGAGATGCTGTTTCTAAAAAAAATAAAATAAAATATGTACAATTTTTTAAAAAGAATCTCAGGAGCTCTCAGGCGTAGATCTCTCAGGCGTCCAGCTCTCAGGATGCCTGGTCCTGTAAGGGCCTCCAAGAGTGGCTGGAGAGCGGGGCGTGATGCCTCTTGGGCCACCTTGCAAAGAGCTCACAAGTTCTGCCAGTGAAGATAGAACCATCTATCATGAGAGTAAAGAATCAGTGGATGAGAAGATGGAAATAAAGCCATGAATTGGAGAGGGTGTCCCAAGGCCATTTCCATCTCTGGTTTCAGCTTCTCCTGCATCCTTGCCGCATTCTAGTTTCAGGGCTCCATGAGGTATCTCCATGTCCTTGTTATGTTCCCATTTCTCTTATTTTGCTTTAGTTTGAGTTGGCCTCCTCTCACATGAAACAGGGAGTCCACAATACCATTGACCCTTGAACTACACGAGTTTGAATAGCATGGGTCCACTTATATATGGATTTTCTTTTACCTCTGCCACCCCTGAGACAGCAAGACCTATCCCTCCTTCCTCTTTCCCTCAGTGTACTCAACATGAAGATGATGAGGATGAAGACCTTCGTGATGATGCACTTCTATTTAAGGAATAGTAACTATATTTTCACTTTCTTATAATTTTCTTAATAACATTTTCTATTCTCCAGCTTACTTTATTGTAAGAATATAGTACATAATACATATAACATACAAAATATGGGTAATGCACTGTTTATGTTATTGGTAAAGTGTACAGAGCACCTGTGACATAAGTAAGTCCATCTTAGAAAAAGACTCCATCTTACATTTCAAAAGGCATCATGACAACAGGACCAGATGTTCCCCTAATCAATAGAGACAGCACCTGACTGTCTCTATGGCCAGAGCATAGCCAGACACACTCTTTATTATCAATCAGTCCTCGCCAGAGGACTCAAGGGCTACAAAACAGCAGGAGTCCACCAGCTGGACACCGCTGTTTTATGAAATACCATCCTGCTATCACTCGTGATCAGCATCTGGCATCTGTCACTGAGGGCTCTGTCCAAATCGAGGGCTCTCCCTTACAAGACGCTGCTGTGCACCTAGATCTGCCCAGGACCCTCTCCTTGTCCATGTCACTGTCCTTGGACTGATTAATTAACCGCTTTCCTATCCCCTTTTCTCTTGATGTTAAATGTTGCTCTGTTTGATGTGGAATGTTTAATCTATAACGTGTATATATTGATTAAGTATCCTACTAGGTATGGTTTGCGATATCAACTGACCTGTGGAGTGGCTTGAGCCTGTGAGCCTGTAGCCCTGACTCCTGAGGGAACGAAGTGGTACGGAGAATTGCCTCCTTGGGAACTCCATGCAGCCTGTGGCTTTTATGACTGAAATAGCATCAATAAAGGCCTGACCTTGGGGAAAGACACAAATGGGCATGGACCTGATTATGTCTGACCTTGTGTCTCTCCCAACAGTAAGGCTTCCAGTAAACACTAGGCTGTTAGTAGTTATGTTTTGGGGGAGTGAAAAGTTTTACTGGGATTTTCAACTGTGCAAGGGGTGAGTGCTCTTAACCTGCATGTTGTTTGAGGGTTAACCACAATGCATAGGTATTGAGTGATTTGAGGAGGACTCTTGGACCATTCTCACTGGCCTCCACATGGATGATTTCTCCTAATTTAAACACAGGCAAACTTCTCCCAACCTTGCTGATTCTTACAGCTCTTGCACTTTGCAGCACAACCTCAGTAGAAGCTCCTGTACTTCTGGCTCCAGTTTCTCTCCTCCCGCAGTCTCCTTAGCAGATTCCAATCAGGTTTCCCCTCCGCTCACCACCAACCTGCGTGTTGCTGAATTCAGTGGTCACTGCTCAGCCTCACTGTGGCTCGCCCTGCATCCCTGAAAGGTTTCCTTCATCTGCCTTCAGCTGGCCTCCCTTCCACTCCACCAGTGGCCCTTCCCAGTCTTTGCAATTGCTCCCTTACAGCCCTGATGTCTTAATATCCATGCTGGTTCTTGGCCTCTTTGCTTCCCTTCTCCACTTTGCCCTTTGTGGGCTCCCGTCCTGTGGCAGGCTCTGCAGGCTGTTTCCCACGCCCCAGGCAGCGGCTCCTGGCCACTGGGAGGGTCTAGTGGGAGGCTGAGGAGAGCCTTGGGCAGCATCTCCAGCAGCAGCGGCAGCTGTTCCTTTTGTTTCCATCTCCTGGAGTCCGCATGGACTTTAGTTTCTGCCGGGTGAGCCCAGCTCCCAGGTTCTGGTAGCACCATCTCCTCTTTATTCCCAGACCTCATGATTCTCTATGGAGAAAATCTGATGGAGTCTGCAGAAAAGCTATTAGAATTAATGAGCTTAGTAAGGAGATTGCAAATACATCTTGCTAAAATCTCTCAAATCAAATTTTAAAATAAGGATCCTCATTAATGACTTTTCCTATAATACACTGAGTTAGGGAAATAACACTGAAATCTCAAGAGTGAATGAACTAATTTTTTTATTACCATGTATTATCTTTTGAGACAATATGGTCATAGATTGAGAAACTGAGTGCAATAGGCCATCTAGTTGCCTCAGTCAAATCTGATTTAGCTCTACTGAAAGTTCTTTTTTTTTTTTTTTTTTTTTTTTTTTTAGATGGAGTTTCACTCTTTTCACCCAGGCTGGAGTACAATGGTGCGATCTCAGCTCACTGCAACCTCTGCCTCCCAGGTTCAAGCAATTCTCCTGCTTCAGCCTCCCAAGTAGCTGGGATTACAGGCCCCAGCCACCATGCCTGGCTAATTTTTGTGTTTTTAGTAGAGACAGGGTTTCACCATATTGGCCAGTCTGGTCTCGAACTTCTGACCTCAGGTGATCCACCTGCTTCGGCCTTCCAAAGTGCTGGGATTACAGGCATGAGTCACCACGCCCAGCCTGAAAGTTCATTTTCATACAGACAAGAACACTATTCTGATGCCAATGAGCTTTCAGGTTAGGAGTCTTTAAAATACTTTTCTGACACAAAAATGAGCATGCTGTTGTTTCTTATTTGATGTTTCCTCTTTAGGATGCCTCTCAGTTTCTGCACAGGAATTGTCTACAGCAGTAGTTTGCAAAGTTTGATTTCTATTAGAAATGAAATTTTTAGGTCTCCACCCAGACCTCCTGAGTCAGAAACTGTGGGGGTGGCCTCCAGCATTCTTTATTTAATACTCTTTTGAGGGGCTTCTGATGCCTGCTAAGCCAGAACCACCAGTCTATACAAGCTTGGGGTATGGGAAAAAAATTCACTTACGAGGTCACTTTTACTGTCTGAACTAAAGTGAATTCCCTGAAATAAAATTGGCAAAATGTTCCCTACTTTTCAAAGTTTTGTTCTGTCTTCAGTTTTCTTTCTTTTTTTTTTCTTTCCTTTCTTTCTTTTTTTTTTTTTTTTTTTTGCCAGGCAACTTTTTGGGGAAGCACACTAAGCTTTAGATACACTATTCATTTCCAGTAATCAGGAGAGAGTCATCAAAAGTAGAGAGAATAAATGCATTTTTATATGTTAACACAATAGATTTACTATTCAGTTACAAAAATGATGTAGACACACACAGAGAGACACATACACACACACACATACACACAGACAGGCACAAACCCAGAGGGTTTTTATTAATAGAATGTGGAGGGAAAGAAACATATGCAAAATAACACAGTATGGTTCCATTTATATATTATTTAAAAATAGACTCAGCTGAACTACACTGCATACACAGGTGATAAATCTATTAGAGTCAAGAGCAGTATTTTATTTTTAAAAATAATTTCGACTTTTATTTTCGATTCAGGGAATACATGTGCAGGTTTTTTACATGGGGTTATTGTGTGACACTGCGGTTTTGAGTACAAATGATGCTGACACCCATGTAGTGAGCGCAGTACCCCATTGGTAGTTTTTCAGCCCTTGCGTCCTTTTTTCTCTCTTGCCTCTAGTAGTTCTCAGTATCTATTGTTCCCATCTTTATGTCCATGTGTACCCAAAGTTTAGCTCCCACTTTATAACTGAGAACATACAGTATTTGGTTTGCTGTTCCTAAATTAATTTGCTTAGAATAATGGCCTCTAGCTACATCTTTGTTGCTGCAAATGACATGCCTTCACTCTTTTTTATGGTTGCATAGTATTCCATTGTACTAATCCATTCTCATGCTGCTATAAAGAACAGGCCAAGACTGGGTAATTTACAAAGGAAAGATGTTTAATTGACTCACTATTCCACATGGCTGGGGAGGCCTCAGGAAACTTACAATCGTGGTGGAAGGGGAAGAAAATATGTCCTTCCTCACAGAGCGGCAGGAAGGAGAAGTGCAGAGCAAAAGGGGGAAAAGTCCTTAAAAAACTATCATATCTTGTGAGAACTCACTCACTATCATGAGAAAAGCATGCAGGAACCCCCACTGCCAAGATCTAATCACCTCCCATGAGGTCCCTCCTTCAACACACAATTCAGATTACAATTCAAGATAAGATTTGGTTGGGGACACAGACCATGTCATACATGATGTATATGTAACACATTTTCTTTATGCAATCCACCATTGATGGGCACCTAGATTGATTCCATGTCCTCGTTATTGTGAATAGTGCTGCAATGAACATACGCATGTATATGTCTTTCTGGTAGAACAATTTGTTTTCCTTTGGGTTATACACCAGTAATGGTGGTTTTGATTTGCATTTCTCTGATGATTAGTGATGTTGAGACTTTTTTCATGTTTGTTGGCTGCTTGTACATTTTCTTTTGAGAAGTGTCTGTTCATGTCTGTTGCCCACTTTTTAAATTTGTTTTTTGCTTGTCAAATTGTTTAAGTTCCTTATAGATTCTGGATATTAGACCTTTCTTGGATGCATAGTTTGTGAATATTTTCTCCCATTTTGTAGGTTGTCTGTTTAGAGTATGATTATTTTAAAGTCAGAATAGTGGTTACATCTGGAGGGAAGGATGGTTCTTGGGTGGGGAAGAAATTTATGGGCAAGGGGCTCTGGAAACTTAATAATGCTCTATTTGTTGACCTGGGTGGCCATTATGTGGGTGTTTGAGTTATATGTCAAACTGTGCATTTAATTTTTTACTACTTTGTAGGTATATTTCACAATCCAAAACTGTCTTTAAAAGAAAGAAAGCCAGATGCTGTGGCTCAGGCACATACCAGCACTTTGGGAGGCCAAAGCAGGTGGATTGCTTGCACCCAGGAGTTTGAGACCAGCCTGGGCAATAGAGTGAGACCCTGTCTCTACAAAAACTACAAAAATTAGCCATGAGTGGTGGCAAACTGCCTGTAGTCCCAGCTACTTGGGAGGCTGAGGTGGGAGGATCACTTGAGTCCAGGAGGTAGAGGCTGCAGTGAGCCATGATCACACCACTGCACCCCAGCTTGGGTGACAGAGCAAGACCCTGTCTCAAAAAACAAAACAAAACAAGAACCAAAAACAAAGAAAAAACAGGGTTAGGGATCACCCACTCTAGGCTAAGTAGTCTGCCTCTTTCTCGCCAATTCGTAATGCCAACACTTTCCCTTTCTTTAGAGACCACCACTTTCAGCACTTGTAGTCACTTCCAGACCAAATGCCCTAAGGATACAATTAGACTGACCTTTCTCAGGTTTTAATTGACTTTCCATGATAACAGACGAGGATTTCACTTTTGGCCCTTCCCTTGTGTGCCCTTCCTCTATCTCCCAGGACTTTTGATAATTTTCTTTCCACCATTTTCTTCCCTGTTTTGGGGGATGGGAATTCCTAATGGTTTGATTTTTAGTGCATCTCCTATCATTTTGTTATCTTTTCTCTCCATTATAGAAGATGACCTTAAAATTATGCCCAATTATTCTAATAAATCTATTAATAGACTCATCTTGTTTTTAATATCCAACAGATCTTTTTTGTTTTCTAGCTGTTCTTGTCTGATAGCACCTAGTTCTTTTTGCAGATACACTATATTCTAAGAAGAGTATTGCACAGCGTTACAAAGATATGGAGGTACCCTGCTGGGGGAACCTGGGAATTCAGGCAAGTGAACAGCCCAGACCAGCACTATCCCATAGAATTATAATCTGACTCAATTATGTCACTCTAAATTTTCTGATAGACCCACTGGAAAAAGTGAAATGGAAGAGGTTGAAATTAATTTTAATAAAAATGTTTTCATCCAATATATCCAATATAATATCATTTCAACATGTAATCAATATAAAAACTTGTTAATGAGATATTTTACATTTTTAATTTTATTAACAATTTGGTATAGGTTTTACACTTAAGCATATCTTTATTTGAACATGTCACATTTCAAATGCTCAGTAGCTATGTGTGACTCATGTTGTATAGTTTGAGTCTGCAGAGAGCTGCACCAGCCATGCCTGCAAACTAAGTTCAAATCTGCTCTGAGATCCCCAAGAATGTACTTTCTGGCCTGGTTCCCATCTTCTTGCAAGTTGCTTCTGGAACTTTCCCCCAAAAGCCTGCCTCCTGGTGGTAGGGCCTGGTACCTTACTCCATCTCAGGTCCCCAGCCAGCACCCATCCCTCCTCTGCATAATTTCCCCTCTTGGACATCATCTGTGTTATTGCATTTGCTCCTGGTCTCAACCCTTTCAAACTTCTGGTTCCTCCAGGGATCACTTCAGGGGACCTAGTTCTGTGAGCAGCATTCTTGGGCTCCACTTAATACCCCCAGGCTGCTGCCCAGCTGCCCAGCCTCTTAATCTGGCTAGAAATGCTGTGGCTGAAGGTTTCATGAATGGCTGAAAGGAGCTCATCCCTGTTACACAGTGTCTGGCCAGCAGCCAGTTTATCCCCAACCTCAGACTCCAGGTAGGGTGTGGGCTCCTGCTCCACTCACAGCTGCTGAAGAACTGGTGTGGCTTGGGGCTACTGTGTCTAGGGCCTGGCCTCTGGGCCTTTGCATAGGTAGAGAGAAGACAAGGCCAGGAGAAATGCAGCAGGGGACAGTAGGAGGAGGCAGAAGAGATGTCCCCAACCCCTTGGGGGTGGAAGGCCTGGAATGAGGAGGCCCAGTCTCTACCCTCTGGGATCCCTGAAGGCCAGACCAGGCAGGTGTGCCTGGTGAGTCAGCCCTGGGCCCCTGCCATCCTCCCTCTACTTACAGCTCACACAATAGCTCAATTGTGTCATTGCACTTAGCTTTGGCTTGGGTTCCAACCCAAGGACGTAGCCCAGGGACCTCTAGGGACAGAGAGAAACAGCTATGAGAGAGGTCTTTGTGCAAATCTATTCTGCAGAAAGGAGGCCCAGGGTTATGGTCAGAGTGGCTGTGGCTGACAGCACAGCATAAGAAGAGCCGGTCTCAGCCACTGGCTTGCACTGATGGCCAGTGTGTGTCGGAAAGTGACAGGAGGAAGTTTATCAAATAGGTGCACAATTGCTGTGCATTTTAAGTGGAGGTTCACACAAAGGACTCTGAGAATCTGAACTCCAGGAGAAGTTAGCAAAGTCTCAAGATATTGCAATAATATTTAACCAGATGAATAATTTCAATGTACTGTATTTATCTTTTTGTCTGTTGTCATCACATGCAGAAACCTATTTAAGACTGTTTGAAAATAAAAAAGAAGGGTTGTTTAGGTCAGCTGAGAGTCTTCTGGGGCCAACAGCTCAGCCTTCCCTGAAGAAAAGCTTAAACGCATTTTTGCAGGAGGTGAAATTTCTGAACGGCTATGACTTATGTTAATCTACTACGGGTGTGCTATCGCTACCGCATGTTTTGGCACAGGCCATAGCGAGGCACTAATGTCCAGACAGAGATGAGGGTCCTAAGAATTGCACAGCCAACCCTTTTGTCCAAAGTGTCAAACATGGATGTTGCAAGGGGTGCTTTCCAGGTCTTAGCATCTTGTATTCTAAAGGAAATAGGTAGCAGAAGGGTTTTTTAACTGAACGTTGTATTAAGATCTTAAAAGTATAGCTTCCATGGTCCCAGGTTTGTCCAGCCTGTGGACTCCATGTTGTGACATTATCAAGGATAACTCTGGTTTTTCTAGCTTTATCCCATTCATTAATGCCAGGTCTCCAGTTTCACTCAAAGTCTTGCCCAGTCATTTCCAGAGACATTGGGTGCATCTGTGTGGATCCCTTGCATTCTTCCAGGGAGGCCTTTCTTGCCTGTGCCCACTACTCCGGCCCCGTTGTGTGTATAGGGATGCCATTTTCTTCAGCATGTGCGTCCCCCAGTGAGCTCAGATGGGAACCCATGGTGTGAGGGTGGGGACCGTTCTCAGGCAGATATGATGCTCTCCTTTTCCTTTTCTCCTCCCCCACCCCCACTCCTTCCTTCTCGTTCTGTCAGGAGCCCTCATACAAACCCATTTCTGCCTCACCTCCAATTACACTTTCACAGACAAGTCTGAACCTAAGTATCTTAAATAAGGAGGCTCCACTACTAGTGGATTTATTTGAGGACTAAACTCCGGGGGAAACTCTCAGGGTGTAACAGGATGTAAACTGGGACTCTGTATCTTTCACTTTTGGCAGGAGCCCCCAGGGCTGAGGACAACGTGGTGGGCTCATCTCTCAAGGCAGAACGATGGGTGCTGTGCCCTAAAGCAGAGTGCATGGAGACTATGGAGCCAGTCCTGCCAGTGTCACCCAGCAAGGCCTCAGAGCAGGTTCTGGTGGAAGAGATTGGCGGTGGGGAGTATGTGTGGGTTGCCCATACCCCACAGAGAGGAAGTACTTCCCCTTCCCTCAAGACAAGTGATTTGGACTTCATGAGAGCTGGATATCCTGTTGCCTAGAGTTTGGGATGAAGAGAAACTTTTGTTTCCCACCTACTAAGCCTAAGGGCTACAGCAGCTCTTCGGTAGGAGCAGAATGAAGAAAACAGGCTAGGTTGGAAATAGTGGGTTCCCAGCTGGGTTGAGAACAGTGCACGTGCACTTGCATGGAGGGTGATGCGTTCTGGAGAGCAGTCAGGGACCCTGCAGAGAGGACCTGGCCTGGGGTCATCATAAGGGGGATCCCACCAAGGAGGACTGTCTGGGACAGAGGAAGCCTCCAGCAGAAGCTCACAGGCCATGGGAAGAGTCAGACAGAGCCACACAGAGGACAGACGTGATCCACATGTCGCAGCAGGGGGATTCCAAGCATTGGCCAATGTGCTTTGTGGGAGGAACAGCCAGCAATTGCACATCTATCCACATCCTCATTACAAAAGAACCAGTCAGGAAAGGCATTTCCTCCACACACTGCGCCTTTCTGCCCCTTTCCAGCCCATTGCAGTGAGAGGGAGGTGGGGAGGCAGGTGAGGAGCAGGGAAGGAGCTGCCATGCTGTCGCAGGTTTCCAGCCAGCACAGGCCTAAGATGGGGTCACTTTCAGCTGGACAAGATTTTGGAATCCTGTTGTATGGGAATTTTCAATTATTGAAACAAGACTGGTTTTGTGCTTGAAGGGGCCAAAAACATTGGGAGACTTGCTCAAGATTTCATGCACAGGCAGGAAAGAAGGAAAGAGTTTAAAGGAGCCGTGGGAGAATCAATCATTCTCTGCTTGCCCCTAATGAAGCCAGCTGCAGAGAGCACTGGTAAACACAGTCACTCACAGTTAATCTAGGTAGAGGAATTTAAAATACTACCTAGGCACAAATCTAAAGTGCTTCTGCTGTGAGAAGCCAATGTCAGATCACTGAGGTCTCCACTCACTCAACATCTGGATATTGAGGACCATGAGTGCTATTAGCGCCCTAAAGGCTGTGTTTAGGACACCATGTTTTACTAAAACTCTTATCTCTAAGCATCAAGATCCCACCCGGTGTGGCAAACATCTGAGACCCAGTAAGAGAAGAGTGGGCTTCCATTTCCTCCCTCACACTCACCTGGAGGCAAATTCCATGCCCGCAGCAGAGGAGCAGTGGAGTCACCTCCACTACAGGATTTCAATGTCATTTCTCTCATTCTCCTTCCTTCCCCAGCTCTCTCTGCCTGCATACTTGAATTTACATGGGCAGTGTCGAAGGAAAATAAAATCTTGGGATCCCAATTAACGATGCCAAAAGGAAAAAACTAAGCTGAAAGTGGAGTAATGCAAGACCTTTCCTTTTGTTCCTAAGCAGATAGCTACAGATAAAAAGTAGCTTCCCAGGTAGCTACTCTATGTTCATCTTATCCTTACATAAAGTGCCAATTTACTGAGCATGAGAGGAATATCTAATTGACTATTCCCCTACCTGCTCCTTTTCTCTTTTTTCCTTTTCTTTTTTTGAGACGGAGTCTCGCTCTGTCACTCAGGCTGGAGTGCAATGGCACAATCTCGGCTCATTGCAAACTCCACCTCCCAGGGTCAAGTGATTCTCTTGCCTCAGCCTCCAGAGTAGCTGGGATAACAGGCACCCACCACCATGCCTGGCCAATTTTTGTATTTTCAGTAGAGACAGGGTTTCACCATGTTGGCCAGGCTGGTCTTGAACTCCTGACCTCAAGCAATCCACCCGCCTAGGCTTCTTAAAGTGCTGGGATTACAGGCATGAGCCACCTTACCTGGCCCCTTTTCTCTTGCAACCCATGGATTCAATAACGTGACCATACCCTCCCTCTCTCCCCTCCAGCCCACTTTCCCCCTTTAAATATTGAAGCCCCCAAAATCATCTTTGGAAAAAGACATGGACCACAGACTGTTCCTGTGGCTTTGTGTTCCTTTTTCCTGGGCATGTCCTTATCCTCGGCAAAATAAACTTTTAAATTGTTTGAGACCTGTCTCAGGTACTTTTTGGTTTATAGTAGCAACATGTATGCATAATGCAAATGTACTTGTATTTCATTATACATTTATTTGTTCTTATTACACAGGTAAGCCATTTTTATTGTGAGAAGACTCAGAAGATTCAAATACATTTGAAGGGGAAAAACACTCTCATCTTCCTTATCTCCCAACCTTAGTTTATAGGTGCTTCTATGTCTTTAATTAACTGGCCTATTTCTAGATCTATCTGTTTTGGACATGAGATTTCTGCTAAGATGGGTGAGGATTTCATTTATTTACACCACATTTCACCTCCCCTTTCCCACCCTTTCAGTTTCTCACATCACTCTTTTCTTTCTCTATAGGTTACCTTGCTAACTCTAGGCAACTTACTTAGACTTTTAGCCACTGTTTATCAACTACGGAAAGGCTCTCTTGGGCTTTTCTTCAGCAGTCTTCCCCTTTTCACTGACTAACTTTTCATCTGTAGTTTCTCTTCTGCATTGTTAAGGTCAAGAACATTTCCAGATGCCAGCAGCCACTCCATCTGCTATGCTTCTTCCATTTTGTGAATCAGCATTCTCTCAAATCTGAAAATACTAGTTGCATTCATTTTCAAGTGAGTGTTTCTTGAATTAGCTCTGTTTCCTCAGTTGTCAGTTCTTCTATTTTTAGACTGTTTTCTTTAGGTTTTGATAATCATTGGTCGTTTGGTCACCTGCTTGTTGAATGCTACTTTTGTTTACCACAGCCTACCTCAAGTGACAGGTAGAATCTAGGTAACTTGTCAGTCTGGAGTCAGAAGCACCCACAAGCCACCACCCTGTGTTCCACACACAGTGCCTTGGGCACCTGTGGATAAACTAGACTAAGTAGTAGACACTGCTGGGGCTGGGGTTCTAAAATCAAGACTGTGCTGACAATATGGCCTGGACTCATCTTGAATGCAGGAGCTAGAAAGCAAGAAATGTAGCTCTGATGACAGGCAGGAAAGAACTTGACTGAGTAAAAGCAGATATAAACCACCAAAGAAGATGGGCCGCAGAAACCTGCTTGGGACCTATCTCAGGCAGACAGTATCACGTCTTCTTCCAGCTACAGTAGGGCTTCATGGCATCAGACCCTATGTCTGGAAGTAGTTATTCATTAAATATTTACTGACCATGTACATTATGACAGGTGCTGTGCTCCTCTCTGGGGTTACATACACAAATAGGACATGTCCTTCACACAAGAAGCTCATCATCTATGGGAGGAACACATACATTACAGCATGGTGTGGTAAATGCTACAATGAAAATGTGCACAGATCTATGGGGGATCACACATGGGAGGAGTATGCAGCTCAAAATGAGGAGTGGATCCAGTCTCTCAGGTGGGAGATTCCTGAACTGAGTCTTGAAGACAAATGGGAGTTAGGTAGAAAAGAGTGGTAATTGGAGACAGAAAGATCAACTTTCCAGGCAGAAGGGAGAGTGTGGCAAGATCAGGTGTCTGAAAATAAAACCTTATGACTGGAGGGTTGGCGAGATAAGGCCGTTGAGGTGGACAGAGCTGGGTTACCTACCTCCATGAAGGTTCTTATAACCAGGGAAATGAGCAGGGAGGCGGTGTGTACCTGGTGCTCTGGTTATCCACTGCTGCATAACAGACCATCCAAAACAATGGCTGAAATTAATGGCAGTCATTTCTATTGCTCATGAATCTGCAGTTTGAGCAGAGCTCATCAGGAAATGCTTGTCCTTGCTCCACGTGGTATTCCTAGTTGGTTGGGCTGAGGGTGGGGGGATCTGCTTTCAAGGTCATGGTACTGGTGGTCATCTGTGGGTCCACCCAGTGCTGAAGGCCAGGAACTTTGCTCCTTTCCTCATTGGCCTCTCCCTGGGCCTGGCCTCCCTCACCAAACAGCAGCTGTGTTACCAGGGTGCATGTCCCAAGACAGCTGGGCAGAAGCTGCATCATCTTTTTGACCTCACCTCCAAGGTCACATAGCATCACTTCTTCCTCACTATATTAGTAAAGACAGTCTCAAAGACTACCCAGTTTCAAGGACAGGGGATTGAGACTCCATCTCTTGGTGGTTGAATGGCAAGGTTTTGAAAGAGCCTGTGGGAATGAGCCATTTTTAGGAAATGTAACCCCCACTTCCACCCAAGGCAGCAACTGTGTGGAAGACAGAAAGGGGAGTTTGAGACAGAGGCAAGGGGACCCATTAGGAGACTTATTCCAGTGAGAAAATGACACAGTGAAGAGATGAAAATGTGTTCCACAGTCTCTTAGTCTCTGGGAGTTAGAAAAGGTGGTTCAGAAATCATAGAGCCACAGTCGGCCACGATCTCACCCTCTGGAAGCTCCAGCTGATGTTGTTAGTGCCGGGCTCCTGGTTTCAGGGCCAGACTCTACTGTGGAGAGCTGGCTGGCCTTGGATCCGAAAGTCGCTTTCATGTGCTCCCTCCACATCAGTCAGGGCCATGGTTTCCTTGAAGAAGCCCAGAGTGCAACTCACAAGGTCCTGCTGTTCTCACGATTGGCAGCGACACAAACTGATGGACCAGCTCTTCCCAGTGACTCCAGCACTGCGCTGTCCACAGAAACAAAGCCTCCCTAGAGACTACTGCAGAGGGGGAGCTATGGCCTGAGAGGATGAATAGGTCTGACCCACTTTCAAAACACATGAACTCCTGATAGTGGCCTTCAGGGGAGATGGAGGACCCTCTCTCCAAATGCCTGGCTGTCTATTCAGGATAACATTCAAGAACGCTCAAGAACATTGGAGATGCTTCCTGAGAACGTGCTTTTTTTCAAGTCCACAGGCCTTCAAGGGTCAGAAACTGAGGGGTGTAAAATAACAGTATTCAGGTTGATGGTGAAAGATGAGAACACTTATTAGGAAGTTTCCCATCTATTCCTTCCCAGTCATGCTCATGGATGTCCCTTGCAATTCAAGCAGCATGCAACCTCCTCTCCATCAGCCTAGGATACACTTGTGTTCTCCCAACTGCAGGATGACCCCTTTACCTCTCACTCCCACCAGCAATGAGTGTGCTCATTTCAGGCTCAGACCTGTGACCTAGGCTTTGATTCTGCTGTCATGGTAATGAAGCAACCAAGCTTGGCGGCCAGCAGAGTTCCACCATCTCAGAGACCTTCGGACATGCACGAGGACCACTGAGGCAGACCCACAGAAGGAAATTCAACCTGAAATCGGTACTGAGGTTGGCAGACCAGGCTGCCACAGGCCTTTTCTGGTAGCCAGCAAGATTGAGTCTTCAAAAACTCAAGAGCCCCTTGCCATGGCACACTCCCTCTGAAAGACGTCCACCCCAGGGATTTGTCTGGAGAAGGCTATAGCTGTTCTTTATACTTCTCCCCATTTGAACGCTCTTCCTATGCTGCTCCCTCCCACCATCTCTCTATGCCTAGTTTTGTTTCTTATAAAATAAGAGTGTGGGTCCAAGCAATCTCTAAGGCACCTTCTAGCTCAAAATGTTCCATGAGTGTGTTTCTGCACTGTATGAGTCACAGTTCTCCAAAGAAACGGAAATGATAGTATATAGATAATTGACTCACATGATTATGGAGGCTAGGAAGCCACACAATCTACCATCTGCATACTGGAGACCCAGGAAAGTTGGTGGTGTAATTCAGCCTGAGGCCAAAGGCCTGAGAACCTGGGGGTGCTGCTGGTGTACACCCTGGAACTAGAAGGCCTGAAAACCAGAAGCTCCAAGGCCTAAGGACAGGAAAAGATGGATGGCTCAGCTCAAGAAGGAGAGAGAATTCTCTCTTCCTCTGCCATTTTTGTTCTACTCATGCCCTCAGTGGAAGGGATGGTGCCCATCCACATTGGTGACAGTGGATGTTCTTTACTCTATCCACTGAGTCAAATGCTAATCTCTTCCAGAAACACCCTCATAGCCACATCCAGAAATAATGTTTAATGAGATATCTGGCACTCCTTAGCCCAGTCTGGTTGACACATAAAATCAACCCATCACACACAACTTCCCCAGGCAAAGAAGCAGTGAGTCTTGATAATCACATGAGTGCAAATCTTTGAAGTACATTTTTAAAGAGCAAGAATTGGCTCAAGGTCATCCTGATTAATCCAGTTTCTTGACTTTCTTCTCGCCAATGACTTTTTCCTTTCTTCCTTCTTCGTTACCAACTGCACCACCTCCAAATGTGCAATTCATACATCCTGTTTTCCAGCCACAGTCAGTTGTCCTTCTGGTTCGTTTACTTAATCTTTCAATCTCACTAAGACCTCCCAATTCATTGATCCCTGGCATTTTCTCTTTTTTTTTCATCAATTCTTCTTTACTTTCCATCATATGAAATTTATATCCCACAGTTTATCTTCATAACTATAATAGAGTTTATTTTATCCAATGTGCTTTGGTCTGGCAATTGGTAACTTAAGTAGAAAAAGTTCAAAATGTAATAAAAGTAAGTTAAAGCTGGGAGTTCTTTGAACCATGATTTTAGCTAACAACATAGAAATGGGGATTAATTTGCCAGTCTTTTGAGTTAGGCTCATGCCTTTCCTTTGAGAATGGGTCGGCTGATTAGTTCTGCATTCTTGTTTTATTTTATTAAGTCACTATAAAGGCTCCTCTACAACTTCCAGTTTGGTTTTCTTTAAAATGGAGTGAGCGTGGAATGACATTTGGAAGCCATCTGAGTGCAGCTATATTCTTACAGTAACACGTAAGCCTGAAATAACAGGTGTTGCAACACTTGTAAGCCCAGAACAAACAGAACTAACAGTGGAGCGTGGGTGCTCGTGGAGCCATCTGGGCACCCCAGCCCATAAGTTCAATAAAACCCTCGTGCTCCTGAAGGCCGTTTTAGCCTTTTCGCCTCCGCAAGCCCCTCCCCACTCAGCCTTCTCAGAACTTCCCTTTCGTCTGATGGCCCTGCCTCTATCATTAGACCCAAGGACCTTAGAGCCAAGCAATGCCATAAGAGAGTCAACTGGGTGCCTGATAATCTATTTAAGAATTATGGCCCTAGCAGGAGGACAAATATGAAAAGACTCCCCCATAGAATGGCCTAGAAAAGAGATTAGTTGCATGTAATAAAGTGCAGGTAATAGAAAACAGTCATGACTAGGGAAACAGCAACTGGGTCATCAGGATCCAGGGGGTGGCAGGGAGCACCTGCTGCGAGAGGACAGCCAAGCCTCGGAGGAGCTCACACTTAGCCTGCCAGGGGTTGTAGGCAAGACCCCAGCCAGTGTCTGGGTCGAGGACCTTTCTGATTTTTGTTTTTAATTGAAAAATCCCAGCAGCTGAGAAGGTAAACTCAGAAACCTCCTAGAAAAGTTATACCAACGTTGTTGGGGATGACAATAATTTCTTTGTATGTAAACATTTCCTAATTCCAGGGAGATTTTGAGTTAAATGTAGAAATGTTTAAGAGAATCAAACTGATGGTATTAATATTTTTGAGATTAAAAATCTTGTGCATATTTGGTAGTTCATGTATTTATAAAATTTAAGATAATTGGGCCTGTTAATTTAAAATGCATAATTGAACTTAGGCTTTTTATTCTAGGTTATAATCTTACTAAATATACAGCATTGGAGAATTTAAGAGAATTAAGACTCACTATATTTCTAAGTTTATTAGAATTCCAAGGATTACTTAAGTACTTGGAAAGGTTTATTTGTTAATAAGGTAGCTTAAGTGCTTCAGAAAGGAAATGGAATTAATAGACACATAAAAGTAGTTAAAATACTTAAAGGAGTTTATTTAATTCAATTTAAAAATGAAAGTAGACATTAATCCAAGTAATGAAAAGGACTTACTAAATGCTAAGTTTATAAATAGAGTAAAAAGATCTGCACGCCAAATTTAGAAACTTAAGGAAGAACCGGGGTTTGGTAATTGTATCTTTAGTTTTTAACTCAGCTTTTTTTAGGGTAATCAAAACCCATTCAAAACCCATCCTTGAGGACACAAAACTCTCCCACTGACAGCCTCAGACTTCCTGGGGGACCAGAGGCCATCAGACAGGCCCCCCAGCCTCCTCTGGTCATCAAATCCCCAGGCCGCTACATCTCCCATTCCTTTTTCTTCCAGGTAGCAGCAGCAGTCGCGCTGTGCCACTGTCCCAGCCTCCTCTGATGCAGCTCTGATGCCCTCCCTCTTTAGAACCCCCTCTTCCGTCTTCGCTTCTCCGTCTCCAGGACTGTTTGCCCAAGCGAGTAAACAAGCTCTGGTGTCTCCATCTCAGGAAATGCCCCTCAAGCCCTCCAGCTATTTCTCTTTCTCAGTTCCAAACTTTTCTTCATCCTCCGGTCCCTCCTCAATCTTCTTCAATCTGTCTTTCCCCCTGCTCCACCCAAACTGCTCATGTCAAGGTCACTGGCTTTTCTGTTGCTGTCCCAGGGGGTTTTGTCTCTATCCTCATCTGACTTGACTTCCGTCTGGCCCTCCCTCCCTCTCTCTCTCTTCCTGTCCCTCTAATCCTCTTCTTAGTCTCCAAGTCTAAGTGGACATTGCTTTGAACCTCCCCTTCCTCTTTCTCTGTGTCCTCTACCGGGACAGCCCACTTACTTCCTTGGCTTTAAATGCCATCTGTACCCCGAGAAGTCCCACATTTGGTACCAAGATTGGCACATTGCAACTGTCTTTGACAACTCCCTTTTAGGGCTCAGAGCATCTCGGATTTACCATGATTAAAACTTGGCAAAACGAACATTTAAAACTGAACACTTGATGAACATTTTTCTACTTCGAACTATTTCTGCCTCAGCCTTCTTCAAGCTGGCCAGACCCCTTCCACACTACCTTCAAGCACTGCATGCTCCAAGTTTATCCCCATTTCCTTCAGGGCCCACACAGAGCCTGTCCTGCTTCGTGCTTTGTCTTTGGGAATAACTGGCTCCTTCGAAGTCTCTAAATGTTAAAGAGTTAAATAGTAACTCTTCAAAGAGGCTGTGTTAAAAATTCACTCCAGGGTTAGGTATGGTGGCTCACGCCTATAATCCCAGCACTTTGGGAGGCCGAGGCGGGTGGACCCCTCGAGCCCAGGAGTTTAAGACCAGCCTGGGCAACACAGTGAGACCCCATCTCTACAGAAAATACAAAAATTAGCTGGGCATGGTGGTGTGCATCTTTGGTCCCAGCTACTTGTGGGGCTGAGGCGGGAGTATCACTTGAGCCCAGGAGGTCGAGGCTCACTGAACCGTGTTTGTGCCACTGTACTCCAGCCTGGGTGACAACGTGAGACCCTGTCTAAAAAAATAAAATTTCTATGTCTGTATCTTGGCAACACACACAAAAATAAATGAATAAAATTTCTCTATTTTTGTTTTTAAATCATCCTGATTAAGTTAGGCAGCCACCTCATTTTTGCCTCCCAGTTCGAGCGATTCTCCTGCCTTAGCCCTGAGTAGCTAGGATTACGGCAGGCACCACCACTCCTGGCTAATTTTTGTATTTTTAATAGAGATGGGATTTCACCATGTTGGTCTCGAACCAGGGCCAGGCTGGTCTCGAACTCCTGACCTCAAGTGATCCCCCTGCCTTGGCCTCCCAAAGTGCTGGGATTACAGGCGTGAGCCACCACACCCGGCCCTCTCATTTTCCATCACAACTTTGTTTCTCCATCAATCCATAACTTGCATGATTTGTTTTCTCATATACGGATTCCCATAAAATGCAAGCTCCCTGAGGGCAGAGATCTGTGTATATTTTTTGCTACTGCAACCCATGGCCTAGCACAGGAACCAACATCTCAACAATGGCTCAATGAAGAGCTACAGATGTGCGTGAAAGAGAAAGGGGGTCTAAAGTGTGCAGAGACAGATAAAACTTTCCAGCCCAACTGTCCCAGTGGGGCTGGGTTGCCTGCTCCTATCCGAGAGGATTAAATCCATTAAAGTTACAGGCAGAGGGGAAATGGTGATGGTTAAGGCTACTTTTATTTTTCCTTTTATACTTTTATACTCAAAAATTTTTAAAATACTTTTATTTTTATTGCTCAACTTGGCCAATTTAAATGCTAATTATCTTCTAGCAACAACTTTTAGAACTAATCTCCAGTCTTCTGCTAATTTTCTTTCAGATTTCCACTTTTCCAAATTTGGGTAAACTGGACTCCGTGCACGTCACCTGTGGGTTAAGGTAGCTACAAATTAATCTTTCAAGATGGTACTATATCATGTAAGTTGAATGTACTTTTTAATGCCAAGATGTGTGTTGGTTTGAGGATATGCAGACACTGAAGTTTAAGTTCCCACATCCAGTTACAGACGTGAGATTAAGTTCTAATGGAATGACACTTCCTCTGCACTTTATAAAAGTGTCACAATTGTGATACCCATTAGAATGGCTACCCTGAAAAAAAAAAACAACAACAGAAAATAAGTGTTGACAAGGATGTGGAGAAATTGGAACGCTTATCCACTGTTAGTAGGAAGTAAAATGGTACAGCTGCTATGGAAAACAGTTTGGCAGCTCCTTAAAAATTTAAAAATAACATTATCATATGATCCAGCAATTCCACTTACGGCTGCATACCTCAAAGAACTGAAAGCAGGAACTCAAACAGATATTTGCACACCCACGTTCACAGCAGCATTATTGGCAGTAGCTGGAAAGGTGGAAGCCACACAAATGTCCACTGAAAGATGAATAAACAAAATGTGCTCTATCCGTAGAATGGAATATTATTCAACCTGAAATAGGAAGGAAATTCTGACACATGCTACAATATGGATGACCTTTGAGAACATTATGCTAAGTGAAGCAAGCCTGTTGCAGAAAAGTTAAACACTGTATGATTCCACTTCTATGAGGTACCTAGAATAGTCAAATTCGTAGAAAAAGTAGAATGATAGTTGCCAGGGGCTGGGGGGCTGCAGGGCTGGGGATGAGTTGTTGTTGTTTAATGGGGACAGAGTTTCTGTTTGTGAAAATGAAGAAGTTCTGGAGATGGATGGTGATGATGGTTGTACAACAGTGTGGATGTATTTACCACCACTGAGCTGTGTACAGTTAAAAGTAGTTATGATGGCAAACTTTATGGTATGCATATTTTCCTACAATCTTAAAAAGTATTACGGACCACATCTGGTACCCAACTTAAAGGATTTTTCAAAAGTTCTGTGGTAGATTTAGACAGATAAGAAATAACAGCACTAGCTAATGACATCCTGGGCTTGAAGATCCAACTCAGTGGAGCTCATTCTCAGATGCCATATGGTCTTCAGCAATGGTGGAGACACAGGAGGCCCAGTGGTCTGTCCTCTCCAAGGCTCGCATGTGCAAACTCAAGGTAAATGAAAGTACCACTGAAACCTAGAATATACTTTTTAGCTAATGCTTAAGTTGGCTTCATTAAACGTTGGCTTAATTAAGGGGTGGGTAAGACCTTTCTAGTGACTTAAAGTGGGTTTGGCTTACCTCCAATTAAGCTAGAGAGAAGCCTGCTACCTTATTTTATAGGTTCTCTTTTCCTGTTGTTCATCAGTCAACAAATGTCTGTTAAGCACCTACCATGTACAGAGAGTACATATTAATAACTTTGGGAAAAGTTTAAGTTTTTTGTGAACCATGAAATTGAGAATATTCAATCATTTTGATAAAAAATGGCAATATCATATCAAGTCGAATTGTTGATAGTCTGATGGAGGAGAAAAGACACAGAGAGATACAAGGAAAGCTGGCCAGCGACAATCAAGTGTAGCCCTGGTGCCATATAAATACTGCTGGTCTCCCAGGAGAAGGAGCAGCATGAGAAAGGAGGAGCTGGGACATCAGGGCTTGAAGGCAGAGCAAGTCCCCCATATCACAAAAGTGCCTGGGGAAGAGCATGAACCCGACAGGGAAAGGTGAATGCCTGTGCCAAGCCTCTTTGTGGAATTTCGAAAACACAGTTTCTAATTAGGAGATGTGAGAAACTGAGGTTGGAAGGGAAGTTGAAGCACATTAGCAGTCTGCGGCTTGGGTTGTCTGCTAGTTTGGATCTCATCCTCTATCCCCATGGGACAGGAGGGAACCAGTGAGCCTTCCTTGATGGCAGTGAAGTGATGAGAGTACAGCAGAGGTTCAGAAAGGAAAGACTTCAGAAGAAAGAAATTATAGGATGGCTGTGCCATTAAAAATGACTATTTAGTCTGGCAGAAAGCAGTAAGAAAACAGACCAATTGCCTGGAGGTTGAGAATAGGAAATTTTATGCACTGGGGACCAAGCGGGTGGGTAAGGACCTTATGAAGGAAAAAGGTGGTGCTGGAGTTGGAGGCAGATGTGTGGGGCAGCCGCTAAATGAGAAAGGCAGGAATCAGTGACACAAGTGAGCCTTTGACCCAAGTCACAAGGATAGTCATGGCATCTGACTTGGCTTGACTAAATCCCAAAAGATGATAGAATACTATGTAGAATTTTGCAAGAAAAGAATGTGATGCATGAACCATGTCCAGCTAAGCAAGCGTTTGTTTTCAAGGGCAATATAAAGGCATTTTCAGATATTAAAGGACTCAGAGTACACTGTTCTCTTTTTCTCAGGTTGATTCATTCAGTGCTTTTAAACTAATTTATTGAGCACCTGCTAGATGCCAAGCACTGGTCTATTTAGGCTACATCAGTTAACAAAACAAATATCGCTGCCTGTATGGAACTTCATGCTAGCTGTGTGTGTGTTGACAGAGAGAATAATAACCCTAGTAAGTAAATTATTCATGTTAGAAGTTGATAAGTACTACAGGGGAAAGACGAAAGAGAAGAGGGCAAGTTTCATTATTAATGGGATAGTCATGGTAGACTTCACTAAGAAGGGAACCAAAACATTTTTTCTAGATTACCTAGATTAGGAATTCAGTATTTTGCAACACCAATCTGTTCATTGACTTCATTACATTCTGAAATTTGCAAATCATGTTAACAAGCACTTTTGGTGAAAATATTGACTAAAGAGAAAATTATTTTCTTTTTTTTTTTTGAGATGGAGTTTCTCTCTTGTTGCCCAGGCTGGAGTGCAATGGTGCAATCTGGGCTCACTGTGACCTCCACCTTCTGGGTTCAAGAGATTCTGCAAATTGCTGGGATTACAGGTGTGAGCCACTATACCCTGCCAGAAAATTATTTTCTAATACCACCGGGAAACCAAACAAATTCCAGAGAAGAAATCTTTCTCCTATTTTCCTACCACCAGTATAACCAATATGAATATCTACTTTTACTCAACTTAAATTTGGTTTCCATGCAATTTAAAAATATTCAACTTTTTTCTCTATATTTTTCATCCAGATAATAAAAAAGATGTATAAAAAAGTGAAGAAAATTAAGATTCCTCCAAATGATTTATTTCTAAATGGATTTGTAACCAGTATCACTTTCCCTACCTCAAAAAAAGCACAACCTGAAAGATTTTCCACCACAGATAATCCAAGGCTACCCCACAGTATATGGGTGGGCAGTTCCCAAAGACAAATTCCAAATGCACCTTTAACAAAGACAGCACCTGTTATTCTCCAACACCTCAAGCCACCACTGTCATAGAACTAACGGGATATGAATGCTATTTGGACGTCTGCAGTTTTTATTTTTTTATTTTTTGAGATGGAGTCTTGCTCTTTCGCCCAAGCTGGAGTGCAGTGATGTGATCTCAGCTCACTGCAACCTCCACCTCCCAGGTTCAAGCGATTCTCCAGCCTCAGCCTCCTGAGTAGCTGGGATTACAGGTGTGCGCCACCACGCCCCACTGATTTTTGTATTTTTAGTAGAGGTGGGGTTTTGCCATGTTGGCCAGGCTGGTCTCGAACTCCTGGCCTCAAGTGATCCACCTACCTTGGCCTCCCAAAGTGCTGGGATTACAGGCGTGAGCCACCGTGCCTGGCCGGATATTTGCATTCTGATTGGGCAAGTATTTTAGTTTCATTACCTCAATGTCAAGCCTCCCTCATCTTTTTATTCTCTGCTCTTCACTGCACAGGACAGGACCTCCCTGGCACTTGTGGAAATGAATATTACTGACATCCCATTCCCTGTGGGACTGGATGGAGTTCTAGGTTAAAATCATTTGAACACAGTGTCTCTATGGTACTACATGTAGATGTAGTCTGAAATCTTGTATAAGTCACTACTAGCTTCATTTAGATAATAATTTAGCACATTAACCTATTTTTTTCCTTTTCATTAAGCCCATTTAACCAGCTATACAAATGTGCTAAGTATTTCACATTACGCAGTTTACATTGTCTAAATGTACAACAACGCCTAACAACTCTAATATCCCCCTCAAATGGCTGTATTAAAAAATGCAGCTCTGCACCAGTGTTTTGGAGGTACAGAGTTCTCAGCACTGGCTGGAGGTCAAGCCGCTGGTGAGGAGCACCCAGGCTCAGATGCAGGGTGTGCACCGATGGAGGCGCACTCCACCACCATGAGCACAGGCCTTTGCTTTACACAAGTCCACTGACTTTCTGGACTAGGGGCTTCCTTGGGCCATGACCTAATCTTGGAAGGCCACATGCCCCCACCAACCAGCAGATGCTTGAGGACAAGGCCCTGGTGCCCTGGTTCCTGACCAAATGCTGGCCACTGGAGAGGAGCTCAGGGATTTTTTGAAAGCTGTCAAAGGCGAGCTTTCACACCAGCTGTCAGGCTTGTCTATCTTCAATAGTCATTTAGTGTCAGGTAGCAGGATCTGCCAAAGATAGAACAGCACGAGTCTTTCCAGTGAGTTTGTATGGCTAGTAGCTGTGCTGTGGGAAACCTGATGGAGGTTAAGGCAAGTAAGACAGTTAACAAAAGAGAAAAATAATCACTCTGGGCCTTAAAGATCAGACATTTCTTTCTATATCAGTAGTCCCCAACCTGGATTGGCTTTGTGGAAGACAACTTTTCCACAAACCTGTGTGTGTGTGTGTGTGTGTGTGTGTGTGTGTGACGGTTTTGGGATGAAACTGTTCCATCTCAGATCATCAGGCATTAGTTACATTCTCATAACGAGTGCACAACCTAGGTCCCTTGCATGCACAGTTCACAATAGGGTTTGCACTCCTATGAGAATCTAATGCTGCCACGGATCTGACAGGAGGCGGAGCTCAGGGAGTAATGCTCACTCGCTTGCCTGCTGCTCACTTCCTGCTGTGAAGCCTGGGTCCTAACAGGCCATGGACCAGTAGTGGTCCATGGTCCAGGGGTTAGGGACCCCTATTCTATATGGCCCAAGGAGAAGGACATGCTGTAGATGGCATGCATTGAGAGCAACGTGTTTCCCTAGAGGTTTCAAGTAGACTAGACTAGAACCCAAAGTGCAGGTCCAAACCACCTCATTGGAATCTTCCAGCAGCATGTTAAAAATGCAGATAGAGATTTTTTGGGGCAAGAAGGCCAACTAGATGCAGCCAGGTGGAACAGCTGCCACTGAGGGACCAAGACCACTGGCACAGTCCTAACAGATCTTCAGAGGGAAGGCTGTGAGAGTACATGGAGGGAAGATACAGAAGCTGAGCTGAATGGGGAGGAAGTTGGGAACCCTGAATGGAAGGGCTACTGCACACCAGGACTCACTCCTGGCCCCCAGTGACTCTGGGGTAATGGGTGAATTGAACTGACAAGGAGCAACCTGCTCTCACCACGGGCACCTGGAATCCTGGCAGGAGACCCTTCGACCACTGTGGACACTCGAGTTTGCAGGGAGAGCTGCTTAGAGAAGTGGTAGTGGGGCATGCCAACTGATGCAGAGCCCAGAGGGTTTGGTGTGGGAGCATCTGCAGTGGAGCATGGTCAGGGATGCCCAGCCTCCTAGGCTCGACTTGTTCTCATAGGAGACTTTAGCCCTCTGCGAACTGTCAGACCTGAACTCTGCAGAGCTGTCTTGCCCATCAGACAGGGCCAGTCTGGACCTCAGTGCCCTTGGTCTGCTGGCCTCTCCTGAGGCCCCAGCCTGGCTGAGTCCACTTGCAGGAAAGCCTCAGCTACCTTGGGGGCCCACATCCTGCACTGGTGCACCATGGCTGACTAATGGAGAATTCCAGTGAGGTGTCCCCCACGGCCATGCAGCAACCTGCTTGCTTCCTCCCCCAACAGCAGCTTCCCCAAGGCCCATAGCCACCCCCAACATTGCTTTGCCAGAGTGTGTGTGCCAGCAGGTTTTGCCTTCCCTGCCCTGTCAGTAAGCATGTCTGCATGCATCCAACACTGCCACAGGAGTGAATCTTCTTCAACTAGCTAGAGAGGCCAACATTCAAATTCAGGAAATGCAGAGAACCCCAGTAAGATACTTCAAAATAAGATCAATCCCACAACACGTAATCATCAGATTTTCCAAGGTTGAAATGCAAGAAAGAATGCTAAAGTCAGCTAGAGGGAGAGGGAAAGTCACCTACAAAGGGAATCCCATCAGGCTAACAGCAGACCTCTCAGTAGAAACTCTACAAGCTAGAAGAGATTGGGGGCCTATATTCAACGTTCCTCAAGACACATAATCTTCAACCAAGAATTTCATATCCAGCCAAATTAAGCTTCATAAGAGAAGGGGAAATAAGATCCTTTTCAGATAAGCAAATGCTGAGGGAGTTTGTTACCACTGGGCCCGCCTTACAAGAGATCTTGAAAGGAGCACTAAATATGAAAAAGAAAGACTGTTACCAGTCAACACAAAAATATACTGACGTACACAGAACAGTGACTCTATAAAGCAACCACACAAACAAGTCTTAATAACCAGCTAACATCATGATGGCAGGGTCAAATCCACACATATCAATACCAACCTTGAATGTAAATGGGCTAAATGCCCCAAATAAAAGGCACAGAGTGGCAAGCTGGATTAAAAACAAAAAAACAAAAAACAAAACAAAACAAAACAAAATCCAAGACCCATTGGTATGCTGTATTCAAGAGACCCATCTCACATGTAGTGACACCCATAGGCTTAAAATAAAGAGATGGAGAAAAATCTACCAAGCAAATGGAAAACAAAAAAAGCAGGGGTTGCAATCCTAATTTCAGACAAAACAGACTTTAACAAAAATTTAAAAAGACAAGGGCATTACATAATTGTAAAGGGTTCCATTCAACAAGAAGATGTAACTATCCTAAATATATAGGTACCCAACACAGGACACCCAGATTCATAAAGCAAGTTCTTAGAGACCTTCAAAGAGACTTAGATTCCCATGCAATAATAGTGGGAGACTTCAACACCCTACTGATAGTATTAGGCAGATCAAGGAAGAAAACTAGCAACGATATTCAGGACCCAAACTCAACATTGGACCAAATGGACCAGATAGACATCTACAGAACTCTCTACCTCAAAACAACAGAATATACATTCTTATCTGCACATGAGACATATTTTAAAATCAGCCCCATAATTGGACACAAAATACTCCTCAGCAAATGCAAAAGAACTGAAATCAAAACAACCGCTTTCTTAGACCACAGCACAATAATATTAGAGATCAAGACTAAGGAAATTGCTGAAAACCATATAATTACAAAGAAATTGAATAACCTGCTCCTGAATGACTTTTGGGTAGATAATGAAATTAAGGCAGAAATCACAAAGTTCTCTGAAACTAATAAGAACAAAGATACAACATGCCAGAATCTCTGGGACACAGCTAAGACAGTGTTGTGAGGGAAATTTATAGCACTAAATGCCCACATCAAGTTAGAAAGATCTTAATTTAACAACCTAATATCACAACTAAAAGAACTAGAGAACCAAGAGCAAACCAACCCCAAAGCTAGCAGAAGACAAGAAATAACCAAGATCAGAGCTGAACTGAAGGAGATAAAGACACACAAAAAAATTCAAAAGATGAACAAATCCAGGAGTTGGTTTTCTGAAAAAAAATTAATAAAGCAGATAGACTGCTAACTAGACTAATAAAGAAGAGAGAAGATCCAAATAAACACAATTAGAAATGACAAAGGGGATACTACCACTGACCCCACAGAAATACAAATCATCATCAGAGAATATTATTAATACCTCTATGCACATAAACTAGAAAATCTGGAAGAAATGGAAAAATTCCTAGACACATACACCCTCCAAAACTGAAACAGGAAGAAACTGGATCCCTGAACAGACCAATAATGAGCTCTGAAATTGAATCAGTAATAAATAGCCTATCTAACAAAAAAAGCCCAGGACCAGATGGATTCACAGCTGAATTCTACCAGACATACACAGAAGAGCTGGTACCCATTCCTACTGAAACCATTCTAAAAAATTGAGTAGGAGGGACTCCTAACTCATCTATAAGGCCAGCATCACCCTGATACCAAAACCTGGCAGAGACACAACAAAAAAAGCAAACTTTAGGCCAGTATCCTTGATAAATATTGACACAAAAATCCTCAACAAAATACAGGCAAACCAAATCCAACAGCACATCAAAAAACTTATCCACCATGATCAAGTAGGCTTTATCCCTGGGATGCAAGGTTGGTTCAACATACGCAAATGAATAAATGTGATTCATCACATAAACTGAACTAAAGACCAAAGACAATTATCTCAATAGATGCAGAAAAGGCTTTCAATAAAATTTAACACAACTTCATGTTAAAAACTCCCAATAAATGAGGTATTGAGGGAACATACCTCAAAATAAGTGATCTATGACAAACCGACAGCCTATATCATATTGAATGGGCAAAAGCTGGAAGCATTGCCCTTGGAAACTAGCACAAGACAAGGATGCCCTCTCTCCTATTTAACATAGTATTGAAAGTTCTGGCCAGAGCAGTCAGGCAAGAGAAAGAAATAAAGGGCATCCAAATAGGAAGAGAGAAGTCAAACTATCCCTGTTTGCAGATGACATGACCCCATATCTAGAAAAACCCATAGTCTCAGCCCAAAAGCTCCTTCAGCTGATAAACAACTTCTGCAAAGATCCTTCAGCTTATAAACAACTTCTATAAAGTCAACATACAAAAATCACTAGCATTCTTACACACCAACAACAGTCAAGCCAAGAGCCAAATGAGCAACAGAATCCCATTCACAATTGCCACAAAAAGAATAAAATACCTAGGAATACAGCTAACCAGGGAGGTGAAAGAGCTCTACAAGAAGACCTGCAAAACACTGCTTAAAGAAATGACACCAACAAATGGAAAAAAAATTCATGCTCCTGGATAGGAAGAATCAATATTGTTAAAATGGCCATACTGCCCAAAGCAATTTATAGATTCAGTGTTGTTCCTATTAAACTGCCATTGACATTATTTACGGAACTATAAAAAAACATTTTAAAATTTATATGGAACCAAAAAAGAGCTGAAATAGCCAAGGCAATCCTAAGCAAAAAGAAGAAAGCTGGAGGCATCATGCTACCTGACTTCAAACTATACTACAGGGCTACAGTAACCAAAACAGCATGGTACTGGTAAAAAAAAAAACCAGACATATAGACCAATGGAGGAACAGAATAGAGAGCCAAAGAATAAGGCCACTACACATGCAACCATCTGATTTTTGACCAAGTTGACAAATGACAAGCAATGGGGAAAGGACTCCTTATTCAATAAATGCTGCTGGGATAACCGGCTGGCTGGTGAAGAAGATTGAAACTGGATCCCTTCCTTACACCATATACAAAAATCAACTCAAGATGGATTAAAGACTTAACATGTGAAACCCAAAATTATAAAAACTCTGGAAGACAACCTAGGCAATACCACTCTGGACATAGGAACAGGCAAGGATTTCATGACAAAGATACCAAAAGCAATTGCAACTAAAGCAAAAGTTGACAAATGAGATCTAAATAAACTAAAGAGCTTCTGCACAGCAAAAGAAACTATCCACAGAGTAAACAGACAACCTACAGAATGGCAGAACATTTTCGCAAATTCTGCATCTGACAAAGGTCTAATATTCAGTATCTATAAGGAACTTAAACAAATTTACAAGAAAAAAACCCACCTCAATAAAAAGTGGGCAAAAGACATGAACAGACACTTTTCAAAATAAGACATACATGTGGCCAACAAACATGAAAAAAAGCTCAGCATCACTGGTCATTAGAGAAATGCAAACCAAAACCACAATGAGATACCATCCCACACCAGTCAGAATGGCTACTATTAAAAAGTCAAAAAAGAACAGATGCTGGTGAGGTCACAGAGAAAAAGGAACACTTTTACACTGTTAGTGGGAATGTAAATTAGTTCAATCATTGCAAAAAGCAGTGTGGTGATTCCTCAAAGACCTAAAAACAGAACTACCATTTAACCCAGCAATCTTATTAGCAGGTAAATATCCAAAGGAATATAAATTGCTGTATCATAAAGATACATGCACACATATGTTCATTGCAGCATTATTCACAATAGCAAAGACATGGTATCAACCTAAGTGCCCACTAATTGTAGACTGGAAAAAGAAAATGTGGTACATACACACCACGGAATACTATGCAGCCATAAGAAAGAACAAGATCATGTCCTTTGCAGGGACATGGATGGAGCTGGAGGCCATTATCCTTAGCAAACTAATGCAGGAACAGAAAACCATAGACAGCATGTTCTCACTTGTAAGTGGGAGCTAAATGATGAGAATACATGGACACAGAGGGGAACCACACACACTGGGGCCTACTGGAAGGTGGAGGCTGGGAAGAGGAAGGGGATTAGAAAAAATAATTGGTAGTAGGCTTAGTACCTGGGGAACAAAATAGTCCGTACAACAAATCCCTATGACACAAGTTTACCTACCTAACAAACCTGTACATGTCCCCCTGAACTTACAAGTTATAAAAAAAAAAAAAAAGATGACTGCCCTGTTGCCCTGCAAATCAGAGTCTGAGGAACAGCACAAGAAGGAGCACATTTCCTAATGGCTGGAGGTCCAATGGGCTACACTCAGGAACGGCCGGCTTCCTCAGCAGTGGGAATGCCATCTGCTGGGGGTAGGGGGGAACACAGGTTTTCTGGACACTAGTTGGCTTACTGAACTTTTGCCCAATGCTCAATAGCCACTGTGTCACTTGGGCTGAGAATGTTCCAGCGGGAGGTTCTCATGAGGGGGTTTAGACCTGACTTTGGGTTCTACTCTCATCTACTTGAAGCCTGCGGGGAACATCCCAACATTTGTGGAATACTGGTTGGTTTAATGGACTTCTTTTTCCCACCATCCCACCCTGCTCCCAACCCCTAAGGAGAAAACAAAGATACTTCCTACCCTGAAGAGGATCATTTTTAGGGATGTGAATTCACCAACCACTGCAGGTAAGAAGGCCAGTGCTGAGTATGGCTGAGTGTGGCTTTTGGTTTGGGCTTCTAATTTAAGAAAGACAGCTCAACAGTTTGTTGAAGCAACCTCCCTTCAACACTCGAGGAGTCTTAAGCTTTAAGAAGCAGGGGTGCATTGGCCCTAAGACTGCTAGGGAAGGATCACACTGACGGTCTGAGGCAGTCGGCTCTTCAGGGGGGCCCTGAGGAAGCCCCTGGCTAACAGGGCACCAATGAGTTAGTTCCAAGTGAGAAAAATGTTGAGTAGATCCCTTGACACACGCAGGCCACCCCCAAAGGCATCTGTCACTGTTAGGTAGCACTTGCACAAGCACCCTCAACAGGGCAGCCCCATTTGACTCGGGAGCAAACACATTCAGAGATGCTGAGTAATTTGCTTGAAGTCCCAGGGCCGGTAAGGACAGCTAGGCACTGCCATCGTGCCTGGCTTAAACAGGTAACCAAAGCCTGCAATGCCGCTCCTCAGGAGAGCAGCCAGCATGTGGCAAGACGTTAGAAACGAAATAACCACATCAATGACACAGATGCCAACAATAAACAGTGCTGCATTCTAGTAAGAAAAGGCCAAAACCAGACTCATGTTTATTGAAATGTAAGATTTAAATAATACTTTCAAACTTTTCTATCCTTTCAGTTCTGAACTTTGGTCTTAAGAAATTACTTTGGTATTCTGGTGTTGAGCAGTAGGAATTGTAGAAAAGTAGATTGTAAACTGGTTAGCACATAGAAAGCAAGACACAGTTGAACTAGCACTGAAAATGATTTGGAAACATTGGTTTCAGCCATTATAAAGACTAGAAGATTTTAATTTGTGATGCAGTTTGGGAAAAAAGTTGGCCAGTTGTAGCTCACAAGAAACATCATTTAATGGCACTGGGCCATAAACCATACGTGACGGTCTTGGTGGTTACGTGCCAGCAGGATGGCACGATGTTTACCTAAAAGGCATATTTAGATACAAACAAGTGAGCAAAGTTACCTGAGTGCAGAATGACTAACCTTTATTGTCCCTTGCTGTCTGTGCAAAGAGGCAACAGAACAGCAAAACAAGATCTGTCCAGGAAGATTGATGGCATTGGCCCGCCTGGCCAGAGCATCAGTGGCCACACTCCAAGCGACGTGGGGACCCTGCCTGGACCTCCCACTCTGACTAGTGGCTCATCACGGGACTATCAATTCACCCTCCAGTGGTCCATCTGACATCCTGGGGTGCCGGTTCCTTAATATAAAAATACTAATCTTGACCTCCTGCAGGCAGACAGAGGACGCCCACAAGCCAGCATGTGACAAGACTGAAAATAACTGTCACCTACAACTATGAGCCTTAAGTAAGTTCCTGAAGCCAAAATGTACATCTGTCTTTGGTCCTTTAGTTGCTCGGCTATACCTGAATTGCTATGTGTACATCAAAGTCATTCAGCTGTCCAGGCACTCAATATTTAGTGGGATTCCAGCATCAGGTCAAAATGTCATTCTCATTAGTGAGACCCGAAAGAGTCTGGAGGGACTGGTTTTTCCCTGGATGTATTCTGTCTCATGTAATGATCTCCCTCACCTGAATGTCTATTCACAATGACTGGGTGCCACCAACCTCAGGTACAAGACACCAGAGTTCTAATTTATTGTAATCTAAGGCAGCAGCAAAAAGATACAATTTCCTCACAGGGAACTCGCATGGCAGAGTAAGTGTGCAACACCTCGCTTCTCCCGAACACCTTCCTACGCTGGGGTTGGAAGGGTCCAGCGCTAGTGCAGATCCTTGGCTGTGCATCCTGGCTCCACCATGCAGCAGCCACATGTTGGGTGCACTGCCTGTAGACCTCACTTTCCCCATCTATAAAATGGGGATGATAGCAGGTCCCACCTCATGGGGCTGTGATGAGGAACAAATGGGGGCGCAGTGCATGGTGCAGAGGGAGCGCTTGATACGTGATTGGCCTAGGAGGGCACAAATGCCAAGTCATGTGACTCTGCACCCCCAGGGCCTGGCACATCAATATAAATGCTCCCGATCAAGAGGACAAATCGAGAGTTAGTCGTGGGGGACACATGGTGTGAGAGCGCTGGCTGCCAAGAGTTCAGCAACATATTTCTAAACAAATATTTTCCAAAGAGCAAAGTTCAGACCAAGCTTGAGATTCTGGGTTCCCTTGGGGTTTCACTAATTAAAACTCATTATTTCAATATACAAAAATGTGGGGGTAGAAAATGAAAACACACAAGTAATAAATGTTAAGCTCTTCTCTAAAAATGATTTCCACTCCGCAATGAGTGAATGCTTCAGTAATTACTCTCCCATGATTGAGTCTGAGTTTTCCCAAAGATAAATACACACAGAGCCTTGTCATAATACTTTTTTTTATTACAATATCCAAAAAACTGGGTATGCAAGTTTAGGGGATCTCAAGACCCCTTCTTCAATCGTAGGAATGTGCCATCTCAAGACGTTATATTTAAACTATAAAGAAGTTCAAATGTAAAGGAAAAAGAAAATGCAATTTCTTCATAAACATTCTGTGTGTCTCTTACTACCAATCACATACTCTTTTGTAAACCCTGAAAAATTTCCCTGTAAATAATATATATATATATAGTGTGTGTGTGTGTGTGTGTGCACGTGTGTGTGTGTATAAAGTGTTGGTAGCTCCCTTCCCCAAAGATCAGCTGTTTTCCTTAATCATCTGTATTAGTGTCAACAAACGGCTACAGATACATATTTCTTTGAGAATTAAATACATAATTGTGAGATTCAAACAAGCCGAAGGGCAAGAGGAAAAAGCACTATGTGGATGGCACATTTGGGGTAAATTACCAAAACATCTGTCTTTCTGAGTCACCGGTTCCCTCTTTTGCAGACTGCCTTTCCAGGAAATTCTTTATTGCAAGCACAGCCCCAAAGGCACTGGGCAGTCTCCTCACTGCCATCGCACCCGGTGGTTCCAGTATTGCTATCAGCAAACGTATCGGCTCCCTGCACAGTCCGGGAGCCATGTAAGGGCACAGGACATGGGCGAGGGCTGCTAGGACTGGGGCCATCGCACCTGCTCTGCCCAGCACGCTGAGTGCCCAGGACACGGGCGCTGCCGCTGGGTGGCCTTAGGCTCGCTCCTGCGCTCACAGGTGCCCTGCGTCTTTTTAAAGAGGGGTTCCATGAGCGGGAACGAGTTGAATGCACGAGCGCCACTTCCGATGGAAAAGGAATAATGTGAACTCGCCCTGCTCCTCCCCTCCTCTAAAGCTGGCCGGCCGGGTGGGCTCGAGTGTGGGTGTGAGGCCTGGATGGCAAATGGGAGACGAACCGACCAAGCGACCTGAACATAAAGAGAGACTCGCAGAGAAGCCGTCGGGGCCGTCCCCGCGGGAGGAGCCTCTGCCACAAGGCCGGGCGGGCAGCTCCACCGTGGGGCCCGGGAGGCGAGTGTGGGGCCGGGGCGCCGTCACTGCAGGGCCCTGACGAGGTAGAGCTTCTCCCCGTGCTCGCTGGTGAAGATGGGCGCCTTTTTGTAGTGTTCCACCAGCTCGTCCATGGTGTGGAAGCGCCGCTGCCCAATGCAGTAGACATTGTCCACGAGCTGCACCTTGAAGTGTTTGTTCTTCCCTGACGCTTTAAGGGACACGGAGAAGTCGCTGGGCTGGGGAGGAAACAGAACACAGTTACAGCCGGGCCACAGCGGGGAGCTGTGTCTAAATCCATCCACATCTCTTGTGCGTCTAAATCCAAACCACCCATTGCTCAAACACTGGGTCTCTGCTTTTTTTTTTTTTTTTGAGATGGAGTTTCACTCTTTTGCCCAGGCTGTAGTGTAGTGGCCCAATCTCGGCTCACTGCAACCTCCGCCTCACGGGTTCAAGCGATTCTCCTGTCTCGGCCTCCCGAGTACCTGGGATTACAGGAACCTGCCACCATGCCCGGCTAATATTTGTATTTTTAGTAGAGACAGGGTTTCGCCATGTTGGCCAGGCTGGTCTTGAACTTCTGACCTCAGGTGATCCCCACCCCCCTCCCAGCCTCAGCCTTCCAAATTGCTCGGATTACAGGCATGAGCCACCACGCCCAGCCGGGTCTCTGTTTTATATCTAGAACGGCATCTGATGTTCAGAAAGACCTGGAGGTAGTCCACGATTCTGAAATTCTGAACCAAAGAAAAAATAAATTCTGCTTAGCCCAGTTTCAGTGCTAAATGCGTTTTAGTTATTTGAAAAGTGCAAACTCATTATGGAATATACAGCACTTCACTATGGAATATACAGTGTTGCCCTGACTGCTCAAGAAATTTGCTGTTTTTCATTTCCCAAACTATTTTTTGATAAACTGGGAATTTATTAAGAGTGGTTTGCATGCAGGCAGTAGCTAGAAATTTTACTACTTCTGATGTCTAACCCTATTAGAAATTAAGACATCAAAATTTTTCTAATTCTTTTTTTTTTTGAGACGCAGTTTTGCTTTTGTTGCCCAGGCTAGAGTGCAATGGTGTGATCTTGGCTCACTGCAACCTGCGCCTCCCAGGTTCAAGCAGATTCTCCTGCCTCAGCCTCCCGATGTGCCACCATGCCTGGCTAATTTTTCTAATTCTAAGCATTTAAAAATATGAACAGCAGTGGAAAATTCCGGTCGCATTTTAAACATAGTTCACAATATCCCAGAGGAAGCTGAACTATGGTTTGATTACAGATTTTATTGAAAAATATTTAAATTCTGTGATGTGCCTTCTATTTCAGAATATTTTAGAAACATGTCATTATTTTAATTAAAATGTGTCTTTTATTGGCCAGGTGCAGTAGCTCACGCCTGTAATCTCAGCACTTTGGGAGGCCAAGGCAGGTGGATCACCTGTGGTCAGGACTTTGAGACCAGCCTGGCCAACATGGTGAAACCTCATCTCTGCTAAAAAATACAAAATTAGCCAGGCATGGTGGTAGTGTGCCTGTAATCCCAGCTACTTGGGAGGCTGAGGCAGGAGAATCGCTTGAACCTGGGAGGTGGAAGTTGTAAGCTGAGATCACGCCACTGCACTCTGGTCTGGGCAACAAGAGCGAAAAATCTCAAAAAAAAAAAAAAAAAAAAAAAAAAAAAAAAAAAATTGGTCTTTTATCTCATTTGCTGAAAAGCATGCAGGAAAGAAGATACTGAACGATAAATGTTCTTTGTACAAAAATATCAAGTTTTGATCAATTCATTAAATGAATAACAATTAGTTACTAACACATGCCAGGCAGGCGGTGCCCTGGATACATGTGTGTGCATGCAGGACATATGCTCTGTGACAATCTGGTGTGGGGAACAGATAAATAGAGGTGTACAGATGGCTGCACAGGGCAGTAAGTTCTATGAAAAAAAAAAAGAAAACAAACAAAAAAAAGAGTTGCATGAAAGAGGAGCATGAGATACCGCAGCTCTAAGTGTGTGAGCGTGCGCAGATGTGAGAGGGAGTATGTGAGTATTGAGAGTGTGTGAGAGTATGCGTAGCGTGTGAGTTCATCTGTGTGAATGTATAAGTGCGTGTGGGGGCAGGAGAGCCCTCTGGACAATGTGGAGCTGAGCATGTGCTCTCCGAGGCAGGGCTGGTACCTCGGACATGCCTGGCCAGTGGCAGGACCACAGCCTAACATCCGAAATTCTTCCTGGAATTCCCAGACCAGTTTTCTGCTTTTCTCAAAGCCCAGAAACTTCCTGCTCTGAGGGTCCAGCAGCTCAGCCCTGCTCTGCGACCTCCCAGCAGGACCTCCAGACAGTTAACAAAGGACTAGGCCATTGTCTATTACAGAGTTCACAAAAGCCCAAATAAATGTTTGATGAGAAGTGTGCAACCCTTGCAAAACAAGGAATCACTCCATTTCTACCAATGACAACTCAGGGGAATGAGTGTCTGAGAAGACTCAAATTGTGCAAGGCAGCTGGGCTCACCCAGCAGCCATAGCTGTTAACAGAAAAGAATGAAAGGAACAATTGTAAGTATAGTTTGTATTTATGCATGCCTCTGTCTCAAATAGACCAAATAAGAACAAACCTTTGAGGCGAAAAGCCCCATCTCATCCCCATGTGAGGCCCAGGGCATACTCCTGGATGAAACTCCAGGAAGAAACCAGAAGGTTAATCTCAGATTAGGCCTCAGCCTATAGATGATTAATATTCTGTACTAGAAGTTGTATCTTTAGGAAAAGATGAAGGGCAGTCTCACTTATAGAGTTTACTATAAGCCAGGCTCAATTTAGAGATAATGTGGCATCATTTTTAGTGGAGGCAGTATGGGAGTGAATCATGGTAGATGTAAGATACACCCAATTTTAATTAAGCCAAATGATCAACAGATGACTTTCTACATAAGGGAAATTTGCTTTTAATTCAAGCTCCTTAATTTAACATCATGGTGTGTGTGTGCCTGTATGCATGCATGAGTTGCAGCAATAAAATTTTCGCAGCAGAAGAGGTAATTTTTAATTTCGTGGGCTCCTGAGCAGAAACCTTTAAAAGTTAAGGATGTAGAACCAATTTATGCCAAGCAGGAGTGCTAAAAGTTGGGGAGTGTTCTTTAATTTAAACTAAGTAGATTTTCTGTAGGAAATCTGAAAAAGAACAATCTGTATACTAACATACACCGTTACATATGACCACTGAACACCTCTAAGTGAAGTGTGAAGATGAACTAGTTAAGATGTTCTCCAAGTGTGCTCTCAAGACCAGCAGCATGAGCATCCTCTGAGAACTGGTTAGGAAGCATATTCTCAAGGGCCAGCCATGGAAGCTCACACCTGTAATCCCTGCCCTTTGGGATGCCATGGTGGCAGGATTACTTGAGGCCAGGACTTTGAGATCAGCCTGGGCAACATAGTGGGACCCTATCTCTACATAAAATTTAAAATAATTAGCCAGGTGTGGTGATGCATACCTGTGGTCCCAGCTACTTGGGAGGCCAGGGTGGGAGGATCACTTGAGCCCGGGAGGTCAAGGCAACAGTGAGGTATGACAGGGCCACTGCACTCCAGCCTAGATGACAGAGTGAGACCCTATCTCAAAATAATTAAAAAAAAAAAAAAAAAAAAAGAAATGCAAATTCTCAGGCTCTGCCTCAACCCTGCTGTAGCAGAAATTCTGGGGTGGAGCCCAGCCATCTGTGTTTTAACCTCCAGCACCGTGTGTTTTAATAAGCCCTTCAGGGGACTCTGATGCAGTTTGAGAACTGGAAGAAAGAAAATCTGGAACAAACATCGGCAGTGCTGGAGCCACCAACAAATGTTTGGTCACCAGAAAAAGATGGGAATGCCATTTATGGGCAAAGCAGCCCATGATGGAGGGAGCTCCAGTCTGTGGATACTTTTCCAATTCTGTCCTGAGGACTCTGGCTCTGCTCCAGACATCTCTCATAGGGAATTTCCCCTGAAGGGACAGCTGGGACACTGCTGTATGGTCTCCTCCTTTCAAAGTGAGCCACCAGTCCCTGCATCTGATGGAGATGGAGTTACTCCCGACCCAAAACAACTCTGCCTCCAGAGGGAGCCAGGGAATGATTCCCATGAAAGCAACTCCATCAGTCCTATTCTCATCTGTTGCAGTCCTTCCACGGTTGGCTTTCTAGAACAGATTTCAAGAAATTGGATGAAAAAGGACCATGCCACACTTGCTCCTCAACAAGTACTAGAGTACTGATAGTATGGTAGAGTACTCTACATTTAAGCTTGTCAAAGAATCTTAACACATTTTTGAAACATGCAGTCAGGATGCTGGCTGAGGCTGCAGTCATCTGAAGGCTAGACTGGGGATGCAGGCTCTACTTCCAAGGCAGTCTGCTCACATGAACCCCTAGGGGGCTCTGTAGGGCTGCCTGAATGTACTCTCAACATGACAGCTGGCTCACCCTAGATCAAGTGACCCAAGAGAGAGCAAAGAGGCAGCCACAATGCCCATCTCGGAAGCTGCCCTCCATCGCTTCTGCCACATCTTGGTCATTAGAAGTGAGTTGCTCAGTGCAGCCCATGCTGAAGGGAAGAGGGTCAGGCTCCACCTTCTGAAGCAAAGAGTACCAAAGAATTTATGGACATCTTTTTAAGCCATCATAGATGGACAGGACACTCATTACAATTTTCTATGATTGGACTAAAACCTAACTAGACTCAGTCCCCGGGTTTTGAAACATCTCCCCTTTGATTTCTCCTCTTTAATTGCCACCTTTGTGCTACCTCCCACTGTCCGCATTTCCTACACTTTCCATCTCCAAACACTGTACTTACTTGGTATATAGTAATTTCTCTGTGCTGACTACTGGGCAAATTCTTCAAATTTTCAAACATCAGACCACTTCTTCCTGTTATGTCCTTCTATGAGTACTCCTTATAAGGAATGATTTTTCCATTCTCATAGTTTTTGAATCAATGGTTCTGGAGAATGAACAATTAGTACAACCCATTCATTTGACCCTTCTTTTCAGAAGTCATTTTCCAAGTGGAATCTAAGGACAATTAATAGGTTGGCGGAAAACCAACCTCTCTCGGGGCCTCTATCATCATTATTTTTGTTTAGGCTTTAGATTCTGTGTTTGAATACAACTAAGTGCAAGAACCCTATTTAGCTCCACATCCCCACACCGGGCTCAGAGTATCTGGTGTTCAACAAACGTGCAGACTTAAAAATTTCTAATTTTGACTACCTCTTCCATTATTCATTCCTTTAGGTAATTCTTACACCTCATCTCTTTGCAATTTGTGCTCGCGATAAGTGGGTACTTTTAGAAAAGAACAGTAGAGAGCACACTCTTTGATCCCATCTCTATGGCTTTGCCAGCTTGATCCATTGCCTCAAATACTTGCTGAAAAGCACCTTTGCAGTTTTATAAAACAGATGTCCTGATCAGATACGCCTCTCCCTCTCTCAAGATTTAATCATTGTTTTCTCATAGAAGGAAAAAAATGAATGCCGAGGACAGACTTTAATATCCTTTATTTCCTCCTCCATTCCTGAAAGCTTATGTATTAATGCGATTTTCTTCTAAGCACAATAGTCATGAGGAAACGGGAGGGAGGGGCCTTGCTCCAGGTACTTTTGGTTCTTTAAACCTTAAAACTTCTCCTTATCTTTCACTTTGGACTTTATGAAATGATGAGGGTAGAAATGCCCTTTGTGTGATTCACCAGGCCTTCCACACAGACCCTGGACTGATCTCCAGCCACGCTGAAGTCTCCAAGCATCAATAATCTACACATCTCCTTCTACCCCCAGAGAGAGGTCACCCTGTTGGTTTCTTATCACAAGTTGTATCATTCTTTTCTTTTGGTAAAGACATGTTTTTCCCCTTTTACTTCTTTACAGAAGGCACTCTTCTGTCCACAGAAGTGGTTCATTTACCTCCCAAAAGTGAGAACAAATGGGTTAGAGGCAAATCGTGATCCACTGATTAATAGTTTCTCTGTTTTTATCTCAGAAAAACTGCCTTTCAGTTTTACCATTCTATTTGGTCACCTGCCCTAGTTGTCTAAGGTAGCCTTCTTTTAATAAAAATTACTCCTGCCTATACTTATGCTGCTAGCTGTCAGTTGACCCTATGTTCTTTGTTTTTACATCAGATTATCTCTTCCTTGCCCCAAGTGTGAAGAGTCTCACCAGCTTTTCCTATTCTCCTATCAATGTTCACTCTATAAAATATTTACTCCACAGGCCTGAAGCCAATCCACACTGACATGTTCAAATATTCATCTCATTAACTTTGGAAGTAATCTTATTTACATAAATGAAAAGTCAATCATCAACTACAGAGCAGCTGTCCAAGTCCCATCTACCTAATCTAGGCAAACGGAGCGTTCCCTGTCCACTTTCCAGTTAGTATGCATGTGTGTGGTTAGCCCTCCCTATCCCCAAATGTATTTCCTAAAGTCACATGTAATACCTCACCATATAGACCTGTAGAATATTGTCCTTGTTATTCTTTGTCTTTCCATAGTGTCATACCTGATGTGACTGAGTGATACATTTAAGTCAGAATTTTACCATATTACACAACAGTATGCAAAAGGGCTTGAATCAAGTGCATACTCCACAACGTAGTGGTTCTCAAATTGGCGCATCAGAATTATTCAGGAGTTCATAGGTTCTCAGGATTTGGAACAAAAAAAGGACTCAGAGGGCTTCTTCAAACCAAGGTTGCAGAGCCCTACCCCAGAGATTCGAAGTCAGCAAGCTGGGGCAATCTGCATTCTAGCAAGTTTGCTGGTGATGCTGGATGTTGTCTGTTTTAAAGGTCAGCATTGAAGAGCCAGCCAGAGTGAGAAGGCAGAGTCTTCAAGGGCTCTGGCCCATTTGAGAATCAGAATCAGGTGATGAGCACTAAACTTCCAGATAACAGCCTGTACTGCATGATCTTGCAGGCCTTTCCATCTTCAAGAGTTAAATATGCTTAAAATTAGAACTATTACAAAAATCCAGGCTTAAAACTTCCATTTGGTACTGGGCAAAAAGCCTGGCAATTAAAAATAACTTGTTATCTTTGAAACTGGAAAGATGCCTACAGGCACTGCTCACAGCAACCTAAGGTTAAGTCATCTTAACATTAACTCATTTATGAAGAAACACCATGGATCACGGAGCCTAACCATGAAACCCTGGAAGCAGCTTTCACATTGCTCTGACAATCTACCTCCTCCTAATTCATCAGCAGAAACACAGCAAATACAGCACGTTTATTTTCAAACTCTAAACAGTAAAAAACAAACAAACAAAAACACAAAAAAGCCCCCCAAAAAACTCAACAGAAATATACTTCAAGAGATAAATCCCACTCAACAAAAGCTTCAGTTCTAAATGAAGTTCAGCTTTATGACAATATTTTTATAATTCATGGAAATGTAGTATTATGCAGAAATGGTTTTAATAACAGCTGCAAGAATATATAAAACCACTAAGAATGCATCATAGGGATCAAGGGTTTTCAAAGTGTGGTCCCAAAAGCAGCAGCATCACCACCAAGAAACGTGCTATTAATAGAAATGCAAATTCTTGGGCCCCAGACCTCCTGAATCAGTACCATTTCAGGTAGGACCCAGCAATTTGTTTTAACAAGCTTCAAGGCAATTCTGATACACACTACATACAGTTAGAGAATCATTATTTAGAGAAATGGAATGATGAAATTGCCTGAAAATAGAGTTTTGGGTAAAAGTTATAATTTCTTTAAGAAATATTATAACTTTAAAAATACAGAAAGGAGCTATTCTATTTTATTTCCCAGCCAAATACTTTTCATATATTTTAAAAAAGAGAAATGAAACAAATATGTGCATTAAATTATCCTTAGCGAGACAGTTTTTCTCTACTGGAAAAAAAAGTACTGTATGACAAAAAATATTAGTATCTAATACTATTGCAGGACATAATAAATACATGATATCTTCGGGAACTAAAATCTTACAGAGGAAAATGGCCTCCCGCACTTGCAGGCCAGCTCTGCACCTTTTCCAACCATATCCTAGTTGTGATCTGTCATTTTCTGAACAAGCTTTACAAGGATGGGAGATGCAGCAATTAAGAAAATAAAATATTGACAACTTGTACAGTTTACCAGAAACCCAGTAAAGGGTTACTGTTCATTTTAAGTACAGCTTTCTAGCCACATCCATAGAATCAATGTGGACAAAATGTAATATAAAAGGATTTATAATGGACACACACAGGGTGAGTAGGATTTCTGAGTTTTCTGGATTTAAGCAGGTATGGCTCACAGGTGAAGGTATGATAACGAAATATGGAGAATAAGCAACAACAATGCATCACCTTTAGCTGCTAAGGATAAATGACAATTGTAGATGAGAGAGGAGAGCGAGGGAGGAGGAAGAAATGGAAGGACAAGCAGTAGGTACTGAAGTTCAGGACAGGAAAGAGGGTCCAAGAGGTTCGTTCGTTTGTTGGTTCACTGATTCATCTAACATATCCAACAGATACTTCTGAAATACCCAGCACTTACTGATAGTGGATAGTGTAGCATGTGGCAATGTTTGTCTTCCCTGAAATACGCACCCCTCAATATCGTCAAGCAAGGGTCTAGCTCATTTACACTGCAATCACTCAGGATATTTTATTGAAGATCCATTCCAAAAAAAACAGCTGTGCTTATCCAGAAGCCAGGCCTCATGTGATAACCTCAATTAAAGGCCCAGGCCCAAAGACTGCAAGAAAAAAAGGAAATTAAATAAAGATGCCTGACTGAGTCCTGCAGGGAGGCTGAACCCCTCAGAAACCTTTCCATCCTGGCATGCTGCGAAGGAATTATGTCAGATCATGAACCTAAGGGCTCTTGGTGGCCTAGTGGTGGCTGCGAAAGCCAGCTCTAACCTGAGAAATGCCAAAATGAGCAGGAAAACACATGGGGACGGGGGGAGGCAGTGGATGGTGGGAAAAAAACAAGCAAAGGACTTGTCCACTTGTCCACCAGGACAGGTCCCTGGTAGTCACAGATGACAGCTGAGAACGCCTTGGTTATGAACAGGAAATACAGCAAACCTGGCATGGTTCTGCTGTCAGGAGAAAAGAAGCCACACACACACCTCAGGGCTCTTGCAGAATCCCCATGGAACAAGGCATGCACACTAACAGCTGAAAATGGCCCGTGTCACGGCAAGATCCATCAGGACAAGCTGCCCTGCACAGCATCAGGCCACGTGGAACCTCAGACAAAGACGGTGCTGCTATGTGTGCAGAGCCGATGCAAGTCCCAGTAAAGCTCTTTCCGCCCTATATTCCTAGAATCATATATGTTGTTCCTTGACTTTCTAAGTTAGGAGAGAATGCAAAAAACCCTGAAAGGCCCCCATTAAAAAACTGTTAAAAGGAAATACAAACAATTCGTGCTTTAGTTCTTTAGAAAAAGTTAGCTCATTCTCTAACAATATAAGACAACTGAGACAGTGGGGTGCAGAGTTCTGAGATGAAACCCAGACAATGCATGCATCCCTCCTTATCCAAAGGGACTTGGTCCCTGAATTCAGACAGCAATGACCACCTGTGCATGTTCCACAGAAAAGCCATAGGTCCTCCCTAAGGCCAGCAACCCCGGAGAACACCTTTTTCATCTACCCTCTAAAGTCTTTCCTCTTTTCCCCAAATCTTAGGCAGAAAGAATAATGACTGGGACCAATGTCTCCACACTGCAGGACTTCCTTCTGAGAAGTCTCCTCAAACTCAAAAAATTTTAAGCCAAGATCATATTTTGTGCATTATACTTAGCCCTTAAGGACTCTGGACCAAGCACTTAATATTGTAATTGGTTTTCCAGCGCTTTCTCTAAGTTTCTGCTCGATTGAGTTAAAAGCGCTGCTGTCCTTAATTTGCTTAAGGCTTCAAACACGATCTAAAAGAAGTGGTGCACAGAGCTCTCGTCATGTGAGAACAATTCAATGTGATGTCTTGCCAGGAATGATAAACTCTGGTGACTTGATAAATCTCAGAGTTCAGATTTCAGATGAAGTTAGCTTTCAGCCTGGCATTCCCGTCCAAGCACATGTAAGGCTCCGCAAAATTGATGACACCATAAAGGAGTCCAGTTTCCACCACCACGATGCTCCGTCCTCAAAGAGAGCACATCCCAGTCGCCTCTCTCTGGAGGGCTTTGAATGCCTCTCTGATCAGTCAACAGGACCCTTGAATGAGCACTTATTCATTGTGCCAGTAATCTTTTCAGAGGACAGCAGTGGCAGCAGGTAGTACATACTTACTAGTCTTATAGCGTGCATTTAAAAATGAAATTGAAGCCTCCTAGAACCAATACAATTCAAATACATTAAACTCTATCTCCTAAATGCTTGTTTTGGAAGTCTCTCGATTGTAGAAGGTGTATTCGGAAAGACGTTTGCAAAACTGGTCGAGTATTTCCTTCACACACGAAAAGCCTGCCTTCTGGGATGCAGGCTTGACCCCATGCCTGAAACTCACCGCCCCCAGCCTGCCCACCGCTGAACTGGGTCTGCTGCCCCAGTCGAGTGGCCTCATATCTCCGACTCACTGCACACAAACAAAACTCATCTCTCCCAAGAACCCCTGTTTTCTTTTCAATTTATCTCGTAAGTGCTTTAAAAGCTTTTGAGAGATGAACTCAGTGGCGCTGCCTGCCGTGGCAATGACCTTGGGATTATATGGTTTACAAAGAGAAAGCAAGCAAACAACAAAAGGAGGTGTCAGAAACCAGCCACCAGTCTTGCAAAGAATGCTTTCTCTGGGACACAGACCGAATAGAAACAAAGTAAATCACTCGGGCCTTCTACGTACACAGAATGGGCAACCAGGAGAGAAAATGATGTTTGAGCCTGTGAAATACAAGAGGGGGAATCTTGGGAGAGAAGCAGAACCACCTCTGTGAGCTAAAAACATCTTTTTAGTTAATCTCCCACCTCCAGAAATGGACACCCACTATCCCCAAAACAGATGCAAGTAAATCACGGAGTAGCAAACATTATACTAAATTGCATTCATCTGCGTCTCCCGCTCTTTCTAGTGTACTCACACAATGTGAAAAGGGCGCGGCACACAGACCCACCGCGCAAGGCGCATTTACTGCCTGCAGCCGGAGCTGTGGGCGCAGCGCACTTACCGAGGACTCGCTGTCCCTAATGAGGAAGTCGCCCTCCACGCCCCGCTCGTTGAGGGCGCACTCGGCCTGGTGCCGCGTCACGTTCCCGTAGTACCACTCTCTGCCCGCGAAGCGCCCGCTGGACGAGGGCCCGGTGTAGCTTATCTGTGGGGCGTGCGCAGGGTGCAGGGCAGGCCCGTCACTGAGGACCACCACGTAGTTTTTGGGGACGAGGCCCACCTGGCCCCGGGCATTTTTGCATTTCCACCACTCGGGGTCGTTCTCCGGCTTCTCAATCACCTCCATGGTCTCCCCCTTCTCGAAGTTGAGCTCCTCCTCGGTGACTGAGCTGAAGGGGTACAGCGTCTGGACCACATGCAGCACGCGGGAGCCCTGGCCATTGCTCAGCGAGGCGCCCTTGCGCAGGCTCAGGAAGCTTGGGGACTCCGCAGCCGCCTCGTCCACCTCCTCCAAGACGTAGTTGGAGGGGAACCAGCCGATCTGCCCGTTGTAGCTGCCCCGCCACCAACCGTCGCTGCACTTCTCCATGACGGTGACGCGCGACCCCTTCACCAGGGACAACTCATCCTCCCGCTCGGCCACATAGGCGAACTTGACGAAGGCCGGGATGTTGAGGTCGTAGATGCGGTCGGCGCCGCTGCCATTGGCGGGGTACTCGGCGTCCGTGCTGGGCGTGGGGGACGCATCCCGCGCGCTGGTCTTCCTGCGCGTCTTGCCGAGGCCTGTGGAGACACAGCAAGGCTCAGTGGCGCAGGGCACTTGGGCACCACCACACTCCCTAGCCTACCGGGATTTCCACGCAGTTTCTCTGGCGGTTAAATACAAGGGGACGACACATGGACAGTGCTTACAAACTGTAATTACCATGAGAAAAATACGGTTGCTGGCAGCTGCCTCCTGTAGTTGCGAAGTTACTTAAAGTTGAGAATTAAATTGATCTATTTTATCCATAAAAACATGTCACAGGGCCAGCACAGTGGCTCACGCCTGGAATCCCAGCCTTTGAGAGGCCCAGGCGGGAAGATTGCTTGAGGCCAGGAGTCTGAGACCAGCCTAAGCAACATAGCGAGACCGTGTCTGCAAAAAAAAAAAAAAAAAAAAAAAAAAAAAAAATTAGCCACCTGTGGTGCACATCTGTGGCCCCAGCTACTGGAGAGGCTGAGGTGGGAGGATGGCTTGAGCCAGAGTTGAGACTGCAGTGAGCCATGATCGCTCCACTGCACTCCAGCCTGTGCAACAGAGTGAGGCCCTGTCTCTAAAACCAAAAAATGCGGGAATACCAGTGACACAAAAGATAACAAGAGTAGGTGGTTTCCTTCTGAAATAACCATTTTTAGAGCATCCCTGCGCCTCTCAGAAAAATAAAGTATAAATGCAGAGAAAATATCTTTTTCATTCCTAGAATGGGTGGGAAGTCAGACTAAATGAATTCAAAGACCCGTTAGAACTCTAAGACCATCCAGTCTTAGGGAACGCAGCCTGTATAACCTGCCCTGCCCCCAGCTGCCTTGCCGCTGCCTCCTCCACTCCTGGGACACTCACTGCCCCCACCCTCACCCCTGGGCAGCATAACAGCCCTACTGGGCAAAACCCATCATCTTCACCTTTCTTCTCTTCTTACAATCCTTCTCTTCTTTCAAAACAGCAGACTAATTTCCCACAACAGATTGTGATGAGTGCATTAGGAAAACTTAGCTGATACCTTCAATCGAAGGCAAATTTTTTCATACTGTGATTCAAAGCCCACTAGTGGATCATAAAAAATCACTTTAATGGGCTGCAACCAGCCTATAGGTATGTGTTGAATTTAAGGGAATAAAGTAGAAAATTTCAGTGCATCAAACACAATTACAGTAAGTACTGTTTCTTCAGTCACAGATACGAGTATCGAATCAGATTGAGAAACATTTCTTCCTGTGCATGAGGAAAAATGCTAGAAAAGCCCTAAGGTAAAAATGTTTTAACTGTGTTAAAATGCACGGAATTCCGGAACATTCTAGGAGAGGAAAGCATGTCAGCCCCAGAGCTGGGGACACACCCCACACAAGCAGACTGGCCCTTCCTCAGCTGTCCTGAGAGATGAGTGCTCCCACCACAGCTCTGCTTCGACCTCTACCTTAATCAGTGTGGAGGTTTAGTCATTTGTAGACTCCTCAAAATGACTTCCTCCAAGCACTTCCATGGGTAGCTTGTACCCCTTTCTCCTTTTCTTCCTTAAACTAGAGTAAAGGGCGATCAGTCCTAAGAATTACTTGTGCTTCTATGGCCTTGCTGAGTGGGCAGGAGGTGAAGAGGGTAAAAAGGCTGATTGTCCTCAATGGTGGAGAGCTGGGCTGCTGCCCCCCTCCCACTGCCACTACCCTGGGACATGTGCCCACGCGGCGCCAGGAGGCATGTGAGGCCACGTACGTTTCAGAGCAAATACACTGATTCATTTATGCTAATGGCCTCTGCCGTTTCTCTTTGTACCACATTTTATGCATGTGCATGGGAAACACAAGAGTAAGCCAGAATATTAGAACAGGTGAAACGCTTAGATTTCTACTTTGTGTTAACTTATATAAAAACACAAACCTCTAAATCTGAGAACTCATCCTTTCATAGGATTTCAAATGCAGGATGGTTCAACTACACAATGAAAGCACCATGATACCGCCACAGCTCCACAATCCAGAAGGCAGGCCATCCATGAAAGCAAACTTTTTTGTCCAGAAGGCAGTGGTGCCCGAAGCTCAACCAGGAAGGCCTCACGGCCTTATCAAAACAGCTAGCAAGCCGGGGCGTGAGGGCTACGCTGAGGCCAACTTTTATTGGCAACAATGATGTCAAGAAATAACATTGAACAATAAACTTTTAATAGACCTTTGCAAACATGTGAATTACAAAAGCTACTTGAGAAAAAACGCCTGTGGAAGAGCAGGTTTCGGAATATTCATCAGGCCATGAAGATAAAGGTGAAAAGATCAGCAAAAAAGACATTTGATAGTGGCCATCACAATACGTTATAAAGACACTTTATAACTGATAGACGAATATTCTACTTTAGTGACTTCTTTCAAAAACAAAATACAGTAATCTAATTAATACAGCCACTGAGTTCCTGAGACATACCAGGCAGCAAACTAGACTTTGGTGAGGGGTGAAATGAGCAGACAGGCATGCTTTCTGCCTGCATAGAGCTTATACTTCTCCATCAAGACTGGAACATTGCACATAGCAAGCATGCAGCGGAAATTTTACCTGTTTTGCTTGAATGTGATCTAAATAGTCTTTGGCGCAACTCAGAGGGTCAGTGCAGACTGACAGAGAGCTGCATGCTCTTAGTCAAATTACTTAATAAATGTCTCTCTGTGTACTGGTTTTCTTACCCCCCAAATGTGAACATACTAGTCTGCTCAGGGAACCATGATAAGTACCATAGACTGGGTGGCTTAAACAACAGACATTTATTTCCTCACAATTCTGGAGGCTGGAAGTCCAAATCAAGGTGTGGGCAGGGTTGGTTCCTTGCAAGGCCTCTCTCCTGGACCTGCAGATGCTGTCTTCTTCCTGTGTGTCTTCACATGGTCTTCCCTCTGAGTGTGTCTGTGTTCCAATCTCCTTTTCTTTGTGTTCCAATCTCCTTTTCTTATAAGAACACCAGTTAGACTGGATGAGGGCCCACCCCAGTGACTTCATTTTAACTTAATCACCCCTGTAAAGGCTTTGTCTCCAAACACAGTCCCATTCTGAGGTCCTGGGGATTGGGACTTCGTATGAATTTCAGGAAGATGCAATCTGGCCCATGACAGGCACCAGCGTTCAGCTGATGCTATAAAGCACAGGAAGTGCTCTGTGGATAACAATGATTACCCTTATTAACTAAGCTGTGGCTTTCTTGTTGCTCTGAACAATACTTTACCAAAAGAGGGCCAAAGTCCTCTTTAAAAACACTTGGCCATGATCCTACCAGTGTTGGATGGCCATCAAAATAGAAAGCCTGCCTGCCAGACTTTGACACCTGGGAAGCAAACACTCTTCCATGGGAGCAATGTTGTATGTAGCTGCTGGTGCAGTGAAATTCAAGAGGCAGGTGTCTGGAGATGGAGAGGGACCTGACTTTACTATGTTATCTAAACCCTCACAACAGTCCTGTGACAAAGTGGGCAACTTCTTAATTTGTGGAAATAAGGAAACTGAGGCTACAGGAGGTAAAGGAATTGGCCCAACATACCCACCAGTGATGTGGCACAGACTGTACTCCCAGTAAATTCCCATTCAATCCATAATAGTGAAGGAGCATAGTTCTGATAGCGGCTGGTGTCCAGAATGGTTTTTATGGAAAGCATTATCATCTGTAATATGATTTCTATAGGAAATGAAACTAGGACTCTGAATTGGGGTGCCAAGAATCTACTCCACTCCCTCCCTGCCTGCTTGCATGCCCAAGCAGAGAGAAACCTTTTCTCTTTCTCTACAGAATGAAGAGGCCCCTGTGTCTCCAGATGGAAGAGGGGCTGAGGTTCAGATAATGAAGATTTTGGATAAGAAGTGTAATACCAGTGACAGGCCAGGGCCCCAGAACAGCAGTTAATAGGTCTCAGCAGGCTGGAGGGGTACTGTGTGGGAAAGACGTCAATGGGACCAAGTTGCTGGGTTGCTGAGAAAGCAGGTCCCTTCTCCTCCCTGCACCCTGATCCTGCCCAATGGCCAGAGCCAGGGTCATCTAGAACAGAAGGGATGGGAGATCCTGAATGCTGGCATATGAAGATTTAATGTGTGCCGCCCTCCTGACTGCTAAGGATACCAGAGCAAGAAAGCTGTGGCCAGGGGGAGGGAGGGGAAGGGTGCCTGGGCAAGGTGTCTCAGTGGTAGGAGGAGGAGTGGGAAGAGAAAAATGCACCAAGAGTGCAGGTGGCCTTTCTGTGTGAGGATAATTAAGTAAACTGCAACCCTAGAGTCAGGAGAGCCTTTACATGGGGGCAGGCTTAGGGGACTCAGCGATCCCTTGTCCTTCTCCTCTTGCCTGGACTTCACCTGGAGCTGTGACCCCGCCAGGTGGCAGCCGGGACATCTCAAAGGGACGGTTTCTGCTGCAGAACAAGCAGGGATTCATGCATGTCTGGGAGACGGAGCACTGCAGCTGTGCGTCCAGACCGAGGGCAAGTCCCTGAGTGGTCCAGGCTCTAAGCGACTGCCTCTCTCTAATTCGAAGGCAAACTCATTACCTTGTAGGTAAAGAGGCGGCACCCAGATCCCAGTTTCCTTTCATTCTCTCTGTGTAGTTTTTCTACACATCTCCGCTTCATCGCCTCATCTTTCATTAAAGTAAAACCACCTACTGCTTCCAGTTGTAACAGAAGCACAATTTGAAGTCCAATGTGTGTTTAACAGGGTAACATGATTCTTTTCTCATAGAATTTTAACATATTTTCTCAACAAGACAGGCAAATCCTCATACCCACTTCTCAGATTTGGGCTGTCTTTAGCTACCATAATGAAACCATAGCCAACCAGAACATGGCAGACTGGAAGCCCCCATCATCCAGGGCCCCTGCTCACCAGTCTTTCTATGTTGCATTTTGGAAGAGCACATTCGCTAGCATGTCCCTGGAGCCTGCTCACCTTGGGGTCAACAGTGAACTCCAAAGCAGGCTGCAGGCCAGGTGGATCCTTCAGGGAGACGTGAGGTAGGTGGGTCCTCACCCATGCAGAACACCCAGACAGTTCCAATGCCTCCCATCCTGCCCTTACCGAGGCATGGTGTGCGGTCATGTGTTTTAGCAAGACTTGAGACAAGAGATGAAATGATGTGTTTTTCTTTCAATTCTCAAGTTAATCATAAAATCCTACTGCACAGAATTTACCTGGTTTTGAGCATTTTGGTTGGAGGTGTCACAGCAGCATGCTTTGGATAAATCATATTGCGATGATCATATCTAGAATGTGACCGTTACAAAACCCTTCCAATGGCTGGCATGCTGTGTATTAGATGAAGCAGCATTTTCTCACAAAGTAATGACTTTATCTACAGCTTGTTCAATAATGTATAAACTGCTATATCTTTGCATGAAAAAGAATGAAAGAATGAAAGTAACTAAAAAAAAAGCAAGATGCTGTTTCATAGACATGCTCAGCAGTGAGCAGGATTTTAACTCTTACACTGAAAAGCATCTCAAGCACTTTAAATCTATCATCATAAAATTACGGTGTTTAAGTTCTAGAAGAAACCTTAGAGATCTGATGGTATCTTAATTGGTTCAGGCGCCTATAACAAAATACTGTAAACCAACTGACTTATAAAGTAAAATTACAGACATTTATTTCTCACCATTCTGGAGGCTGGAAGCCCCATGTCAAGGCCCCAGGAGATTCGGTGTCTGGTGAGGGCCCATTTCCTAGTTCACAGATGGTGCCTCCTTGCTGTGTCCTCACATGGCAGAAGCAGCAAGGGTGCTCTCTGAGGTCTCTTTTATAAGGGCACGAATCCCATTCATGAGGGCATCAGTCTCATGACATAATCACCTCCCAATACCATCATATTACGGGTTAGGATTTCAACATATGAATGGGGGGAACACGATCTGAGGCAGCTTGGCCAGTTGCAGTTCAGTCTGCAGCAGCTTGGCCAGTTGTTCTCAGGCTGCTGCTGTGGGAAATGAGTCCCAGGATTCCATGTGTGTACAGCCCAGGGGACTGGGCGGGGCAGGAGACCCCGTACCGCCAGCACCTCCAGCAGCTGCAATGTTCTGTTTGCTCTACACAGGGGCCCTGGGTGCTTGACAGTGTGCTCCACAGATGAGACGAGTGACAGAGGCTTGGAGAGGCTGAGCATTTGCCTGAGGTCTCCCAGGCCAGTCAGCAGCCAGGTTGGAGGGCAAGGACACAGAGCTCCTGAGCATAGAGCTGCCCAAGATGGACAGCAAGGAGTGTGAACAAACTCCTTAACCAAGCTACCACCACAGGTGCCACATTAAAGACCAGCCACCAACTGTGCCATGACTTTATCTGCATTTCATAATAATAAAATAACATGTGTACTGCAGGTAATAACATTTGTCACTCAGTGAGCAGACAGAAAGTATAATTTTAAGTGGCAAATAGCTGACTTGGATTTAAAGGTAAACTATAGTTTCTGCTTTGGTGGTGATTTTGCAGCATCAAGCTACTGGATCTCTGATCACAAGTTTTATTTTTATTGATAATAAGCACATTTTAACTTTCCTGAATAAAATTACAGACATTAAAGATTGGGTCCTAATAAAAGCCTGAATATGTCATACATTATTAATGTCAGTAAATTTAAAGTCAAAATCTTTTATATCCCCTTTCAGATGAAGAGATGTTGTAACAGATGACTTTAAAACATGCTCTGCCTGTCATCTTCCAGCTGGAGTTCGGGAGATTTAAGCTGAAGCGTCAAACAAACTTGGTACTTTGGAAACATATTCAAGCCAATTCGTTTAGACGCGGTGTGCTCAAGTTTTGGGGGCTCTATGGCAAAATCATTTAATTTTTGCTACTGATCAGATGTGTAACATAAACCAAATTTAATCAGAAAACTTCCTTTTATTGAAAATGCTATTTTTGCTAAGAATCGAGATTATTGATCTGTGGGGGTTTCCCCCACTAGAGTCAGAACCTATTATTAAAGTCAGCTAAATATTACAAAAAGCTTTTATTAAATACTATGGAGATAAGATCTGATTATGGTATAAAGTGACCAAAGTACATTTCCATATAAGAGTCAGAATATAACTAACGTTCAGCTCAGCTTCTACAAGTTTTTGTGTTGCTGTATATTCATTTAATTTGCATCTACTTTTTTAGTTATGCTGCTAAGATTAGCTTCCACTATTCAGAGTACGAAGGGCACAAATTTATCATCATAATATTTCAATAGGTAAAGGGAAAAAACTCAAATTCACTCAACTTAAGGATTTTTTGAAAGGGCGGCCACATGAGATTAATGTCATGGTTCTATTGTCTTAATCTGTTCAGAACCCTTTGTCCCTTCTCTTAGTCAAACAAAATTCCTCTCTGTGAAGGGCCCCATCTCACCCCGAGCCTTCCCCCGCCTTTGCTGGCCATGGGGGAAGGCCCATGACTCATATCTGTGTGGTCAGGGCACTCCCGGGACCCTTGCTACAGTCATGGGGGAAATACCGTCCCTAGGAGGACATGGCCAGGGTTGCAGCAGCATCTGCCCACGCTGCAGAGGTTCATGTAAGGAGTGAAGGGCAGAGGTGAGCAGGGAGAGGCTCAGAGAGACAGGCCCCAACCAAGAGTTGCACCCCTGGATCCAATCGTACTTCCCAATCATCTGAGCCAACTTTTCGTTTTCTTTTTTTCCCCTTCAGTTACTTTTGAGTTGACTTTCAGTCTCTTCAATTAAGAGCCCCCAAAAAATAAAACCACCCTTCCCCCAGCCTCACTGTTCCTCTCCCCAACCATCCCCTTAAACGAGCCAAACTGTTGATTCCCATCTGAAAACGTGGTAAATATGGGTGAGCTGAAAAGAACACAGTGACCAAGGGTTTTGGGTGTGGGAGTGAGGGTGGTGGTGGCGGTGGATCAGCAGACATAATTCATAGCTGGGTGGCGTGCATGTTTCCTAAGCCTGGAGAATCTGGGCTTAAAATATTTACTGCAGGAGTAATAATGAGAAACCTGTGATGCTGGGAGGCCACATCCATTAGGCCTCACAGACCAACATGATGTAACCTCGATTTTCTGGGGGCTCTCAGAGTTGACTTAGGGTGGGCCCACATGAATTCACTGGGGCCAGTATCTTAGGCACAGTGGTCAGAGAACATCCTGAGAGTGGCTCATGAGAGTGGGACAGACTTTTGGGTACAAATCGATTTCAGACAAGGTCAAATTTAAGTTGGAAGAGACTCACGCACAAATGCCATCAGCTAGCTGCTTCAGCTGACACCCATTCCTTTTGTCATATGGAGGCTCAGACATGACACTGACTGCTGGCCAAAGATCATGGAACTGGGGGTGTGGGATATGGAAGGACAGTGACCTTTCCTGGCAGCCGGGTGAGGGCACCAGATGCCACTGGTCTGGCCCCAACCAGGGTCACAGCACACCTGCCAAGACAGGCAGAGGACAGGCGCTGCTAATGTCCACTTCCGGGAAGGGCATCAGAATGTACTCACTGCTCAACAGAGGTGTCCCCGGATGAAGGAGAAAGGGGACTCAGTTACTTTTTCAGAGATTTCTCCGAATCATTTCTGACTCCTCCCTAGCAACAAATGGCATTTAAGGTGCAAAAACTTTCAGTCAACTAACAGATCACGATGCTCTCCATTCCTTCCTGAAATGCTGTCCCTTGGCTCTGCCATGAATTTACACTAGAATACCTACAAATGCCACCTCTGGCTGTACCTCTTTCTTCATTTCTTCAGAGTTCTCAAGAAGGGTTCTTTGCTCATTTGTTGTTTAATGCTCAGCCTGAGGGAAAGTGTGAAGAACCTACCCAGCCTCCTAAACCTCACAGACTAGTGAAATAGAGAATCACTTACACAAACCCAAGTTGCAGATGACCAACGGTGACAATCGCAATAAAGAGGAGGAGGTCAGGGAGGACCTCCCTGAGCATGTCTCTTTCGGTCCCGCAGGACACGGAGGCGCTCAGGTGAGGACAGGAAGTACCCGTGGCAAGGAAGACAGGCTACACCACGGCTGTGAGCAGAAGGACTCAGAGCCATTCAGTGATGTGAAGGAGGTGTTAGGGCCACACTGTGAACAGCAAGGGCACAGGGCAGGCCTGGTGGCGGGGGGAAGGTAGCGGGTGACAGCGTGCAAGCAGCAGCAGGCACCTTCAGCTGATCCCGTAGCTGCAGAGAGGGATCTGGGCAGGGCAGGAGCATAGAGCTCTCCAGCTGAGGCTGGCAGAAACGTGTCGAGCAAAGCAAAAATATTCGTCAACTGACCTTTCTCTTCTAAGTGTCCTGCTGGCAGAAAATAATCTCACCATTAAGAACTGCGTACGTTTAAGGAAGAAGAAATTCTAAATTCCTGACCACCATGGAGAAAAAGCAGTAAATGTATTCTTGACAGCTTCCCCAGTCTTCCATGTCCCTTTTGGGCACCAATTTCCCTTGCACGAAATCTCAGCCCATCTCCAAAACTGTCCCTTCAGGTTCCTGTTGTTGTCAGGTGTCATGTAGTTTCCTCCCCGCTCTCTAAGGTCCTAATTGACCTTAGGAAGTTGACCCAGGAAACTTTTTACCTCTAGTAGTTTAGCTTTAGAAAACAAAAACCAGGCCGGGCACAGTGGCTGATGCCTGTAATCCCAGCACTTTGGGAGGCCAAGGTGGGCAGATCACTTGAGGTCAGGAGTTCAAGACCAGCCTGGCCAAAATGGTGAAACCCCGTCTCTACTAAAAATACAAAAAAATTAGCTGGGTGTGGTGGCATATGCCTATGATAGCCACTGGGGAGGCTGAGGCAGGAGAATTGCTTGAACCTGGGAGTCGGAGGTTGCAGTGAGCCGAGATCGCGCCACTGCACTCCAGCCTGGGCGACAGAGGGAGACTCTGTCTCAAAAAAAAAAGAAAAAAGAAAAACCATTATCTTTTTCAAAAGCTTAGCAAATCCCCATCTCCCTGAGCAGACTGCAGGCAACACAGCCCATGAGGAAACACCACTGGCCTTCCCTCCATGGTAAAATGAGGGTTGATCCCAAAGCGTGCGGAGCACCTTGATCAGTAACCAGCACTACAATAACGTGGCGCAGCGCCTGACAGCACCTTGCCTGTCTAAAGGCCTGTCTCCCGCAGGCTGTGGGAGCGCTCACTGGTGCTCAGCTCACCATCCTCCTCATCTCTCTGTATTTATCTCCTTGGGAAGGACAAACAAAGTCACCATCGTGGCCTCAGATCTGGGCATGGAGCAGGCATTCAATACACATCTGCAATTAATAAACCTCACTCGCTGTCTCATCACCCCGATTTCACACGCACTCATCGACCCTCCAGGCCTGTGTCTGCAGTGACAGGCACCTCCACTGCCAGGGGTGTGAGCGAAAGTAGGAGGCCAGGATCACGATGAGCAGACCTCCCAAGCACACAACACGCTGACCCTGCTCTGCAGCTATTTCTTCCTCCTTCCCTTCCACCAAGATCCTACGATGTGCTGGGCACTCACACACCCGTATGTCAGTGATGTTGCTCCTAGGGTGAAAGCACCGCTGTTACTGGCTGTGTCTGGTGGCTCTGTGGTACATTATTTCCTGAACCACCCTGAATTTCCCCAGACTGGAATAACTCCAGGATATTTACCTTTATTCTTTCTTTCTTTCTTTTTTGAGACAGGGTCTCACTGTGTCACCCAGGCTGGAGTGAGGTGGCGCGATCTTGGCTGCAACCTCCGCCTCCCAGGTTCAAGCGATTCTTGTGCCTCCGTCTCCCAAGTAGCTGAGATTGCAGGTATGTGCCACCACCCTGGCTAATTTTTATATTTTTAGTAGAGACGGGGTTTAACCATGTTGGCCAGGCTGGTCTCGAGCTCTTGACCTCAAGTGATCTGCCCACCTCGGCCTCCCACTGTGCTGGGAATTACAGGTGTGAGCCACTGTGCCTGGCCTGACTTTTCTTATTTCTAGGCATGCATACCCCATAATGAAACATTCTACTGTGCGCCATTCAAAATCCCCAAGTTCAGGAAGGGACTGCCACAGGATGGCAGGGAGGAAGAAGCCTCATGCCACAGAAGGGAGTTGCCATCCCTGAGGGAAACCCCAAGCAGCCACCCTGCCTGGGTGGGGGTTAGGGCTGCTGGCCCCCTGCCTCCTCAGCCTCCAGCTGGCTGCTCTCTGAAGGGGAGGGTAGGAGGAGCACCTGTAGGGCCCCTGCTTGGCCCCGTGGCACTGTGGTCTCACTGATGGACTTCAGCCCATACAGGTGGGGCCGAGTGTCTTCCAACATCTCTATGCGCAGGTAGTCCCTTTGCCAGTGGGTGGGCACACCAGGAACCAGCTCTGAAAGGGAGGTGTTGGGGCAAAGGACCCACCCTCCCGACCACCACATGGGTCCTTGTGTCCAGGGCTCTGAACCTGACTTTCCACTCCAGTCATAAGAAAGCCCATTCCTTTGTGAGCAGGCAGGCAAACAAAATGATAGAATATTTAAACCTGAAAAAAAAATGGTCTAAAAGTATAGAATTTTCTCACAAATGTGAATGAAAGTCAAATGGGAACACAGATGCCAATGAAGAGAATTAAAAATTTTTTTCATTATAATTTTTAATTAAAAATACATATTTAGTACCTCTCAACACATATACCAGATCCATGAGCCCAAGCGTTTTTGAATATGCAAAAGAGTGTACAAGACGCGGCAAGGATGAGACACGGCATTCTGGAGCACTGCTTAAAGTGTCAATCCACTGGCAAAAGTTCAGCACGCCTGCTGTTCTGCAGGACCACACCTGCTCAGGAAAGTGAAATGTGACGAATACACAAAAAGAGACAGCACATTCACGGGGGAACACGCAGGTGGCACGTGGTTGGCAAAGACACAGCCGAACCGTACTTGTGCCAGCTTCTCAGAACACTCTGGAGCCCAGCCTCTCTGCCTCCTCGTGCTTGGCTTTGGCACTTTCTGTAACATCTCTCTGCATCTACATGTCTTCATCTGTAACACAAGGAAACCCCTGGTACCCGTGGGGCTGTTATGAGGGCCCAGTAACTGAGGATGGCACTCAGCGGGGTGTTGACACGCAGCAGGAGCCCAGGTGATGGCTGCCATTGTGTTGTCATCCCCATACCAGTTCGCTGTTATGGCTAGGGACACATGCAGGATCCGGTGTGGCACTTTCTCAACAAGGTATGCACGCACCTCTATCCTCCCTAAAAAGCTCCAGAGGGGTGAGTCTCAGCTCACTTCGGCTCTCAGGGTCAGGAGCAGCTCAGATGTGAGGGCACGTATGAACAGGCTAGGGGGAGCACTGTGGGTCTATGAGAGGAGCCCCGTTTCCCAGGTAAGGGTGGGCAGCGGGGCTGGATCGTATGCTGCTTTGGACAAACAAACGTTACTGAGACATAAGTGCTCTGGAGCGCCTGGGTGCGGTCCACCTGTTCCGTGCTTTGGAGAAGGGCCTTGATGGAACTGGGCTCCAGCCTCCAAACCTGGGCTGCGAGGGGCCCACTCCTGGCCTTGCTGTGAGGCAGACTCATAGCCCTGGCCAAGTCGCTTGGCTGCCCCGGGCCTCGACTGCTTCATTTTCATAGAAAAGCGCTGAGCCAGGCTATCGCCTTTCCAGAATTCTACAGATAGTGCAAACTATCGATTAACTTCACTTTTTAAACGTAACTGTGTATAGCAGGCTTTGAAGAAGAAAAAGAAAACCCACAGTAGAAGCACAAGGGGATCAAGTGGTCCTCTTGGACACCACACAACCAACCTTTCTCGCCACTGAATGAAGTTTCTTAGCACAGCCGGTTAAACATTACAGATTTAGTCAACTTCAATTAGCAGCATTAGAACGAACTGCATGTTTACCACTAATTCATCTCTACTTTACAAACACCCACTTGTAAATTTCACAAATCAGACAATCAACAACTATGTTCCTTAAAAAAACAAAAACACAAAACCAAGCAAGATTCCCCATCAACAGCTGCCTCAGCACGGCCTGCTTCCAGGAAGGAACGCAGGCCACCCCAGCCTTTAACTTATGAACAGTTGCCCTCTGGGTGGCTCTCACAGCTGTGGGGGTCACTGAGGACAACCTGAGTGCGTGCCCAAAATCTGTGAATTCCCAAACGGAAGGGGAAGTTATAAAGAAAAACCCACATCAGCCTGGAGGAGTTGATCATAGGGACAGACTTCTGGGCAAAAACTGACATGAGTCAATGCAGGCTGATGTGCAGAAATACACCCAACTCCACCCATACTTGCCAAGGTCCATCGGTTACACCAAGGCAGCACGTGGGCCATGCAGGAGCCCTACAGATGCCCACCTGCTTGCAGGCAGGCAGCTTCACACATCAAGCCAGTAAACGAGCGCTCTCTCAGTAGCCTCATACCTGCTTCCAGGAAACAGACACTAAAATGGAATAGAGCAAAGGAACATTTTGGACATATGGATAGCACCTAAAAAAGAAAGCACACCGTATGGGTAAATGCAGACAGAAACATGCTAGGAAGATGGTTCTCTAATTCCCTGGCATATTTGGTTCACGTTTCTTTATTCGTAAACTTAAGACTCCCGCTTGAGTAACTCAAGTAATTAGTTAGGAAGGGGTGATCTTTAGGAAGCTGAAGCAGGGTGAGATCATCTTAGTAAGAAGCAACCAAGATGCCAGTTCCTGGGAAATGCTCTGCCTAATGTTTTGCCTTTCACCAGGACACGACTGGCTCTCACCCAGCCAAGCGCACACAGCAATGTGAATCCCACACACCCCACTGTGAACTCCACACCTGATTCTCCTTAGTATTCCAAGGGTACGGACCCCACCTTCACTTCCCAGGGTCTCTCCTGCCTTGTCCTCCATTAGAAATCTTTTTAGACAATCCGTGTCTATTTTCTCTCGAAGTATCCTCCCACTAATCTGTTGTGATTTGTTTTACATTTTTGGTTCTAAATACTTGGAAGCTAAAGATACACAAAAACAAACCCACATTTATTTTGGGGTGTCTGGCACCACAACTACTGCCGAAGATTCCATGTTATGTGGGCCCTTCCTATTATGAACAATCTTGCAAGACAGAATTTTAATGAATTCTAAATTCTGATACATTATATTTAATTCATGTTCATACAATGGTAAATTATACAACAGAGACATGAAAAGTAAACGTGAAGTATTAAATGCATCTCTGAAAACCCACAGAGTCCTTGTCTTAGCGTGATAAAGAGACGATAAACAATTTGTTGGAGAAGCGGAACATTTAAAATAGAATTAAGATAGCTGAATTTTCTTCCCCTTATGTTACATACAAACATTTTAAGGGGAACAGTTTGGCTTTGTACTGATTTGAAAGGAAAAAGTGGTTCCTTGGAGAGCGGCTTAGTTTAGAAAGCATGTCTGAATGGTATGTAGGATGATTAACAGGAATTTTCTCATTCCTGAAGAACATTCAACTCAGAAAAACAAACTACTTCTAAGACAAATGCACCATAAAGAATCAGCTTCTCCTTTTACATGACTCACAGAATATATAAGCCACACTGAGCATCCCAAGCACTCAACACCCAGGAAGCATATATACCAAAAATTACTGGGTACATCTCATTTCCAGCCTGTGTCAGGACCAAGTACCCTGTGGGAAAAGCCTGATGTTCTCTAGACCAGGGGTCCCCAACCCCCCGGGGCCACAGACCAGTACCTCTGTGGCCTGTTAGGAATGGGCTGCACGGCAGGAGATGAGCAGTGGGCTGGCGAGCATTACCACCAGAGCTCTGCCTCCTGTCAGGCGGTGCAGCATTAGATTCTCACAGGAGCGCAAACACTATTGTGAACTACGCCTGTGAGGGATCTAGCTTGTGAGCTCCTTTTGAGCATCTATCTAATGCTGATGATCTGAGGTGGAACAGTTTCATCCCGAAACCATCGCCCCCACCTCCTGCCACCATCCATGTAAAAACTGTCTTCCACGAAACCAGTTCCTGGTGCCAAAAAGTTTGGGGACTGCTGTTACAGATGAACTGCACTGTGACAGCTAGTACTGACAACAGCAAGAAGCCATCTGTGTAACAGGATCTTGATTATATACTTATATTAACACTGGGAAAAGAGACACAATGTCAACCGTGATTACTTCTGAGTGATAAGATCACGGAGCATTTGCTTTTCTCTTTTATGCTTTTCTATAGTTTCCAAATTTTAAAAGTAATATCCCAGCTGGCCACGGTGGCTCACGCCTGTAATCCCGGCACTTTGGGAGGCCAAGGTGGGTGGATCACCTGAGGTCAGGAGTTCGAGACCAGCCTGGCCAACATGGAGAAACCTTGTCTCTACTAAAAATACAAAATCAACTGGGTGTGGCGGCGCATGCCTGTAATCCCAGCTACTTGGGAAGCTGAGTCAGGAAAATTGCTCGAACCTGGTAGGCGGAGGTTGCGGTGAGCCAAGATATTGCCATTGCACTTCAGCCTGGGCAACAAGAATGAAACTCTGTCTCAAATAATAATAATAATAATAATAATAATATCTCTGTCTTTAAGAGTGAAGACAACTGATTAATAGTTTTATAAAACTCAGGCATTTCAGAGATTATGATTCTGAGGAATATCTGTTTGCAGAAAACTGTGCCATACAAAGAAACTGATGACAAAGATGCTGAAGATGACTCATGCGGCAGCGGCACATGTGTGCTGACAAAACTGCTCCCAGATTAAACTCAATTACGGAAAAGGAGTATACTCCTATGACACTCAGCTTCTCAGTTATTTTGATTAATGGCTCTTGCTCACCTCAACATTAAGGAACCAGGAAAAGTTACAAAGACGTGAATCCCTAGGGTCCAGGCAGAACTGGGGAACTGTTCCCTTAGCATTTTGGGGGCTAGCGCAAGGGCAGCAAATAACCTCAACAGTCGTGTGGGTGGGAGTCGCCAGTATTGATGCCTAGCAGGAACTGCATCTCCCTCCCACACCAATCAGCACCCCCAATTCCTGAGACTGAACAGCAATCACAAGAGGCAGAGTCAGGCCACACTGGGCTCAAATGTCAGTCCCAGCACGTACTGTGTGTTCTTGGGCACCTCACTTAACTTCTGAGTATCAGTTTTCTCACATGCAAAATGAGGCTATTATGATTTCCCTAGTAGGCTTACTGTGAAGATGAAATAAAAACATATTCGGGCACCTGGCAGGTACCTAGCACACTTTAGGCACTCGAGGAGAAATAATTATCACGGCCCATTTGCTGGGAAAACGCTTGTGAGATTAGTTTGGGGGACTTGGTTTAGGCTTTTCTACTGCATGAGCTTTCTGTTTGGCTTCAGGGTGGAAGCCACATACTCCTCAGCAGGGAGGTCAGGGAGCACTGATGCTGGCTGAGGGAGCCTGCGGCCCTGACACCAGCTACCAAGAGGCCTCCTGCTGGGGAGGGCTCTGGTGACCGCTTTTTAGTTGAAGGTACTCGTGTTATTTGGATGGTGTTATTCCAGTGTTATTCTTTCTAGTATTATTTGGATGGTGTTAACTGCATCTAAAGTCATCCATTTGCAGGGAACCGTGTGTGTGTGTGTGTGTGTGTGTGTGTGTGTGTGTGTGTGTGTGTACATGCACATGTGAGCTAGAGGTTACAGATCTTTCCCGTGGGTTCGGAGGGCCAAACTCATGTGTGAAAGGGACAAAGAAGAGAAGGCCAGGTCCAGTCTTTAACATGAGAGAAATTGAATGCCTGGCTGAGGTACCTAATCAGCTGCCTCAGAAGTGCCAGCTCTCCGAGGTAGGCCCTGGATTACATTATCTTTACACATCTGAAAATGAAAATTCACTGACATAAAGAAGTATGTCATAAGGATAACTGTGTACCTCCCAAGCCTGAGATTCACACCTGCAGCCTTCTCTGCATCCTACTGACGTCCCACCCTAACCTCAAACTCCACTACGCACCGTGGCTCAGTCTCCTCTTACTTCCCCCACTCTCTGGGTCACTGTTGGTCCTTCAGGCTGGAAACTCTTGAGTCATTCTAATACTTCTCCGAGGTGTTCCCCATCCAGTCAACAGAGTCCTAGGGGTTTTCCTTCAAAATCTTCCTTTTCTCTTTTGTCCTCCATCCCCACAGCTGAGCTCAGGGCTTGGGATGTCACCCTGGGTCACTCTCAGGCCCCGTCCCCCACCTCCCACTGCCAGGCTCAGGCCCTTCCAGTCGTGTCCTGAAGACAAGGATCAGGACCCCTGCCGGACACCCCAGCACTCATCTCCCCCTTAAGCCCTGTGGAAACCTCCGAGGGTTCTTTTTTCACACCCAGGGCCTTTACGGTGTGGCATGCCCCACCCCAGAGGCTGCCCCAGCCCTCTTGCTCACCCCAGTCCGGCTGGCTCGCCGATGGCCTTCCCCACACCTATGGGTTTCCGTCTTCACATCCTCACTTGCACTCTGCATCCCTCAAGTGAGACCCCACCCCCCCTCGCCAAGTCTCAACCCAGCTCAGAGTATTCTTCACATGAATGACTTCCTTCAGTTCTCAAAAACTTTATGAGACAAGCAGTCACGTATCCCGTTATACAGACGACGCAACTGAGGCTCAGAAGCTTCAGCGGCTTGTTCAAAGTCACTCAATGATTAAGAGCAGTAGGTGGCAAAGCCTGGATTTGAATGCAGGTGATCGAAGACTCCAGAGTCCTCCCTCCTGCCCACAATGCTACATGCTCTCTGAAAGCACAGGTGCCCGAGCTGCATAACTCAGCCCTAGTTTCCCATTGGACAGGAAGGGACAGTGCTATTGTTTGAATGAGGACTGTCCATCTTGTGCCAGTATTATTTTCCCGATTATATTACAAATACAAGCTTCAGAAAGTCAGGGACTAAGCCTTATCCTTCCTTCACATCCCGACCAGATGAAATAACATCTGACCAGGCTCCCCCTTCTGATCGGAACACACCCTATTACACTGTTGGGGTTGCTGCATCGTGTCTGCATCCCTGTTTCAAAGCCTTTGGTTACTGTTCTCAAAGGTCACTCACAGCAGAGAATGCAGTGGCTCAGACGGGATTTCCAAGGGATAGAGAAAGGGACAACTGAAGCTTAGACTCGGCTTCCACGAGAACCAGGCTGCTGCATTTGTTACCCACATTTCATTTCAGAGATGAACAGCTCTGCCCTTGTTGAGACCTGTGAGAATATTTATAATCACGATGACAGACCCACAATCCTATAATGCCGAAATGAGAATTTCCGATTTCCCAGCAATCACAGAGGCTGTGAGCCCAGGAGCTCAAAACAGCCTGGGGTGACCCAGCAAGAAGCAGAGATGGTTTTCACTTGCATGCTGGGGATATAGATATGATGAATAATTAGAGAAAGTTCTGAATCATGTACTGTTAGAACCATTCTGTGAAGCATCAGCTGGGCACGTTGACATCTGGTATTATTCTCATGTTCTAAGTCCAACTGCAGCAGATACTCGATGATTCTTTCTGGCCTCTTAAAGGCTTATGCCAAACTTAGGGCACTGCCCAGGCACAGCAGGGGAGCCCAAGTCTCCAGACTCCCAGCTACCTTTACGGCCTAGGGTAGTCTCTAAACCACTGCTGATATGTCTGCTTCTTTTAGTGCACAGGAAAATTACAAAAACGGCGCAAAAAACATTATTTTCCCCAAGCCATTTGAGACTAAGCTGCCAAGACGATGTTCCATTACCCGAATACTTTATGTGTATTTCCACAAATAAGGGCATTCATCAAAATCAGTAAATTTATATCAATACATGACTATCACCTCACCCTTGAACCCCTTCAAGGCTTGCTAGTTACTCCCGAGGTTTCTCATTTCTAAAACAAAGAACTTGGTATAATTCTGACTCTGGGACAGAGTCCCCCCAAACGTACAAAGCGGCCTACCACTAAATCCAGATAGTCAATTTGGTAGAGGAAAAATAATTCAGATTAGATCTGAAGTCCCCTCTGGGTCTCGTACCTGTGACTGCTGTGTTCTCAGGCTTCATTTTTTCATCTGTGATTAGTAACACTACTGAGGCTGGCCTGGGGTGCTATTACATATTTTCATATGAACTGGACATTTTCATAAATTTATGTACCATGTAACTAAAATCTTGCTTGACTACTCGACTAACCTGGGTCTTTTGATCTAAGTAAAATCAGCATGCTTAGTATGAAGCACAGGCTCAAGACCGACCCCCTTCCCACTAGTCTGAAGCCCTCTAATTCTTCCTAGACATAATTCTAGAGTCTTTACCACTGATATAAAAAAATGCCTGTAAGTGTTAAGCCGCCTGGTAAATTGCAAAGTGCTGTATAAATTGCAAGCTGTTGCTGCTCTCATTACATGTATTTATGCAGGCTAACCCTAACTAAAGGGCCTTTAGTTACCCGGGGCAGGGCTGCCTTCCCTGGTTGCAGTTTACAGCCAGTTACCCTGATCCCCACCTGCTACTTCTTGTAGCCATTATGCAGGTGGAAGAAAGGGAAGGGGGGAGCGGGCAGGAGGGAGGGAGGGAGGGAGGGAGGGAGGGAGGAAAGAATTCCAGGCCAGTCTGATCTTAAGATAAATTGCTGAGCATGATTCTTGTGGTAAGACTTGGTGTGCTTTAAAATGAGAGAAACTGGCCGGGTGCGGTGGCTCATGCCTATAATCCCAGGACTTTGGGAGGCTGAGGGAGGTGGATTATTTGAGGTCAGGAGTTCGAGACCAGCCTGGCCAACATGGTAAAACCCCATCTGTACTAAAAATACAAAAATTAGCTGGGTGTGGTGATACACACCTGTAGTCCCAGCTACTAGGGAGGCTGAAGCAGGAGAATCGCTTGAACCTGGGAGGTGGAGGTTGCAGTGAGCCGAGATTGTGCCACTGCACTCCAGCCTAGGTGACAGAGCAAGACACCGTCTCAAAAAAAAAAAAAAAAAAAGAGAAAAACCTCAACGGCACCAATAGCCACTATCACTTTCAGCAGGTAGCTATACCAGAAGGAAAGCGACTTGGCTCCTGGATCCAGCACACAGCACCTAATGTGGGCTTCCTTCCCCATAGAGAGGTGGTCAGAACCTGGTGCACGAGCCAGACTTCCTTTCACAAGACATGTGACGTCTGTATACACTGTCTTTAAAGATCGTGCATGATCTTAATGCTTTAAAAATGTTGTAAGGGCATCTATTGTTAAAACCAGGCAGATATTTATTTTTTACATAATGAGGAATTTGTTAGTCCACTTAAAATCTAAAATCAGACTCCATAAAGGTGTAAAAAGTAACTGAAGAATGTAATTCAAATTGCTCTCTTCTCCCTAGTAAAGGCATATCTATATTTTACTTTCACAAGAACTCAATTTAGAAAATGGTTGATAGTTTTCCGTAAACAATTGTTACCTTCACTGCTGCCTGGAGGGTTTCCACACCAGGTTTGACTCTCCTAAGCCACCTGCCCCAAGTCCCTTCTTTCGGGATCCACAACGACCTTGGGTTCCTCCAGTGTAGCAATAGTGCCCTTGGGGCTCCATCCACGGCTTCACTGAGTGGAAACTTGGAAGAAGTAGAGAGAAAATTCCCCATCTCGTGTGCCCCACAAGTTGCAGTCGCAAGGAATGGTTAATCCAAGCATGAGAGGCAATCCTGGTAAATGCACAGGCGGGCGGGGCATGGATCTACACTCCTCCATCTCCATTACAGCGCCGCCGGCATCCACGGCTCTCTATGGACCAGTGTGTTCTCCTCTCTGAGCTTTCCACGTTTCTTCATCCCCAATTCCTCCCCAGCTCTGCAGAGGAACATGGGATGCCCCTGCTCAAATCTTCAACTGTTTGTGATCACCCAGTGGAGATGCTTGAGTCCTGTGCACAGCCCAGTAAGGCCTCCCCATGCGGTTCTGACTACATGCTCGCTCATCCTCCATGCCCCGCTGTGAACTTCACTCCAGCAATGCGATGCCCCTCCTCATTCTGAGACGCCTACGGCTTAGCAGGTCCCTGAGCCTGTGTGGAACATACACACTACACCAGAGCAGGGGCTCTGTCCATCCTGACCTCTGGGACGGAGGCTGGCACTTGGTGGGTAGGGTCCCCTTGTGGATGCAGGAACTCTAAAAGTTCTGACATTTTGTTGTTCTGATGGTTGTTTTTGTTTTTTTATGGCTCATTTTTTGAGACAGGGTCTCACTCTGTGGCCCAGGCTGGAGTGCAGTGTTGCAATCACTGCTCACTGCAGCCTCCAACTTCTGGACTCAAGCAGTCCTCCCAACTGAGCCTCTTGAGTAGCTGGGACCACAGGCACATGACACCATGCTCTATTTTTTAAAAAATTTTTTTGTAGAGATGAAGTCTTGCTATGTTCCCCAGGCTGGTCTCAAATTCGTGGCCTCAACTGATCCTTCTACCTCAGCCTCCCAAAGCACTGGGATTACAGGCATAAACCATCGTGCCCAGCCCTGATTGTTGTTTTGAACTGACATTTTTCTAAAATAAATTTCTTAAAAACGAAAGTATAATACCAACAGAAATAAGCAGTCAGCTTTGCAAACTCCTCCAAGGCAGGTGTGCCCGTGAGCCTGCCCCACAGACCCCAGGGCAGATCACCAAGACAGAAGCCCCTGTACCTTCACTGAGGCTCTGCCTCCCTCCCTCCAGAGTACTGTAATCTTAATTCTAACACCAAGTGTTGCTTTTCACTGCTTTTGGATCTTACGTAACAATCCTACAGCTGTACTCCTTGTGACTTTGATCAGTTCAATTCCAAAGTTGATCCTAGCAGGGATATGCCTCTCAGAACCCTGTCAATTTCACCCACGGGTGCCAGCCACCCTGTCCCCATCCAAAAGCATCAGCTCAAACCAGTGCAAAGGCTGTTTCACAGTTAGCATTAGGGAGCCCTCTCAGTAGCCTCTGTGCTCCCAGGTCTGGGTTGGATCAGAGGCAGGAGTTCTGGGGCTGATCATGCAAGTTTCTAACCACGCTAGGCCTAGGTGTGGTCCTGTTGGGAGGAATGCTGAGGAGTGAGCCCTGGGGCAGGTGACGCTGGATGCAGAAGTCCCAGGTAGGTAGGGTGGCAGGGTGAGCCACGGGCAGGTGGGCCTGTGAACAAACCCTCCTGAGGATATGATCAGGTTGTAAATGGAACCGTAACTTTTTGGGTAATGTGAGTCAGCCCTTAAGCCTATGTTAACCACCGAAAAGAGAATTAACCTTTGGGGCTTTGCAAGGCTCCAGCTGGTGTCATAAAGTAGTAACAAAAAACTGCTCTTCAGTAGCTTGAGGGAAAATCTTTGAAAAATACCTCCCTGGGAGCAGCTTCCCCATCTCAAAAGATGTAGCATAGTGCTTTTACAACACCTCGCCTGCACAATTTTCTAAGTGGAGTTGCAGTATTAAGGCCAGACCTCAGCCCAGGACCGCTCTCCACTGAGCTCAGAGCTGTGCAGTCTGAGCCCTTCAAAAACATCAACTGGATTCTGCCAGCAGAAACAGTTCTTGATCATTGTTCCCTGTTATCTGTGGCAAAGTTCTGACTATTCATGATCATAAGCTGAATATGAGAAGAGATCCAGTATACAAATGTTTTGCCCATGTGAAAATAAGAGCTCAGGTTGCTTTTATCAATTTTAAATTATTGCAGAGAAAGAAAGCAGGTAAATACTTTCATGAGAGAGCTTTTTGTCAAAGGTTCTCACGTCTTTCCTCAAGCTACTCTTAACAAAGTACTGTATGTGACAAAATTAAGTTTATTAACAACTTCAGGACAGCAAATGAGTACAAGAAAGCAGGAGAGAACTACACAGAGTTAGGGTAATCTACAGTTGGAGATGCAATACACAACACTGTGGTTTTGCTGGGGAGGCCGGTGCCATTTTATTCCAAAGCAGGAAGGAATCTTACCATGGATTTATGAATTAGGTGGACTCCCAAAGCAGTAAAAATGGCAAATGTGGGTGGTGCCATGAGTTACTAGATTGATCCCAGGAGTTAAAGATCAGCCCAGGCAACATGGCAAAATCCTGTCTCTATAAAAAATACAAAATAGCTGGGTGTGGTAGTGCATGCCCGTAGTCCCAGATACTCGGGAGGCTAAGGTGGGAGGATCACCTGAGGTCAATACTACAGTAAGCAGGGATTGTGCCACTGCACTCCAGCCTAGGCAACAGAGTGAGGCCCTGTCTCAAAAAACAAAAACAAAAACAAACCGTGGTCAGTATACATGTGGTGTACTTTTGATGCTGTTTCCATGCCTAATACACAGCAGGGATAATTTCTGCAGGCTGCACAATTGGCCTAAAGTCATACTGTCATTCTGATGGTATACCTGTTTAATTATCATCACCAACAGTAATAGGAAGCCATGAACACTTTGGCTCCTATCTTTTTAGCAAAAAAAAAAACAAAAAAAAAACCCCAAAAAACAAAGAACAAAAAACAAAACACAAACACACACAAATGCAACTAATGAGAGGCAGGAGGGGCTATGGAAAGCATTCTCACTTTCCTTCTTGGCAACGCCACATCTATAAGCTTTGCACAGAAGTGCACAGAAGTTACTGCATGATGGTGAGACCTGATCGGGGGTGCCTCCTCTTCCACTGGATGCAGCTCAACAGGGCAAGGGAAAACTCATGCTGAGATAACAACATCCCTTTGTCCAACAAAAACCTCCAGGTGAGCATGATAAAGAGATCAAAACAAAAAATATATACTAACCATGGGGATATTTCTCCCTCATGACGGGGATACTGATCCCCAAGGGCCTTTTGGCTATGAAGATCAACTGCTATACTCAATAAAGGGGTTCAGAACATCATTTTTTCTGTATTTTTACAATAGCTAATGCTTAACAGGAATGTTTCCCAAGAACTGCTTGCCTGAACTGAGACCAAGCCTATGGGAGGGCTGACACTCTACAGAAGAGGATCTGACCTACTCAGCACAGGCCTAGAGGGCAGAATAAGAGCCAAAGGAAGGAAGAAAGTTAAAGAAATGTAAAAATCTGATTCTATTTAAGGAAGAGCTTTCTAACAATCTGTTTTCGCCAAAAATGGGATTGGCCTACTCGAACCGACGCTGCGCTCCAGCAGGGCTGGATGGCCATCTGTCGGGGACGGGCGCGGGCCCAGTGCCGGCTCCAGGACGGGCGGCTGGCTCAGTCTGAGAGCCTGGGAGTACACGCATTGGCTGAACCGATCACAGCTCATGAAAAAACTAAGCATGCTGGGCGGAAGATGTGGTTCATAGTTTTAATTTGTGGCTTTGTCTTTTCTGCTTCTAGAAAACTGAGGAAGAAAACTGACAAGGTTTTCAAGGGAATTTCCAGGTCACCCAGAGAACTCGCCTTGCCTTGTTCTACTTCCTACAAGTCTCTAAGCACTTCATGCTTTACTAGAATCTTGTAAATACAAAAAAAAAAAAAAAAAAAGAAGACACACAACAAGTCAACAACGTAACAATGTTTGGCATCACTAAAAAGATGGTACTTTGGTGAAAGGTAGAAATTGGAAAAATAAAGCTCAGGACAACCTTCAAGTTTTTCTCTATTCATGCTACCCTCTTTTTTTGGTAACCACAGTTAATTAAGAGTTATAAGCATAAAACAGTGTTTCTTTCAAGTGGCATGCTTATGTGGGGGAAGAAAAGATGAAAGGGAGGCAGCTCAGTGGAGAAGGAGCATATTGCTAATCAAAAATGAAATTTCTCCATCAGGCTGAGAATCTACGATGGCCAGTGAGCTGGTATGATTCATACGAAGTTCCATGTCTCACTTATCTCTCCAAATCATGGTAAGAACCTAATCCATACACAAAAATACTACCTAATACATGAAGGCTTTCGATGATTTTGCAGAGGGAGTTTAGACTTTTCAACATGGCAGAAAAGAAAAGATGAACATTTTGCAACACCCACCACATTTGGTGTATAATTTTACTTTCAGTTTTCCTACGTATTCCTCATTCTCCATTCCCCAAAAGAAAACAAATCCTCTTGTTAGAAATTTTTTTAAAACCCCAAGTAAATGTGACACAGGTGATAATATTAACTCATTTCACTAGCAAACCCTTAAGTGATAACCTGCAGTCTTGGATACAGACAACATTATACTCATAAGAAGGTAACAACGTTTTAAATGTCAGCTCAGATGAGTCATTCTTCAAAAAAGTCCTCGCAATTATTTTCTCAGGTAATCTGAGGCAGTAAATACTGTAAGTCAGTTCCGTGTGCATGTAAAGGCAAGACTGGATACTGTTAACTTTGTGTAACTCCAGGAGGGCACTGCCCATAACCTGACAACACCTGGGAAAACAAGAGGCACATGGGGAGCCGGGCACGGTGGCTCACGCCTGTAATCCCAGCACTTTGGGAGGCCAAGGTGGGCGGATCACAAGGTCAAGAGATCGAGATCATCCTGGCTAACACAGTGAAACCCCATCTCTACTAAAAATACAAAAAATTAGCCGGATGTGGTGGTGGGTGCCTGTAGTCCCAGCTACTCGGGAGGCTGAGGCAGGAGAATGGTGTGAACCCAGGAGGTGGAGCTTGCAGTGAGGCAAGATCGTGCCACTGCACTCCAGCCTGGGCAAGAGTGTGAGACTCCGTCTCAAAAAAAAAAAAAAAAAAAAGAGGCACATGGGGACAACAGTATGGCTGAACTAGGCCCCCACCATGGAGCGGCCTCTGATGTCACAAAGCTGCCCTCTTAGCTAACGGCACCCAGGACTGTGGTGTGATGTAGCATCCATTTCAGAGAGGGAAAAAGTGCTTTGGCTGTCCCCTGCTCTAGGCACGTAGGCCAAATGGACAGGATTGTATAAGAGAGAAAGAACTTCATGTCACGACACTGGCAGAGCTGGGTAGACTTAGAGGTGAGAATTCCAAGTCAGGCTCCTCTAACGTTTTGATACAAGGAGATACCTGTGCAGGGGTCCCAAGCACACAAAGTGTCTCCATACACAGGACCCCAAACTCCAGAATCTCCAGGAAATGAAAAACATCCTCTTTCTCCATCTTCATCTCTTAATTCTTAGATTATTAAAAAAGACAACTAGGAAGATATTAACTTTTAAAACAGACTTTTTTTTTTTTGAAACAGCAAACTAACTAGAAAGACGAACAGTGTCCCTTGAAATGCACAAGGCTTCCTCTCTCGAGGGTGAAACACTCACCTAGTGTGTCCTTCAGGTTCTTCACGAGGGAGCCCTTCTTCAGGCTGTTCTTCCGCTCCACGTAGTTGGACGGTACATAGCCCGTCCTGTTGGCCGCGTTCCTCACCCGCCACCACGTCTTGGAGTCGTCCAGCAACCACAGCCGCTCGTTCTTCTTGATGTCCAGCTCCTGGTCCTGCTGGGCGGTGTAGTCCCACTTGGCTATCACAATAACTTCTTCTGTCATCTTTCATGGAGTCCTTCTGCCAGCAAAACATTTGGAGATGCTCATTAGAGAACTACCCGGACACTTCATCCTTTGCACCAACTTGAAAAATTAGGCACTGACAGCTTTTATTACAACTCTGCAACCAGTTTTCTCCTGGGTCTTGAAATGCTCAACTTTAAAATGACCTTCTTTCAACAAGCTTTAGTATTTGGTTTAGAAACAGCAACCTTATAAAACAAATCTTATGTTACTGTTTGCTGTACATGGGGAAATCTGACCCTCTAACAAAAACAAACTTGAAAAAAATTCTAAATAACATTATAATTAAATGAGTCCATTTCATTAAGTAACACTGCCTCCTGATAACTGTTAGGTTGACACTCATTTTCTCAGGATATGCTGTGTCTTATAAACATATTTAATAAGTCAACATAACCAAACTACTCCTATAAATTAAAATTAACATTGTACTAATAACAAGGTGGTATCCTGGATTGGATCATGAAACAGAAAAAGAAAATTAATGGAAATACTGGTGAAATCAAAATAAAGTCTAAGAATAATAATAACAATAAATAATTGTCAATCTCTTAGTTTGGACAACACACCAGTAAGATGTTACTGCATTCACATAAGATGTTAACACAATGAGAAACCAGGTAAAGGGTATAAGGGAAAGTTCTGTACTATACTGGGAACTTTTTTATAAATATAAAATTATTCCCCAAAACTTTCATTCACACAAAAACCTGTGCAGAGACGTCTGTAGCAGCTTTATTCATAATTGCTCAAATTTGGAAGCAAGCAAAATGTCCTTTAGTAGGACACAGTTTATAGATACATAAACTGTGGTATATCCAGACAATGAAATATTATTCAGTACCAAAAAGAAATGAGCTATCAAGCCATGAAAAGACATAGCGGAACCTTAAACGCATATTGCTAGGTGAAAGAAGCCAATCTGAAAAGGCTACACACTGTGTGATTCTGACAGTTTATCCTTAACCAAACTTCAGCCAAATTCCTTTGAATCTTCTTCCCTTTAAGGCCTCAACTTTTGCACTTCCGTGTCCATCTCTGCATTGCCCAATTTTTGCAAGACTCTCCTGCTAAGGTGCTCTAGCTGGAATCCTCCACTCTCAACATCTGATCAGGTTCCTCATCCTCTACCATCCCCCAGGTGACAGCTGATCACCCTGTCCTGCCTTCAGAAGAATCCTGTTCGGTCAGTTTAGCCAGAATCCCCACGCTCCACCCCTGATGTTTCCTCTTAGTAATTTTCCACCCACCAACTCCCTTATTTTGCTCCTTGCCTATAAATGCCCACTCTTCCTTGTTGTCTTAATATTAGGAGTCAAACCCAATCTCTTTCTTGACTGCAAAACCCTACTGTAGTAGTCCCTCTGAATAAAATCTGCCTTACTGTTCTTCAACAAATGTCATGAATAAGTTTTTTCTTTAAAACGGTATGACATACTGGAAAAGACAAATCTATGGAGACAGTAAGAAAATAAGTGCTTGCCTGGGGCAAGAGGGAAGGGAGGGATGCAAGGGTGAAGCACAGGATTTTTAAGGCTGTGAAACTACTCTGCTCAATACTATAATGGCGGACACCTGTCATTATACATTTGTTAAAATCTATAAAATGTGCAACATCAAAAGTGAACATAACATTTTTCCAAAATGAAAAGTTTATCAAAACAACAATAAATAGATGCGTGTATTATATATCCAGTAAAGTCAATTTTGGAAGTAATAAATAGCAAAAGTGTGGCTGAATAAATAAAATAAATAATCAACTATTTTAGCAACTCTCTACTTCTTAGGTAGAAGATGAACCAATATTCTTTAAGCAGAAAAATTCAATATTCAGTCCTTAAACTAACTAGACATTTCTCCAAACTAGGGAGAAATGAATGATGAAAACACTCAGGACTAAAATCCCCTTCCTCCCTGACAGAGAAGTTCTCATTATTGTATAGGGATGACTTTAGGATTACAGGGGACCTATGCACATTGACTCCATGGAAGCATAAATACCATTTTTAAATAACATATTTTCTACTAGATGCTAAAAAAATTTTTTTATAAATAATACACGTTTCTTTCATGAATTAACTTCCAAATTTAAAGATAACAAACCTTTTGGGAAGGAGGAAAGCCTCTGCATAATATATACAATATTCAAGAGGATAAAGTTTACATGAAGCTCCTATCAGAACTGGAGACAATTTTGTTATCCACTTTCAGAAAATCTCAAGTGCATACCATGTAGAACTCACTAACCTGAGCTTTATGTCAGATTAGACTTTTGAAAGTCATAAAGGCAGATTTTCTAAGTAACAAGAAGAAGAGCAATAGCAGTAACAGGAATGGAATATTCAGAGAATATTCCATCTGAATACCACATTTCTTAATTACACAATTTCCACAAGGTTTTAACAAGAGCAGCCCATCGCTTAAGACCAGTCAAGATCTCGCCAATCAAAGCTGTTTATTAATATTTCCTACTGCATGAAGGGTAGTTAAGTAAAGAGCTGGCTGGGCAGGATCTATTTTCACGCACACCGAACATCATATAGAAGCTTTAAAAATTCCACTGCCTGAGCCCTACTGCAAGCCAATTATATCAGTATCTTTATGAAAGAGGCCTGAGCATCCAAGGAGTTTTACATCTTGCCATGTAATTCTTCCGAGCCTTAGATGGGAAAGGCCAAGTGAGAGAACCGAGCCACAAAACAACACCCCACAGAACTTCCCCTGGGCCACAACCCTGAGCTCTGCGAAATGCAATGGGAAGTAAATGTTGAGCAGTGATGCGCACCTGCCACATGCCAAGGCGTTTAATCTTGGGAAAACACCCACCTTTCAGGGAGGTGTCATCCTTTAGGAGACTGTGTCACAGAGACTGAGTGCCTTATTTAATGACAGTCAGGATTTGAGCCCAGGCCTGTGGACCTCCCCTCCCCGACCCGCCCAACCGTCCGATGCGTGGTCTGCATTTTGATAGGCTTATTCCAACTCAGAATTCTAAGATTCTAGGACACGTGAAAATTAAAAGTTCCCATACAACTAGGAAATGACTGCCTATTGGTTAGCCATAGCAATGGGTTTAACCCTATTTTAATGGCTCAATGACAGCCCCCATCAATTTAAACCAAACCAAAACAAAACAAAACCGAACCTGCTTCTGAAGACCAGTCAATCGACGTCCGGCTCGCTCACTTACTGCACTGACGCCCACCAATTCACCACCACCTCATATCAGAGGGCCAGCCAATAAACGACCACTTCACTCCAGTGAAATCCAGCAATCAAAAACTAAGTCACACCAGACGGCCAGCCAATCAACAACTGCCTCACTGCAGTGAGACTGCTTCAGAGGGACAGCCAATCAATGACAGCTCCATTGGCGTAATCACGCCTCAGTAGCTAAAGGTTAACCAATCCCTGAACGCTTCCGCTTCTGAAACTCCTGGAGCACTGGAAGCCACACTTCCCAAGACCCTTAGAAAGCTCAGCTCTGGCCGGGTGCGGTGGCTCACGCCTGTAATCCCAGCACTTTGGGAGCCCCAGGCAGGCGCTTCACGAGGTCAGGAGATGGAAACCATCCTGGCTAACACGGTGAAACCTGTCTCTAATACAAAAAGAGCAGCCGGGGGTGGTGGCACGCTCCTGTAGTCCCAGCTACTCCGGAGGCTGAGGCAGGAGAATCGCTTGAACCCGGGAGGCGGATGTTGCAGTGAGCCGAGATCGCGCCACTGCACTCCAGCCTAGGCGACAGAGCGAGACTCCGTCTCAGAAAAAAAAAAAAAAGCTCAGCTCTGTGCCGGACACCGACTTAGCAGCCCGGTATCCTCAATGAAGGAGGCACCCCCTACAGTTTTTTGTTCTGAAGCTGAGTTATGGCCATGCACTGATACAACAATGGCTCCCTCATTTACACAGCCGGGCTGGGCTGCTGCCCTCAGAGACCCCAAAACAAGTGGGAAGGAAGAGTGCCCCATCACCCTGTATCCTCACAGGCTTCGGTCTTTTCTCTCTTTGCCAACACAGGTTGGAAAGGCTGGCTGGAAGCCCATCTGGAGGGTCTTGTTGGCCGAGAGTTGAAGTTGCATCCCTTGGACGCTGTTTCTTAAAACCCAACAGGACCATGTGGTATTTTCAGTTAAGAGTAATTTGCTATGGTGCAGGATGGATTTGAACAGAAAGAGACTGCAGATGACCCATTATTCTACAATAAAATTAGACATACAAACTGACAAATTTCCAATGTGAAAAAGCCTCAACAGAAGAAAGTCTGAAAAAAAATGCATTCCAGCTAATTGACTACTGAAATTTTAAGTCAGAGATGGTATTCTGATTTAGTCTAGGCAAGACCATCATAGAAGTCTGATCCAAAGAACAACGCATGTTTTTCTCTCTAGCTTAGCAGTTCAAGGAAACCTAATTTTTGGCTTCATTACTACAGCTAGTTAAGTTTATTACTCAGGTCTAGCCCAAAGAGAGAAGGGCTACAAATTTGATATTATATAGCCAGATTACATCTTGTATGTCATGTGACCACTCTAAAACACAGCTTAGCAAGACCCCCAAGTTATGCTGGAAAAACAGCTCTCAGAACCTCATGAGCTAAGCTGCCTTTTCAAGTCTTGGATGGGAATGGGTTTAAAAACAAATAGGATAGGTATAAAAACTTTCTCAGCTCAACAGTTTTCACTAACGCCTAAAATACGAGCAATCCTACTCTAAGACCCTATTTTCTTTCTAAAGACAATCCTATGAACCGTATCTTGCTGGGTTAACACACTCCTGATAGTAGCCAGTGCCCCTACAACATTAAAAAATGGTCATAGAGATTTCCAAAGAGGTCACGGGGATCAAGGTGAACCAAATATTACAGAAGAAAGGAGTTAAGGGTCTGAGATTCAAGCTTAGCTGAACCATTTGTATGTTCTCCTTGGATTTCAGTTTCTTCTGTAAAATGGGACACCGCCACCTGCCTCGGAAGATACTTCTGATGCTCAGGAGAGACATGAATACAAAGTGCTTTAGAGGGCAAGGTTTAACATTTATATAGGTGTGGGCCTTACTGCCACCTTAGCCCAGCTGCCTCTTCAATAGCCCAGGGTAATACCTCATGAGGAGCTTGTAAACAAAGTCCTGAGGCCGGATGTGCCAGCATTAAGAGAGACTTAAGAATGGCAACTACAGTCATAATGAATACCCTCTGAATATTTATGTCATACCTGTCAGGAGGGGCCATGTTCTACCCATCTCTGCTTCATTTAACTAGGATTTACTGAGTTTTCTAAGCACCAGGTTCCTTGCAGAGTAAGACAGGCCCAGTGGCTGCTCTTCTGTGATTCAAGCCAGTGAACAAGCAGTACTGCTTCAGAGATACCCATCAAAGTGTCACTCTCCTAGCCCTCTTGTCTGACTTCCTGAAGAGCATTAGAGCATTTAGCACCAGAGACCACCTGGTCACTTACTTATTGTCTAGGAGGCCCCACTGTGTATTGACAATGGGTGTTTAGGCTTCAGCCACCTGGTTTAATGGGAAGCTGAAGGAGAAGGCAGACTGATGATTCCAGGTTAATATCCACCTGCCTCATTCACCTTTCCACTGACTAACCAATTTATCCCGCCACAGAGAAGACCAGAGTCTTCCCTCCCTCCTTCTTTCCTTCTTTCTGATGGCATCACAGAAAGGCATCTGAGGCTGGAGTGCAGTGGCACAATCACAGCTCACTGTAGCCTCCAACTCCTGGGCTCAAGCGATCCATCTGCCTCAGCCTCCTGAGTAGCTGTAGGTGTGCACCACCGCGCCCTGCTAGTTTTTTACTTTTTGTAGATATGGGGTTATCTACAAAAAATATCTATGTTGCCTAGGCTGGTCTCAAGCTTCTGGCCTCAAGGGATCCTCCTGTCTTGGCCTCTCAAAGCGCTGGATTACAGGTGTGAGCCATTACACCTGGTCTTGATTTCTTAAACTTAATTCAAAATATACGCAGGGAGACAAAAACAAGTCTAACATGTTACTTCCAGGATATTAACTTGAAATTTCAAAAATACATATGTGCACATGTGTGCATACCAAAATATATTTGTCTATGTGCAAATAATTGGTTTAGAGTTCAGTTAGTAGAAAAAAAATTGAGTCTATATGAAAAATACTGTCATCCCTACCTTGATTTTCAACATGCAGTCTGAATTATTCAAATAACACAATCTACTTCGCTGTGGCTCCTTAAGACTTTTTTCTTTGTAATATCTCATGCCTTAAAATGCAACTGATCAATTTATGGAAACTCATTCAAATACAGGCTTTTAGTAGATATCATTTGGGAAGGGGCTTGTTTCAATATTTTACTGGGGAGGGGTAGAGGAAGGCAGGCCTAGTTGAAAGAAGTTTACTGAATCTAAAGCACACATCCACTAACTCAGTTCCTCTCGCCCCCTCTCTCTTGCAGCGTGTTGGAGGCAGGCCGTGTGCACTGCTATTCTCGGGAGCAAAGAAGCATCTTCTCTGTGGCTGCTCCCACTGAGCATGGCTGACTCTTACAGGGCAGCAGCTTCTGGTCAGTAAGACCTTTGCTCAGTATGTTATTTTGGAGAGAGTCCTTTCATGATCTGTCTTCTGTTTTTATTGGGTAATGGTCAAAATCTGCTGCCGGTAAACTCTCTTCCGACCGTTGAAATTACAGAGGTTTCCTCTGTGGACACTGATAGGACCACTTTTGTGAAAGATCCTCTTCAGCTGCAGAAAGCCAGGGTTTGAAAAGCCAGCTTCATATCAACCATCTGGGTGACTTTGGGGGAAGGTGCTTGACCACTCTGCCCCCCATTTCTGTGTTTGCAGATGGGTCAGAGCTTCGGTGAGGATTAAATGAGCCAGTCTACAGGAAATACCTAACACTCAGTCTGTGCTGGACAAGTGTTAGCCATTATTGCTCTGCTAATGTCCACGTAATGCCCAGTCATCACTAGGCTCAATGGCTTGAACATAAGGTTCACGGGGACTCAAAAACGTATGTGCAATAGATTATGTCATTGAAAAACAGAAAACTTAAACAGAAAGATGTGCCAACACTCAAAGGTAGTAAAATTGGGATGACATAGTTCTGTGAGGTTTTACGAAGAGATCCCAATAAGTCTTGGGTCACAGCTCCCTTTTTTTAATGCTCCCAGTGTGGCTAATGCTAATGCTATCAGCTTGTATCTAGCTAGCCTAGAAAAGCTTTGATGCAACCACAGCATCTAACAGAATACATTTTACAAACAAAGAGGTGTAGTCAAGCTATTATAAAATGTAAATTTAAACTATTTGTTGTTCATTTTAGAGAACCAGTCAATGAAAAAATTATGCTTAAGTACTTGGGATGGGTGATTATCCAGTGAATTCTCCTCCCTCTTTGCCATCTGCTCCTTCCCTGATGTACCCTGCGTGTCCCACCAGGCCCCTCTCCCACCCTGGGAGCCCCCTGAAAGCTCATCCACTTCCCATTGGCTGGCTGGCTCTTGTTCCAGGTCTTTACTTCTAGGGAGGCCAGTTCCGCTGCACACCTGCATTTCCACCTGCCCACCGGGACACAGGCCAGGACCCTACAGCGGCATTCACCACTGCTTAAACAGTAATTATAGTACATATTATTCAGCAAAAGTTCAAGCACACAATATCCCACATCATTTCTTTTCTACAAAGTTGTGATAAAATATATTTAACAAAGTTTAACATTTTAACCATATTCTTTTTTTTTTTCACCCAACCCCTGCAGATTAACCATTTTTAAGTGTACAGTTCAGTGGCCTCAAGTACATTCACCCTGTTGTGCAAACATCAACATCATCTATCTGCAGAACTATTTTCATCTTGAAAAACTGGAATAGGTACCCACTGAACACTAACTCTCAATTTCTCCCTTCCCCCAGTCCCTGGCAACCACTATTTTACTTTCTGTCCCTGCGAATTTGACAACTCCAGGTACCTCATTTAAGTGGAATCACTTGTCCGTCTATTTGTGACTGGCTAATTACACTTAGCATGATGCCTTCCAGGTTCATCATTTGGTAGCATGTGTCAGAATTCCCTTAAGGCTGAATAACATTCCAATGTATGCATATACCACATTTTGTTGGTCCGTTCATCCATCACTCGACATTTGTGTTGCTTCCACCTTTGGGCTGTTGTCAATAATGCTATGAACATGAGTATGCAAATATCTCTTCACGTCCCTGCTTTCCAGTCCATTGGGTGTATACCTAGAAGTGAAATTGCTGGGTCATATGGTAATTCTAGTTTTAATTTTTTGAGGGATTGCCCTAATGTCTTCCACGGAGGCTGCATCTACAATTCCACCAACAGTACACAAGGGTACCAAGTTCTCTACATCCTTGTCAACGCCTGTTATTGTCTACTTTTTGACAGCAGTCATCCTATTGGGTGTAACGTATACATCAATTTCTTAACTGAACAGTATTTGTACTGCATCCTCAATAGAATTTATTAGCACATAGCAATTCTCAATAAAAAGAAAAATTTTATACTGATCATAAAGATCATCTACAGTTTTCTGCTACACCCTCCTATTATTTTTTTTTTTTCAGTGAGTATCTACCATTAATTTATCTTTACTGCCAGGATCAGGTTACCCCTCAAAATTATAGAAGAAAAATGCCTTAAAATGTGAGTTTATCATCCAGTTTTCAGGAGTTCATCATTGAGCAACTCATTTACTCTCTGAAATGCCAAGACACACTAGCGTTCTGCAGACTAGACTCTAAGTCAACATAGCTCATTAGTGTCTGGGAAATTTTACAGAAAAAAAAGAAGTGGTGGCACTGTCGCTTCAACTAGAATCTGGGAAATGCTATTTTACACATAATTTACCACTCCAGCTACAAAAGTACACAATTTTGTAACCTTCCTTGGCTTTCTCGTTGGTGTCTTAGACACTAATCACACTGGGAGGAAGGCTGTGACTGTCAAGTGATTCCCTGGTGCCAGCATTTTGGAAAATCAACATAAATTTAATAAGCCAATTTTCTTACATGATGTTAACTGTAAACAAATGAAATTCCATATAACTGCACTGGAATCAACACTGCCTTCTGCCAAGCCAGAAGACAGCATGGTGAAGGGGTGAAGAGGAAATACCAACAATGGGAAAATACCCACGTATGAAAATGGACATAGATGTCTTTGGTGGAACTTGGCTTCTTAGGAAACACAAGTGAGGTCTTTTCAGGTAGTGCATACTCCCTGCTCCCAAAGTAGACGGATAACAGTCACCATTTTTAGCGGTTTATCAGGCCTTCCTATTTTTTTTTCACAGCTGTAAGGTACTTGTAAATTTTGTAACTTAAACATCTACTTCAAAAAAACCTCGGCTGGGCGTGGTGGCTCACATCTGTAATCCTGGCACTTTGGGAGGCTGAGGTGGGTGGATCATCTGAGGTCAGGAGTTCGAGACCAGCCTGGCCAACATTTGAAACCTCACCTCTACTAAAAATACAAAAAATTAGCCGGGCATGCTGGTACATGCCTGTAATTTCAGCTACTCAGGAGGCTGAGGCAGGAGAATCACTTGAGCTCAAGAGGCGGAGGATGCAGTGAGTAAAGATCAGTCACTGCACTCCAACCTGGGTGACAGAGTAAGATTCATCTCAAAAAAAAAAAAAAAATTCAAAATATAAATGTCATGAGTTTCCTCAGTTCTTACAAATGAATTCAGCTACATTAATCAATATCTGACCTTTTTCCTTGCCACCTTGTTACTCACGATTCCCTGCCTGATTTTGAAACATGCAAGGTTGAAACAAGAAGCACAGTGATTTTTAAAAACAGATTCCACACTACCCAGGTCTCATAATGTTAAAATATTATTAGGCTACTAAAATCATTTTAGTTCTGCAGATTTATATGGTTTATGCCCACATTCCTAAGCATGGTATCTATGCTTTAGATTTTCCTATTGAAGTGGGAGAGTGGATTATAGAAAGCCCCTCTGCACCCCGCTCTAGGGACAAGAACCTGTACCTACCTGCCAGCAGGGACCCTGTGTAGGAGAGGGGACATGGGTTACTTTGGGTTTAATTACTATAGACACCTCTATAAATGAGTTTGGAACAATAAATGCTAATATTTATTCCAAATGTAGAATTCTGTTAAAGAAACCATCCCTATCATTTAAGAAAACAGAATGAGGAAATAAAGGTTTCTAGCATCTGTGCTTGATATTTCAAAATATATATATCTATTTTTATGTATATATATTTATATATTCTTTTATATACATATATACATACATACATATATATATATATATATATATCCCCCCCCGCCCCAAGACAGAGTCTTACTCTGTTGCTCAGGCTGGAGTGCAGTGGCGCGATCTCAGCTCACTGCAACCTCCTCCTCCTGGGTTCGAGCAATTCTGCCTCACCCTCCCGAGTAGCTGCAATTACAGGTAAGAGCCTCCATGCCCAGCTGTTTTTTTTTTTTTTTGTTTTTTTCTACTTTTAGTAGAGATGGGGGTTTCATCATGTTGGCCAGGCTGGTCTCCAACTCGACTTCATAATCCGCCCGCCTCAGCCTCCCAAAGTGCTGAGATTACAGGCGTGAGCCACCATGCCTGGCCCAAAAATATTTTTTAGACTAAAATAGGTTCCTTTATTATTAACATATTACATTAGTATGATAAGCATGTTACAATTAATGAACCACTACCCATACATTAACTAAAGTTCATGGTTTATTCAGATGTCCTTAGCTTTCCCTTAATGTCCTTTTCTTGTCCCAAGATCCCACCCAGGATCCCACACTACATTTAGTTGTCACGTCTGCTTAGGCGCCTCTTGACTGTGGCAGTTCTCAGACTTCCCTTTTTTTTGAAGAGCATTGGTCAGGTATTTAAAGAATGTCCCCCCACCCGTTAGGATTTGTCTGATGTCATGAGAAAAACATCAGACAAATCCTAAGTGGGGGACCTTCTGCAAAATACCTGATCAGTGCTCCAGTATTAGCTTTTGGGAGGAAGACCACAGAGGCAACATGCTATTCTCATCTTACCATATCAAAGGTCAACATGGCTTAGGACTGCAGACTGCTGATGTTGACCTTGATCACCTGGCTGAGGCGGTGTTTGTCAGGATTCTCCACTGAAGTTACACTTGCCCCCTTCCATGCTATGCTCTTTGGAAGGAAGTCTCCAGGAACAGCCCACGCTTAAGGGTGGGGAGTTAACTCTTCCATCTCCTTGAGGGCAAAGCATCTACATGAATTATCTGGAAACCTTTTGCACAGGAGATTTCTCTTCCCCTACTAATTAACGTATTCCATCATTTATATCACTGTGATCTTACGGCTATTTTATACTCTGGGCTACCATCCAATATTGCTTTTTCTTGAATTGTTCCAGCTTTGTGTATGGGAGCGTTTTCAGCTGGCTACTGTGTCCCTGTGACGTATCACCATCACTGCGAGTGTTCGTTCGTTTGTTTCTTTGAGCACATCCTTACTTTCTGGCACCACAAGATGCTCTGGGCTTTTCTTGCATATTTTCTACCCCAGTCCCAGAATCAGTATATCTGCCTTGATTGTAACCAGCAGTACCTGTAGTCCACTTTTTACACATGAATCCTTTACAAAATAAAGAGGGGAGGGCTAGGTTTTTTTTTTTTTTTTCTTATGGGACCACAGTACAGAAATACAGGCTAAGAATCCCTAATTCAAAACTCCAAAATCCAAAATGCTCCGAATCCAAAACTTGAGCACTACAAGTGAAAAATTCCACATCCAACCTCATGTGATGGGTCACACATATTATTAAAAATATTATATGAAATTACCTTCGGGCTATATATATATGAAACATAAATAAGGTATATATGAAACATAAATTTAGCATTTAGACTTGAGTCCCATTCCCAAGATATCTCATTTATGTATATGTAGATATTCCAAAACCTCAAAAAATTCTGAATGCCCTAACACTCTGATCCCAAGCACTTAGGATAAGGTATACTTAACTAGAACTTAAGATTTCTCCTATGCAGACTCTAGCCCACTCCTGGGCCACATGCTGTTGAAGAAAATAATAAAACTGTGCTGTGAAGCCTGATGGTATTTTATCTCCACTAGACTGTCCCTCCTGCTAAGCAATGGCAAGCAGTAAGAACCCCCCCACCCCACCACCCACTGGTTGCCTATCATATTTCTCACAGCGTCCACCCCCCTGAAAACTCATTCCTCCAAAACCACAGCCGCCCTCTCCTGCCACGGGCTGGGTCCCGTCCCCACCTCTGCATTCACTGTCCCCAACCCAGTCAGGCCTCCCAGAGCCCACCTGCAGTCTTTGCTGTGAGTACTTCACACCAATTCCATGTATAATTACTTGTACCCTTGACTTAGGGGCAACAAAACATAATGACACAAGTCAAGAGTCAAGAGCACTTAGAGAGATCTCAGTGGCTATAACTCAAGAGTCAGATGTCACTGCCAAAAGGACCAAGGGGAAATTTAAACAACTCTGATAGCAGGGCAGACAACACAGTCATAAAGCATATGTATAATATGATTCAGATTTTTATTTTTTTAATGTATATATTTTCATTAAGTATTGGTGTATATAGGAAAAAATGTTACAAACTTTCCTCAGTGTTTAGGATTTCTACACTTTTTATGAGAAAAAAACAAGCTGGGTGCAGTGGCTCACGCCTGTAATCCCAACACTTTGAGAGGCTGAGGCAGGTAGATCACCTGAGGTCAGGAGTTCAAGACTAGCCTGACCAACATGGCGAAACCCTGTCTCTACTAAAAATACAAAAAAGTTAGCTGGCATGGTGGTGCATCCTTTAATCCTAGCTACTTGGGAGGCTGAGGCAGGAGAATCACTTGAAACCGGGAGGCAGAGGTTGCAGTGAGCCGAGGTCGCGCCATTGCACTCCAGCCTGGGAAACGAGAGAAACTCCGGCTCAAAAAAAAAAAGAAAAAAACCCCCACAAATACTATTACTACTTTCCCTTCACCACATCTCAGGTCTGCTTAAATCTAACTCTCACCTACTTCACACCTGCCCCAGGGCAGCTAGTGCCATTTTACATTTCTGATCTCTGGCCTCAAGTGGACTCTTGGTGCCTCCTGGCAACTTAACTCCATTTTCTAAGCGAGCTCCCTTCCCCTCTCTGAAGGGTCTATTAATATCTTTCTTTTCCATCCTCTAATATCTCCTCCCCTTTCTGTAGCCTCAGTTGATGAATGACCTTCTATGATACCGTATAAAACACATTTGGTCATCTTCCCATTTCCTGGCTTAGCCTCAAATGTAAGTGTCTTTTTGTATGCAAATGAGGTGACTGGTGGCTGGCAGCCCCTAGGCAGCTTCAGGATGGGGTTGGTCACCAGAAAGACCAAGGCAGGATTAGAGGGTTGGGACTTTCAACCCCACCCTCCACCCTCCAAGAAGGGGAGAGGGGCTGAGGTCAAGTTGATTATCCATGGCCAAGGGTTTAACCAGTCATGCCTATGCAATGAAGCTTCCATAAAAACCCAAAAAGACAGGGTTCAGATGGGCTTCCAGATATCTGAACACGGGGAGGTTCCTGGAGAAGGCATGGAAGCTCCGTGCCCCTTCCCCTGTACCTCACCCTACCTACACCTCTACATCTGTATCCTTAAAAATATCCTTTATAGTGACACCCAAAATGAGTGACTGAGGTAGACATTCAATCACAGAAGTTTATTAAGCCAACTTTAGGGCTTTTCGAGGGAAAAAACATAAGCCACAGAGCCATCTGTTTTTCCAAAGAGGTTTTCAAGTTTAGTATTTAGACATTTCCTTAAAGTAGGGGAAGGTAGGTTGGCGGTTAAGGCGAAAAGGTTACATGCCTGTGAGACTTTGGTTAGTGCCCAGTAAATCTACATTTTACATCAGATAAAGTGAATGTCGGAAGAGACAATTATGCAGTCATCTCTGGGTAGGTGGAAGAAATGAGTCTGGACTTGTTCTGCACCTGGGAAGATAAGCTTGTAATCCACACTATCAGTGTGGAGAATTAGAAGGTAGACCTCAATTACTGACCTAAAGTTACAACTGGTCTGTCCTTGTTTCTGGGAAGCCAGGAAAGGATTTACTTAAGAATGATCTGTGGGGGCAGCCTTTCAGATGCCCACGGCCTTTTACCTTTCCGTGGGGACCTGGCTGATGCATAATGGTGGTAACAGCTGTTCATTAGGAAAAGGGGGATGCAAGATTCAGCCTCTGGGCCTAAGCCACCCTTTTGCATAAGCAGTTTAGCAGGAGGTCCTGAGATTTTTTATTTTCCCTTACAAAACACAGTAAATGTGTTTCCCTGAGTTCTGTGTGCTGCTCTAGCAAATTAATTGAACCTGAGGAAGGCAACATGGGAACCCCAGTTTATAGCCAGAATTACTGGTTAAAACAACCTGGGACGTGCAACTGGCATCTGAAGTGGGGGTGGAGGGGCAGTCTTGAGGACTGAGTCCCCAAACTATGGGACTGATGCTGTCTCCAGGTCAACAGTGTCAGAGCTGAATTAAATTAGCAGACCTTCAGTGGCATCTGCTGCAGAAGCAACTGCTTACTTGCTGTTGGGGAGAGATACCCAGACATTTGCTGACAGAAGTGTGTTGTGAGAGTAGAGTAGAGTAGGAGAAACTGCATATTTTTTCACTTGCCCTCCTTATTTCATTAACAGAAATTCAGGCAATCGGAAGAAAACATCTCCATGTGTCCCACGTGTTACAGGGGTGAGCTGTCTGGGTGCCTCTCTGAGGCCTGTCCTCCTCCGTGGACTGAATCCCACCTCTGGAAGGAACCTGCTCCTATAATTATTCCCTGGAGCTACTGTGTCTTTCTGGATCATCTCATTTAGCATAAGACATGCTAAATTCTCCTCCATATTGTGATTACATTCCCTTGCCCCTAACCCCACCAACTCTCCTTTATAGAGGGGATACTCTACCAGAAGCTGTCTCCTCTTGCCATCTCCACTTCCTCCCCAACCTGATCTTTGAGCCTCCACTAATTGGCTTTTGTCCCTACCATACTGCCAGATCCAAAGGTCCTCTTGTTACCTGCATGTCCACTACAGCAGACACTGCTGACCAGCCTTTCTGGGAAACACACCGTCCACCAGCTGCGCGGAGATCACACAGCCCTGCTGCCTGTCCCTTGCTGACCCTTCCTTCTTAGTTTTCTGGCTCACTCTACTTGTGCTTCTGAACTAAAGATGGAGGGGTAGCCAGGCCGTCTAGGAGCCTCCCCTCCATCCGCCCTCTTGGCTTTGAGTGTCATCCATCTGTTGCTGCCAAATGTTGGTCTCCACCCTGCTCTATCCCCAAATGCCAGACTCCTGCACCCAGCTACCTGGTGAACATCTGCATCTGGATGTCTAACATGCACTTCAAATCTCACGTCTAAAACTAAGCTCTTCATTCTCCCCATGAAAAACAAAAGGAAACCAATCAAATAAACAAACTACCTCCTGTGCCTCCCGCAGTCTGCCCTTCTGAGTAAGTGGGTATTAGACAACCATTAAGTGGGCTGACCCAGCCCCCAATCTGAGACTCATCCCTCAAGCTCTTGTCTCTCACTCCCCATTCTTTCCAGCAGCAAACCCCACAGACTTGCCTTCAAAATATGCCTCAGATCCACCCCTTCTCTCCCATGCACTTCACTCCAGACCAACAGCACCTCTCCAGTCTACCAGTCTCTCTGTTCTACCCTCCTGGCACTCGCTTTGGGGAACTTTAAAAACTAAAGGTATTTGTGTCAGTCCTCTCTGCAAACCCCAGTGCAGCTTCCCACCCAAACAGAACCAAATCCAAAGCTGCACCAAAGCCTAAAAGACCTTGACCCTGGGCAGTTTTTCCAAACTCTGATTCTCACCTTGGGGTCTTCGCATTGGAATGCTCTTCCCCAGCTCTCTGCAGGACTCTTTGTTCTGTTACTTTGTTCAAGCCGCCATTCAAATGTCCCCTCCCTTGCTCTCCCTGCCTCTCTCATATTCCTTCTCTGATTCCATCCAATTCTCTGCCAAGCCAAACCTGCCCCACCTCATATAAAATAGCTGCCGCACCACTCTCCATTCCTTTCTTCTGTTTTCTCTTTTTCCATGGCCCTTACCATTACTTCACACACATTTTAATTTATTTATCGTTTATTTTCTCTGACTGCACTTAACTCCTTGAAGACAAGGACTTTGTCCCTTTGTAAGCCAAGACTTAGATGGGTGCCTAGCATGCATATATATACTCAGCAAACATGTGAAAGAGAGAGTGGATGAAAGGCCTACGGTCGGCCTCCATCAGTAGGTGTTGATGGTCTCCATCACCACAGTAGACACACAGATACAAGATGCCTACAAACTATTCCATCCTACACTGAGGCCCTACCTTGCATGTGGATTCAAATTTAAGGTGCTTCATTTAAAACAATCCCACTTCTTGATATATTCATTGTTATTCTACATAATAAGGGGTCTTTTATTCATATGGGAGCCATAAAATAATTCCATTAAAAAATTTAAATTTTATATTATTCAGCTACTTTGGTAAAAGGGTGAAAGTACAGGGAGTATACATAAATATTCATGAAATACAGATCAGTAATAAAGAGTGAATCTTCCAATTCTTTTTAGCAAATGATTAGTGCAGCCACAGATAATGAAAGATAAAGTTTAGGAAAGCTCATTAAATGACTGAGAAGGCAATTGTCTAAGACTAGTTACCTGGCCAAAAAAAAAAAAACATTTTAATAAAATTCCAGCATTTAAAAATTTGCATTTATCTTTATCAACTCCAAAATTTAATTTTAAAATATGCTGCTGAACATTGAAACAAAACAAAATGCATATAGCCCTTTCGGCACAGCTGTGAGAACACAAGATTTTCTTGTGACTTGAAAATGCTAAGGTTTATAAATAGTGGTTATCTATTGCTGGTACAAAAAAAAAAAGGACTGTTCTAGTTAAACAGAAAGTCTGGCTTAACAGTGAATTCTCATGTAGGAATTATTGATTTTCATAGATCAAAATAGGATTAAATATACTTGTAAAGAAACTGTTGGAAACAGCACATATAATCGTACAGGACTGGTGTTGAATATATAAGAACTCCTACAATTCAACAACAAAAAGACCAATAACTCAATTAGGCAGCAGGCAAAATACACAGTCATTGCAAGGACAGGTAGCACAAATGGTGAATAAACATAAAAATAACTCAAGTTCATTCATAATCTGAGACCACAATACGATCCCATTTTATAGTAGATGGGTAAAAATGAAAAAGGTTGATAATGTGTTAGGAAGGTTGAAAATCAATGGGAATACACATCATGTGCTGGACAAAGTAAAACAGAATCACTACTTTGGAACCAATGTGGGCTTATCTTGTAATGCAGAATACTGACATACGTACAAGGCAGCAGCTCCACTTCTACTTATATGCAGTACAGAAACTCTTGCACTGTGCCTCAGGGACATGCACAGTGCTCAGGGCAGTACTGCTTATGACAGTTAAAGAAGAGAAAATAACCCTGATGGAGGGAAGATACATAGGTGGTATAGTCACATGATTCACTATCATACCAAGAAAGTGAAAACCAAGAAATCACCACTCCCCACACAATCACACAGATGACTTGGAGAAACAATATGCAATTGGGGAGGCGTTGGGGAAGTCAAAGGACTGCATACTACATAGATCCATTTTCATAAAGCCCTAAAACAAGCAAAATTAAACAATGTAGTTTAGACTTACATATGTGGTAAAACTAACGTTAAAAATCAAGGAGCTTGACGTCATTAAGATGGCCTACTAGAGACACACCCAGCAATCACCTCATCCACAAAGAACTAAAACAATAGATAACCACACAGCAAGTAAAATGTCCAAGGGAGAACACTGGAATTCAGCAAAGAAGCAACAAGACCCTCCGAGGGACAGAAGCTCAGGATGGCAGCACAGAGGAAAGAAAAGCAGCCAGCCAGGACTGACTCAGAGCCAAGGGGGACTCCCTGTTATAGGAAAAAGTAAGCTAAAGGTCCACAGCAGACCACATTCACACCACAGATGCCTACAATCTTAGCCAGAGCCATCATAGGCCTTGAGCCCCATAAAGGGAGGTACCTGGCATCCATGCAGTTGTTTTACTCTAGAAAGACCATTCATGCTGGGTAGCCCCTACTCCCTGAGTCCCAGGCTGCTGCAGCAAGGCACCATTTGGAGACTGGATTCACACTAGAGTGCATCCTCCTAGGGGCCCCAGCATCTCCACATCCCTGGGGTCCTGTCAACATCTCACCGTATCCACCCAAAGAGCTGCAGTGTTTTGATACCAGCTGGACCCAGCAGTGCAGCTCTAATCCCAACACCTGAACCCAAGCAGCATCCTACACCCTGTAGAACAGGTGGTCCAGCACAGAAGGAAGGCTTCCCCTAGAACAAAGGGAGCCAATGCACAGTCTCCCCAGAGCCTGAAAGCTGACTGCATGGGGCCTGCTACTACCTCCACCAACAACTTTGCTCCCTCCAGCAGTAAGCTGCCACATACGCAGCCTGGAGGCCTGAAAACCAGCCCACCCACTGTCCTTGTTTTCAGTAAAGCCACACCACGCCTCCAAAACCAACTTCAGCTTAAGCCACTGAGGCACTTGCAGACACCACTGACAGTGATTACAGTCCAAGAAATCATACGAAGACTACACTTTTACGCTCACCCAGAATCAAACCCAAAGCATCCTACCCAAATGATACTATAGCATACATCTACAAAAAACTCTGTTCCCTATGAAAGATACTCCATGAAACTGAAAAAAAGAAACTATTTCGCTAACAGTGCAGATATCAACGTACAGATACAAGAAACACGAAAAAGCAAGGAAACAATAAAACCTCCAAAGAAACACAGTAATTCTCTAATAACAGAACAAAGAAAAGGAAATCCATAAAATGCCTAAAAAAGAATCTAAAATAATGATCTTAAGGAAACTCAGTGAGATACATGGGAACATGGAAAATTCAACGAAATCAGAAAAACAATTCATGAGAATTCATGGAGAAATTCAACAGAGATATTTATCACAAAAAGTCTTGGAACTGAATAATTAAATGAATTAAATAAAAAAATTGAGAGCCTCAAAAAGAGACTAGATCAAGCAGAAGAAAGAATTTCTGAACATAGAGACAGGTCTTTTGAAATATCCTAGTCAAACCAGAATTCAGAAAAAAAGAATAAAAAAGAATGAAGAAAGCCTACCTGACATGTGGGATCCTATTAAGCAAACATATATTCATATTTTGGGATTTCTAAATGGAGGAGAGATGGAGAAAAGCATAGAAACCCTCTTTAATAAAGTAATAGCAGGAAACTTCCCTTTGTGGGAGAAAGAATCCAGATCCAGGAAACTCTAAGATCCTTAAATATATTCAACCTAAGAAAGTCCTCTCCAAGGCACATTGCAGTTCAACTGTCAAAAGTAAGACAAAGTGAGAAGTCTGAAAACAGCAGGAGAAAAACATCAAGTAAAATAAAACAGAATCCTCATCAAAATAACAGCAGATTTCTCAGCAGAAACCTTACAGGCCAGGAGAGTTCACTATGATATATTCAAAATGCTGACCAAAAAAAAAATATATATATATATACACGTATATATATATATATATGTGTATATATATGTATATATATATAAAACCAGCCAAGAATACTATACCCAGCAAAGCTATCCTTCAAAAAGGAAGAAGAAATAAAAGTCTTTCCCAGACAAGCAAAAATTGGAGGAATTCATCACCAGTAGACTGGCCCTATGAGGAATGCTTAAGGAAACCCTACATTTGGAAGCAAAAGAATGATATCTGCCATCATGGAAACACACAAAAGTATAAAACTCACTGGTAGTGCGAAAACATAAATGAGGAAGTGAAAGGAATCAAATATTACCACTGAAGAAAACCAGCAAACCACAAAGAAAAACAATGAGAGGAAGAAAGAAACAAAGGATATACAAAGCAACCAGAAAATACTTAACATAGTTACAAGAGTTTGCCTTCATCTCTCAATAACAACCTTGAATGTAGGGCTAGGCATAGTGGATCATGCTTGTAATCCCAGTACTTTTGGAGGCTGGGATGGGAGGATTGCTTGAGCCCAGGAGTTCAAGACCAGCCTGGGCAATACAATGAGACCCCATCTCTACAAAAATAAAAATAAAATTTAGCCAGACATGGTAGCACACATCTACCTGTAGGCCCAGCTACCCGGGAGGCTGAAGCAGGGGGGCAGTCACTTAAACCCAACAGTTCAAGGCTACAGGGAGCTATGATCATGCCACTGCACTCTAGCTTCAGTAAGAGAACGAGACCTTGTCTCTAAAAAAATAAAAAAATTAAAATTGAAAAAAAAACCCTTTAATGTAAATGAATTAAATTTCCCAATTAAAAGATATAGACTGGACAGATGGATTAAAAAACACCACCTAACTATATGCTGCTTACAAAAAACATTACCTATAAAGACACACAGAGACTGGAAGGGAAAGGATGAAAAAAAAATCTTCCACAGAAATGAAAACCAAAAGTAAGCAAGAGTAGCTATACTTATACCAGACAAAATATAATTTAGATAAAATAGACTTTAAGTCAAAAAACATAAAGTGGCAAAGAAAGTCATTACGTAATGATAAAGGAGTGAATTCAAAAAGACATAACAATTGTAAATATATATGTACCCAAGAACAGGGCACCCACATATATAAGCAAATATTATTAGAGCTAAAGAGAGAGATAGACCCCAATAGAACAACAGTTGGGGGCTTCAACACCCCACTACAAACACTGGACAGATCATCCAGGCAGAAAATCAACAAAGAAGCATCAGACTTAAACTGCACTATGTATCAAACTCACCTAACAGACATTTACAGAAAATTTCATCTAACAGCTACAGAATATACACCCTTTCATCAGCACATGGGACATTCTCTAGGATTTACAGTATGTTTGGTCATAAACGAAGTCATAAGAAATTTTTATAAATCAAAGTCAGGTATTATCTCAGAACACAATAGAATAAAACTAAAAATCAATAACAACTTTGGAAATTGTATAAATATATGCAAATTAAACAAGTTGCTCTTGAATGAACAATGAGTCAATGAAGAAATTAAGAAGGAAATAAAAAATCTGAAACAACATAAAAATGGAAACACAGTATACCAAAAACTGTGGGATACATCAAAAGCAGTGCTAAGAGGGATGTTTATAGCAATAAATGCCCACATCAAAAAAGTAGAAAGATCAAGATGCTAGAAAAGTGAGAACAAACCAAACCCAAAATTAGTAGAAAGAAATAATAAAGACCAGAGAACTGAACAAAAGAGGCCAAAAAAATGCAAAAAATCAATTAAATAAAAAGTTGTTTATTTAAAAATATGAAAATTGCCAATTATCTAGACTATGAAAAACAGAAAAGCCAAATAAATAATATCAGAATATCAAATAAATAATATCAGAAGACATTTTACAAGTTACCACAGAAATATAAAAGATCATTAGAGACTAATATGAACAATGATACACCAATAACTTAGAAAACCCAAGGAAAACAAGTAAATTCTTAGACACACATAACTTGCTGACAATGAAGCAGAAAGAAATAGAAAACCTGGCTGGGTGCAGTGGCTCACACCTGTAATCCCAGCACTTTGGGAAGTGGGTGGATCACCTGAGGCCCGGAGTTCGAGATCAGCCTGGCCAACAAGGTGAAAGCTCATCTCTAGTAAAAGTACAAAAGAATTAGCCAGGCATGGTGCTGCATGCCTGGAATCCCAGCTACTCGGGAGATTGAGGCAGGAAAATCGTTTGAATCCGGGAGATGGAAGTTGCAGTGAGCAGAGATCACGCCACTACACTCCAGCCTGGGCAACAACAGTGAGACTTTGTCTCAAAAAAAAGAAAAGAAGAAAAAGAAAAGAAAAAAGAGGGGAGGGGAGGGGAGACCTGAACAAACTAATAATGAGCAACAAGACTGAATCCATTTAAAAAAAAAAAAAAAAAGTCTCCCAACAAAGAAAAGACCAGGACTGGATGGCCTTAGTGCTGAATTTTTCCAAACTTATAAAGACAAACTAACACCAATTCTTTTCAAACTATTCCAAAAAACAAAACAAAACGAAACAAAAACGAAACGAAACAAAATAAAAAAAAAAAAGAGAAGAGAATTCTTCCTAACTCACTCTAAGAGGCCAGTATTATCCTGACACCTGAAACAGACAAGGACACAACAACAACAAAAACTACAGGCCAATGTGCCTGATGAACATAGATGCAAAAATCCTCAAAAAAAAAAAAAATACTGGCAAAGTAAATCCAACAGCATATCAAAAAGACAATACACCATGATCAAGTGGGACACATTCCAGAAATGCAAGGATGTGGTCAACAAATGCAAATCAATAAATGTGATACATCACATCAACAAAATGAAGAACAAAAACCATATGATCATCTCGATAAATGTAGAAAACCATTTTGATAAAATTCAGTATTCCTTCATAACAACTCTGAACAAATTAGGTAATACGAGCCTTAACGACAGATGCACAGCTAACATCATACTGAATAGGCAAAAGCTGAAAACTTTTCCTCTAACAACTGGAAAAATATAAGAATGCCTATTCCTTCACGACTCTTATTCAATGTATTGTTTATAATCCTAGCCAAAGCAATTATGCAAGAAAAAGAAAAAGCAGTCATACTGGAAAAGAAAACGGAAAATTCCAGCAAAATACTGTAGAATTGGTAAACAGATCCGGTGAAATTGCAGGATACTAAAATCAACATACAAAAATCAGTAGTGTTTCTTCTATATACCAATAACAAACTAGCTGAAAATGAAATAAAGAAACCAATCTCGTTTATAATAGCTAAAAATAAAAGAAAAAAAGCCAAATACCTAAGAACAAATTTAACCAAGAAAGTGAAAGATGTCTACATTAAAAACTACAAAATACCGATAAAAGAAATTGAAGAGGACATAAACAAATGAAAAGATATCCCATGTTAATGACCATTACATCCAAAGCAATCTACATTTTCAATGTGATCCCTATCAATATATCAGTGACTTTTTCACAGAAATAGAAAAAGAAATCCTAAAATTTGTATGCAACCACAAAAGACCTCAAATAGCCAAAGAAATACTGAGCAAAAAGAACAAAGTTTGAGGCATCACACCACATGACTTCAAAATATACTACAAGCTATAGTAATCAAAACAGCATCGTATTGGCATAAAAACAGACACATCGACAAAGGGAACAGAATAGAGAACCCAGAAATAAATCCATGTATTCACAGCCAAATAATTTTCAACAAAGGTGTCAAGAACATAGATTAGGGAAAAGGAGAGCCTCTTCAATAAATGGTGGTAGGAAAACCGGATATCCATATGCAGAAGAATAAAACTAGGTCCCTATCTTTCACTACATACAAAAATTTACTCAAAATTGATTAAAGACTTAAATGTAAGCCCCCAAACTATAAACCTACTAGAAGAAAATATAGGGGAAATACATTAGGACATTGGTCTGGGCAAAGATTTTACAGCATAGAATGATATTATCAAAAAGACAAAAAAAAAAAAAAGATATCATGCTTATTTGGTAGCTTTGTAGCGTATTTTCCAGTCAAGCACCATGTGCCTCCAGCTTTGTTCTTTTTGCTCAATATTGCTTTGGCTATTCAGGGTTCTTTTGCGGTTTCCTACAAATCTTAGGACTGTCTTTTCCATTTCTGTGAAAAATATCATTGTATTTTGATAGGGATTGCACTGAATGTATAGATCACTTTAGGTACTATAGTCATTTTAACAATATTATAATTCTTCTAATCCATGAATATGAGATATCTTTTCATTTTATAGTTAAGACTTCAACAGCAGAGGCAACAAAAGCAAACATAGACAAATGGGACTATATCAAACTAAAAAGCTTTTGCACAGCAAAGGAAATAATCAAATGAAGAGACACTCTGGAATAGGGGAAAGTATTTGCAAACTATTCATCCAATAAGGGACTATTTATTATCCAAAATATTCAAGGAATTCAAAAACTCAACAGCAAAACAAAAAGAAAAACCCAAATAATCTGGTTTTAAAAATGACCAAATAATCTGGTTTTAAAAATGATCAAAGGATCTGAATAAACATTTCTCAAAAGAAGATATACAAATGGCCAATAAGTATAGCAAAAAAAATGCTCAATATCACTAATCATCAGAGAAATGCAAATCAAAGCCACAATAAGGTATCATCTCAATGAGAATGGTATTATCAGACCAAACACACACACACACACACACACACACACACACACACACACACACACCAAATTCCTGGCAAGGATGCAAACAAAGAGGAACACTAATTTACCATTGGTGCAAATGATCTAGCAATCCCACTGCTGGGCATTTACCCACAGAAAAGGAAATGAGTATATTGATGTGACAGCTGCACTCCCATGTTAACTGCAGCACTATTCACAATAGCCAAGATATGTAATCAACCTAAGTGTCCATTAACAGATTAATGGATAAAGAAAATGTGGTACATATACACAGTGGAATACTATTCAGCCAGAAAAAAAATAAAATTCTGTCACTTGTCACTCATGGCAACATGGATAAGCCTGGATAATGTTATTATATTACATGAAATAAGTCAGGCAAAGAAAGATAAATACCAGAGTTCTCACTCACGTGGGAGCTACAAAAGCTGATGCATAAAAGTAGAGAATAGAATAGAGGTTACTAGAGGTGGGGAAGGGTGGGGAGAGGGAGGAATAGGAAAAGGTTGGTTAACTGGATTCAAAATTACAGCTAGATAGGAGGAATAAGTTCTAGTGTTTGATAGCACTGTAGGGTGACTTTAAAATAACTAGAAGAGAGGATTTTGAATGTTCCCAACACAGAAAATAAATGTTTGAGGGAATGAATATGCTAATTACCCTGATTTGATCATTACACACTATATACAGGTATCAAAATACCACTCTTTACCTATTAATAGGAACAATTAGAATGAATAAGTAAACAGATCCAGTGAAGAAAACAAAATGTATCAACTCAAAAAAACAAAAAGAGAATGAATGACTAGTAAATAAGTGAAAGAGACAAATCTTGTTGGAAGAATAACTCTAAATAACTTACGTAGACACTCCATCTTCAAGGAGATGAAGCAGTGAACTCCCCTCCCTTAACTATGGGGTGCACCCAGAGACTTCCTTCCAAAGAGTACATAGGGAAAGGGGGAGAGGGAGTCAGTATGGAGTGAAGAATTCTGACAGAATGGACTCTTGATGTGATGAGATGAGTAGGATATGTTGCCTCTGTGGTCTTCCTCCCAAAACCCTCACGAGAAAATCATCAGACAACTCTCAATTGGGGGACTTTGTAAAAAATACCCGACTCCTCAAAACTGTCAAGGTCAACAAAACAAGGAAAGTCTGAGAAACTGTCACAGCCAAGAAGAGCTCAAAGAGACATGACAACTAACTAGTGTGGCATCTTGGATGGAATCCTGGGACAGAAAATGAACATTAGGTTAAAAAAGTTTTAAATCCAAATAAAGTACAGACCTTACTTAATAATGGACCAATTTTAGTTCATCATAAGGGTAACTAGATGCTAAATATATGAGAACTTTTTAGGCTATCTTCATAAGCCTTCTGTAAATCTAAAAGTGTTCTAAAATAACTTCTGGGGGAAAAGGCAATGGCAAAAGAGGAGGTAGAGAACAGTATTGAGAATATTCTAGTTTTTAAGTTGGGAGGTAGGTTCACAGGCATTTGTCTTATTATTATGCCCCAAAAGTACATAAATGACACCTACGTATTTTGTACCTATCAAATATCACAAATGGAAATTTTAAAAAGAAAGCATACAGGCCAAGCAGAAAGGGACAGTAAGAGTACTTCACTAGCTAGCACTTGCTGAACCTCCCCAAAATGCCAGTCAGCATGGCTATGCCCCTAGGCCTGGCACTCTACTCCATCCAACTATATCACTCAGAGCTGGGGGTCTGAAATAAAGAATCAGCTCATTTGGGCTCTAATAAAAATAATGCCTATTTTGGGAAAGGTGGAAGCCTCAGAGAGATGGAGTGTGTGAGCTCATACTAAGAGCTATGGTTTCTATTAAAAGAAGACATTTCAGACAGTGGCCACTGGGTACAGTTGAAAAGATGAGTGAGTGATGGTCCTTCCCTGTAGAGAGCATGCCTAATTTACTAAGAGGTCAACACAGCAGCATCCTATTTCACTCCTACAGCAGCCCCAAGGGGGAAGTGGTGACCTGCTCAAGATGTCATAGGTGATCAAAGACAAGCTGAGACCTCTTCCTGGGTCTCTTGACCCCAGGGTTAGTGCTTGTGTGTCTAGATTCATGAAAATAGGTATTTCATTTGCAGTAGCTGCCATGATTTGCAGAGCCTTCTACTGTTTTCAGCCTTGTTTCTTAGACTTCAGAGTCGAGACAAAGTCATTACCTATCACATGCTTAAATTCTGCACTCCACACTGATCTGCGGTGGGTGAGTGTGCTGTCATGGGGCTTTAATTGTAGTATTCTTGTGGTCAGTGCCATTTTTTAAATTTGACCAACATTAATTACAGGCAAATTATTGTGAATTATAATTGTATATCAAAACAACAACAACAAAAATATGGTTAGGCCATATTGTTCCAAAGCAGGGAACAGGGAAATTCGTTGATAGCAAAAACATTTTCAGCAATCTTGAACGGTGCCCAATTCTCCCTGGCCCCTCTCCTATTTCCATCTTCCTTTTATGACTTATTCATCTACTGCTATGTAAGCTTGCACACTTCTTAGATCCCAAACTACAAACTACTATAAAAAGAGGAAATGAGTTGATCTTTCAACATTTTTTTCTTTTTAAAAAAGTTTAAACTTTTAATTTTGAGATAAGTATAGGTTCACAGGAAATTCCAAAGGGTGTGCAGAGTGGTCCCTTGTGCTCTTCACCTTGTTCCTCCTAATGGCTACATTCTACATAACTGCAGTAAAATATCGAAACCAGGAAACTGACATTAGTATAATGAGTATATATGGTTCTGTCATTTCATCATGTGTGTAAACTCCTATAACCACCATGCCAATCAAGACTATTTCATCATCACAGAAATCTCTCTGACATTATCCCTTGTACAGTCACACCCACCTCCCTTTCTGACAACCATCACCAACCCCTTGTAAACACTAACCTGCTCTCTATCTCTGTAATTTTGTCATTTTGAGAATGTTATATAAATGGAATCATACAATATGTGTGACCATTTGAGACTCATTTTAAAGCAAAAAGAAGAAATTCTATTAAAAGATAGAAGACACTCTGTATGATTTCAATGCTTTGAAATTTGTTACTGTTTGTTTTTTGGCCCAGGACATGCCCTAACATGGCAAATGCTCTGTGGGTGCCTAAAAAGAATGTGTATCCTGCTACTTTTGGGTGGAGTGTTATAAATGTCAATTAGATAATATTAATTGATGGTGGTGAGTGTTCCTATAGCCCTGCTGACTTTCTGTGTACTTTCTGTGTGGTTGTTCTATCAACTGTTGAGAAGAGTATGGAGATCTTCAAGTATAATCATGGGTATGTCTGTTTCTCCTTGTAGTTCTAGCAGTTTTTACTTCTTATTTCACAGCTCTGTTGTTTGGTGCATGCATACTTAAGAATGCTATGTCAGCCAGGCGCGGTGGCTCACGCCTGTAAACCCAGCACTTTGGGAGGCCAAGGCGGGTAGATCACGAGGTCAGGAGATCGAGACCATCCTGGCTAACATGGTGAAACCCCGTCTCTACTAAAAATACCAAAAATTAGCCGGGCGTGGTGGTAGGCACCTGTAGTCCCAGCTACTCAGGAGGCTGAGGCAGGAGAATGGTGTGAACGTGGGAGGCAGAGCTTGCAGTGAGCCGAGATCGTGCCACTGCACTCCAGCCTGGGCAACAGAGCAAGACTCCATCTCAAAAAAAAATAAAAAATAAAAAATAAAAAAGAATGCTATGTCTTCTTGATGAACACTCTTTTATGTCCCTGGTAACTCTCTACTTTTAAAAGTTCTTTATCTGATATTAATATAACAATTTCTGCTTTCTTTTGATTAGTATTTGCATGGTCTATCTTTTTCCATCCTTTTATTTTCAACATATATATACACACACATACATATATATATATACACATATATAAAATGTCTCTAAAATGTGCCAGGATAAGGCAGAGGAGCTAGGGAAGCTGCTCAGAGGAAAGGATACTTACTTGGCCAGAACTTGGAATTGAGAGAGAAGGATACTGTGAGGATAACTCAGTAATGACCCAAATCCAGGGGGCCTAGAACCCAAATCCAGAGCCCTTTACCATGCAATCCATTGGGAATTTGGCTCTAATTTGGGAATAAGAAATTCTTGCTTTATTAGTTACATTTTTGCATTAAAAAACATAACCAATCAGGTAATCTATATATAAGTCTCTTTAAGTTTTCCATTCCTGAGATAGTCACAATCACAGGCCTCCCAACTAACATATCATCCACACTACAAGCAAACTACCTGAGCAGAGAGAATTGGTCCTCGAAGGGTGGTGGGGTTAGGCTTTGTGTCCCCACCCAAATCTTATCTTGAATTGAATTGTAATCCCTATAATCCCCATGTGTTAATGGACAGACCAGTGGAGGTAATTGAGTCATGGGGGCGGTTTCCCCCATGCTGTCTTGGTGATACTGAGTTCTCAGGAGATCTGATGGTTTTATAAGCCGCTCTTCCCGCTTTGCTCAGAACTTCTTCTTGCCACCCTGTGAAGAAGGTGCCTTGCTTCCCCTTCATCTTCTGCCATGATTAAGTTTCCTGAGGCCTCCCAGTTATGCTGAACTGTGAGTAAATTAAATCTCTTTCCTGTATAAATAACCCAGTCTCGCATAGTTCTTTATTGCAGTAGGAAAACAGACTAATACACAGTATCAGCCTTCTAAGGGATGTAGACCATCCTAGCAATCTGCTCTAGAGTTATAAAGGATGTAATGCAATCACTTTGGTTAATCAGAATCTCCATCAAGATCTAATGGAGCCAGGAACTCCAAACCTGACGGATCACCAGGACACTATGACTGCATAAGGAACTCCAGTCCTGAGGACTAGAGGGTCTGGTTATGTAACAAAACTCCTTACAAAGGTTTTTGGGTTATACTGTAACTGACAGAGCAGAGTGTATATTTACTGCCTTCTGTAAAGTTACAAACATTTCCCATCCCTCTGTGCCTTGCTGGTGACCCAGATAATAGCCCTGCTGGGCAAAAATAAGGGCTCCGTAAAAAATCTCTAATAAAACAAGAGAAATTATCATTCTCTGCTATGTGATAACATGGACATTGCTATGTGATTTCTCTGCTGACCCTTTTTCAGGAACCCACCATCCCCCAAGCCAGAATCTCCAAAGTGGAAAACACCAGGTGTGGGAAGAAATTATTAGCGTTCCCATATCTGCTATGTTCCAAAGCGCTGCAGTGCCCAGTGCTGCTTCCTACTTCTCCATTATATTTTGTTAAATTTCTGAGCATAAGACAAGTCTCCACTGAGGGTCAGCTCGCTGTAAGGATCAAAGATCAGAACTAAACACTAGTAACGGAATGGGATTTTTGAATTTATGATGAATTATCTCAGGTGTGAATACATGAAAACTCGCAAATGAAAGCCCTTAGAGTAGAAGGCCCCTTTAGGGAAGATCAGCGTTAACAGCACAGATGCCCAGGTCCTGTCTGCCCACTCGAGATTAGTGGGGAGTGGACCCTGAGCATCCTAAGTCACCCCCAAGCATCCCAGATGATCCCCATTACATTACAGCTGGTAGGCATGGACTCACAGAGCTCCAAAGCCTGGAGGGAGAGGAGGAGGCAGGAGCCAGGCCATGTCTACCTCCACTCCGTCCCCAAGCACCTCGAGTGCCCACTCATCTCCCTCCATACCTGGCCCCACTCAGCCAACAAATGTGGGCAGCATCACTTGCCTGCAGCTTGGGGGAATCCCTGATGCTCTTTCCTGGAATTGAGACTCAGGTGGGAGATGGGCTCCTGATCTTACTGCAGTGGTGGAGAGGGTGACACTGGTGTCCCACAAATGCTGAGCATGTTTTCCCACTGAATTCTGTGGGGCATGGCAACCAGGTCTGTGTTACTGTCCTGCCTGTGCAGGACTGTCCTTAGAATTCCAAGTTCACACACCCAACTTCATCTACCCTCTCCCTCCATGTCACTGCCAAAGGAACCAAGGCCGGAAGTTAAAACCCAGCCATGAAAGCACAACACCCACACATGAGCACGCCCCAGTGATTCCTCCAGAGACCTCTGTTCTAAGCACACGCCGCCGAGACGTGGTACTTAACGACTGGGAAAATGACCAATGTATTACAAAAACGTTACTAAATGAGCTCTCAGGTTGGAAGATACGGTTACATTTAGCTTCTCCCACAAGAAAGGCCTGTACCAGACCCAGACTCCAGGCAGGGAAGACAGTCCTGTCTCTGGCTCCTGGGATCCCTGCCTTTCCCAAGTACTTCTGACGTTGGTCTTTGTGAACACAACAAAATCTTCAACATAACCTCTGGGTAAGATCATAAGTGGCATATTCCGGAAGGCACTAAATAAAACAAGTCTGACTGAGGAGTGACTGGGCTCTCACTGTCAGATCTGCTGCATTTCCCACTCATTCCCTGTGAGCACCGTCAGGGGCCCAAGTGGAAAGCAGTACTCTATGGAAACGTGACATTTACGGACGGGGCATTCTGCTATGTGGTCAATAAAGGGAGGGGGCACTCACACATGTGAAATAAGGTAACAATCACAAGCAAAACCCAAAATGGAATGTTGGCAAAAAAGATAAACAATTTAGAAAAACTACTAAAAACGTCAACTCTAGAGCCTCTCCCTGTCCCTGGCCACATCCCTGTAAGGGAGAGCCTACCTGAGGACACTCAAGAGGGACGTCACCACTGCAGACTCCTGACTTGGAGTTCACGCCGGCCAGGGACTGCTCCGGACCATGGGTTGTTCACACTGTGACCTGGGTAGACCTTCACACGGGAAGGTCACGGAACAAGGCGTTTGATCACGAAACAGCCAGAGCAGATTCATAATTAGGATCATCCTTACTGCTTGCAGGCAGCAATCAAGCTCAAATCTCACCAATTAACTTGTCAGTGTGACTGTTGGTCAGGTGTGACTCTGAGAAGCTGAGAAGGCATATTTTACTTTCCAGGGAGATACAAGGCCTGCCTCCATGGCCACGGACCTTACAGGAAGGCCTGGGTACCTTCTGCCCCAACAAGCACTAAGGGTTATTCGTTTCCATCCAAAACTGGCATCTTGTTAATATACTCTTTGTTAACATGGTCCCAGAATTCATTCCCCATAAACTGTGACCTCTTATGATCTGATTTATTCATCATGTTTTATAACCATTTTGACATCCTGGAGCCAGGAACATTTCTAAAGAAACCATTTCAACGTTAGTTATAATAAAAGTCAACCGGAAAATTGATTCTGATAGGCAGAAATCTCAAACTCAAAATGCTTTTGGTGTGTCCAGTGAGGCACCTGCAGCACGGGAATGGGGAGCACAAGGGCACTGGGACACACTCCCCTCCCACACCCTCCACCAGACACGCCCAACTTGAATGACACTTCTGCAGTTCCACGTGTTCCCTTCAGTTCTGTACATCCCAGTGGTAATCCCAGAAAGTATTCTCCTACTGGGGCTTGTTTGTAATTACCTGTTCAAGGTCCAGTTTACTAAAAGCCCTACAACACCCCCTCCATTGTGACACACACACACACACACACACACACACACACACACACACAGCATGAGAGGACTTTTTGTTTTTCTGGAGGAAGTCAAGAAAAATTTCTCTCTGCTTTTCCTAGTTTGAGAACCTCAACTGCAGCAATGCGCTCATTTCAAGCTCTGTGTGGCCTGTTTATTTAATGCTGTTCTCTTACATACACATCCGCCACACGGCCGGCCCAGGGCCTCTTAAGGACAAGGACAGAGTATCTGGAATCCAACATTCAGGTGTGAGACACAGGTCACCATCCAACGCTGGGCCGTACTAGGCAAGGAAAGTAACCTCTCTGGGCTCATTTTCTGCTATACAATTCAGGGGAGGACTATCCATATCACCTGGCATTAAAGAGAATTCACGAAAATTCCTTTGTAAATTCTAAGGTACAATTCAGAGAATCACTGAAAAATGAATGGAATGTTATGTATTCAGTTTCTATCTAAGGAAAAGAAGGTCGAGGGGTACAGAATTGGCTTTTTTGTTTTTGTTTCTTCAGCTTTCTAGGAAGCCACACTGCTAGGGTGTATCAGCTATGACAGAAAAGAAAAAATGCTTGGCATAACCTTGATCACCACCACAACTAAGAGAAAATAATTATGTTATTGACTATGCAAGAACGTTAAATCACAATTTTATGATGTTTCGCCCTGAACAGGGGCGCTGTGGGAAGCGTCAGGGACCTTAGAGATGGCCTCAGCACACAGGAAGTGGCTGTTAAATACAAAGTCCCCTGGCCTGTACAGAGAACTTCTCTTTTGGCAGGTCTGATGTTAAGCTGGGGATCCCCAACACAAGGCGACTCTGAGCACCATCCTGGGCCTCCATGGGTGGAGCTGGAAGCCACAGGAGCTGTTAAGCTGATCCTGGTGCTTCAGGAGCAGCAGAGGCCCTCGGGGGATTCAGGTTCCCAGCTGGTGCCCCCTTCTCAAACCTCCCAAAGTCTTCCTTCACACACCCTTACGTTTCCAAAGAACTCTCCAAACTGCACTTAGTTGCAGGAGATTTTTCTAGGGGAGAAAAAAATAAATCTCACGAAATTCCTGGTACAGTAAGAAAGAAAGGCTTTTTTGGGTCAGGAAATGGGAGCTCCCAGCCTGCTCTGCCACCTAGGAGCCCCGGCCAAGTCATTTAATCTCCCAGAGCCTCACATTTCAGTTTAAGGTAAGCACTTGGAGAATGGGTCGTTACCATGTCACCACCATCATGTGTCAGAGACAGCAGCCCGGGAAGCAGAAGGAACGTGGGCTGGTAAGCAACAGACCTTCTGCTTCCCGGGCTGCTGTTAATAGATGGGGACACAAAGCCACAGGAGAGGTTAAGGGGACTCTCCAGAGTCACACAGTTGAGCATGCACAGCTGTGGACAGTCTCCTTAACCTCTCCTGAGGCTTTGTGTCCCCATCTATTAAATGGGGGCAATAACATCTGCATTTGCGACTAGAGATAATATACAAGCAGTGACAAGCCCTGTGCCGGGCACCTGCCAACGATGACCCCATAGATTACAGCTGCTTCCACTGACTGCACCACCGGGGCACTGTGGAATCAATGTGGCAATGTTTTCCCAGCAGCTGTCAATACTTACTGGGCAATTATTTAACCAATTACCACAGATTTATCCGCAGCATTAAAGGCTGTGGCCATCTCTTTATATTCGGTACACTGTACAGAAGAAACAATCAGTCCAAACTGCAGAGACTGTTCCCCCAGATCACCCAGGGGTCCAGAGTGCGGCAGAAGGAGGCTGAGATGGGCCCATTTATTTGGGCGGAAACTCCACAAGTTACTTCCAGGTATCATGAGACCTCCAGAGCTACACCCTCAACAGAAGCTTTAGCCCTAAAATCTTAATGACTGAGCACTGGGCTTTGCGTGTAAAAAATCTTTCTAAATAACCTGTTGGGGGCAAAGTCAGCTACCAGCAATCTCCAAAATACCAAACAACCAGGATATGATAAAAGTGAGTAGTAAATTCCAGATGACTTTTCCAAGTGTACACACCCTAGGAAAAATTGTTCTGAAATAAATTGAGGATAATATGAAGTAGTAAACTTTAGTAGTTAAATAAATATTACTGGATAGCGTTTTTATGGATGTAAGAGTGACAGGCTCAATGTTTCATCTTCTCATGCTCACTGCTCAGTTAAACACAGCTGCTGCTGCTTCTATCACAAAATGGAAAAGATGTGTGTAGGCTCACTGCTGACATTTACACGCTGGACATGCACATCACCAACTGACTCGGTTTGTGAAATCCCGTCCTGTTTACTCAAACTTGAGTTGTGTCATCTAAGCCACTGTCCTTCCTATCCCACTACACCATCCTTCTGTCCATTAGGACATGTCTGTCATGAAAAAGCCTCCAAAAGCTTTTCAAAAGTCAAACGAATCTGCAGCATAGCAGACAAGGCCCTTTGCATCTTCCGTCCCTAGTAATGGCCAGCCTCCAACAATCAATTACAGTCACTTTTCAAGTACACACGGGAAGAATTAAGTGCAGATTATGCGTTTGCCAAAATGACAACTCTGGTGGCCTTCTGGCTCTTCCTATGGTCTCCGCTCCCCCAAAGAAGGCAGGGTCAGAGCCGCAGGGTCCCAAGACTTTGTTCCTTAACTTCAATGGGGAGACCAGAAAACAGGGTAGGGAAATGCACCACGTGGAAATGGGCTGAGACGTTACTCAAGCCCTCAGACACCGCCATCCTCCTCAAGCTGCTCTCAGCCCAGCCCCAGGCACGCAAACCTTGAGTGTCCAATAACTGGGAAATGCATCCAAGGCTGACATCCCGCTTACTGTTCTACCAGGCCAGCATTTATTTCACTTCTTTCTGACATGCCGAAGTGTATGGCTGACCGAGCTGTTGCTTTCCCTGTTGGCACTTCAAGGACCACCGACCAAATGGCAAATGCCTGGTCCCCAAGCCAGTATTGTCTGAATGACCTGCAGTCTCCAGGAACCATGGCCCAGCTGGTCCAATCAGCCTGCCCTGTTCCAAGGAAACACATTATACCTCTGTACACGTCTCCTCATTCTTTAAAACTTATTCCCAACGTAACATCTCCTGGCTTTTCCATACTGTCCCCTAAAGGGTCAGTTGATCCCTGCCTCAAGTATTAGGGACTGGCTGTAAGAACCTCCACTACAGCAGTTAGCACAGTCCCAAACTGTCAGGGTCCCATCCTGAAAGGGCATGGGGAAAGGTGGCTGGGACTATATTTTATCTATTTTTTTTTTAACTGCTACAACAGTCACTGCAAGAAAAATAGCCCAAAATACAGGTGGGGTGTTCACAATAGATGTTTATTATATGAATGGCTACATCTCACGATTTTCCAAATGAACATTTTTCTAAACCACAAAAGTAAATTTTAATAGGTGAATCAAGGTTTTGTGTGGAACTTATAAACTTATGAAATAAAAGTAATCCTTTAAAATTACATGGGTAGATATTTTTGTAAGCCAGCCAGCTCTCATGGTCTCCATGTACCGTCTTGTCTACGTGGCACCCGTGTGTTGGGAGCTCCTGCAGACTGAGCTGCTGGGTGAGCATGCCACACTCCCCTGCCTCACCACCTTCTCAACCAGCACCAACAACAGCTTCAGGTCTGCTAATGTCACTGACGATCAAGACCTTTCTAAAGAAGTAGTGACAGACTCTGATGCTAATAAATTATTAATGAGTTCTGATGATCCAATCAGAAGATCTGTCATTTCTAGCTTATACTCCATTCCCTTGAAATCTGACAAGTGGATTGATACATGACTGCATTTGCAAATGACTGTTTTAAAAAGTTCTACCCCAATGACTTTTTTTTTTTTTTTTTTAAAGAAAACGGAGTTACCATGGGTTTGAGAAGTTTTCTTATGTAAGATAAACCTCCTAGGTTTGGAACAGGAACACCCCGATGGTGTCTGTCTTGCACAAGGTCTGGAAGAGAGACCTGGGAATGCCCTATGAATGCATGAGGGGACCCAAAGCTAGAAGAGCCAACAATGGCTGGGGTGAAGTCAGGTATGCAGTGTGAGTGCCAACCCCCGACTGCCGACCAGGAGCTAGCTCTGGAAATCACAACACACAACACCCTAAATCAACGGGACAATATGGCATTTTCTCCAAAAGATAACATAAAGCGTAACACGACGAGAACACTAAGACACTTAATCCTATCCTTATTGCATATTAATCTTATGCTGTTCTAAATACCACACATCAAAGGGGCATAACTGAAATTGAAAAGGTTCCAAGAGATTTTTCTTTTAAGGTGGTCGAAGAGAAAGAACATATTCACAAGATGTGTTTGTAGTAGTAGCAGACCAAGTAAGAGGAAATTCTAACTTTTAATATTAAAGGAGAAAATTTCCAGAAACCACCACACCAAAAGATTCCATAGTCCAACATGATAGTTTCAAGATTACTTTAAAACAATCTGCAAATAATAGAAGCAAATTAAAGTTTTTTTATACAAATGTCCACTGTAATATTCTCATTTGCTCTTCATACAACCAGAAGACATATCACCTAAAAGTTGGACACCAAAACTAATTTAGGTTATGCTTTGATTAAAATTTGGTTTGCTTTCATACTTGATTTAACAATCTTTTCTATTTTGTTCTGTTAAATATACCATGTTGGAAATATATATTTCTTATAAGCTGATAGTAAGATGTACAGGAAAAATCTTACAGTATAAGGAATAAAATCTTTTTATATATATATATTTTTATTACACTTTTAAGTTCTAGGGTACATGTGCAAAACGTGCAGGTTTGTTATATATGTATACATGTGCCATGTTGGTGTGCTGCACCCGTTAACTCGTCATTTACATTAGGTATATCTCCTAATGCTATCCCTCCCCCCTCCCCCCACCCCAAAACAGGCCCCAGTGTGTGGTGTTCCCCTTCCTGTGTCCAAGTGTTCTCATTGTTCAATTCCCACCTATGAGTTAGAACATGCAGTGTTTGGTTTTTTGTCCTTGCGATAGTTTGCTGAGAATGATGGTTTCCAGCTTCATCCATGTCCCTACAAAGGACATGAACTCATCACTTTTTATGGCTGCATAGTATTTCATGGTGTATATGTGCCACATTTTCTTAATCAGTCCATCATTGTTGGACATTTGGGTTGGTTCCAAGTCTTTGCTATTATGAGTAGTGCTGCAATAAACATACGTGTGCATGTGTCTTTATAGCAGCATGATTTATATTCCTTTGGGTATATACCCAGTAATGGGATGGCTGGGTCAAATGGTATTTCTAGTTCTAGATCCCTGAGGAATCGCCACACTGTCTTCCACAATGGTTGAACTAGTTTACAGTCCCACCAACAGTGCAAAAGTGTTCCTATTTCTCCACATCCTCTCCAGCACCTGTTGTTTCCTGACTTTTTAATGATCACCATTCTAACTGGTGTGAGATGGTATCTCATTGTGGTTTTGATTTGCATTTCTCTGATGGCCAGTGATGATGAGCATTTTTTCATGTGCCTTTTGGCTGCATAAATGTCTTCTTTTGAGCAGTGTCTGTTCATATCCTTTGCCCACTTGTTGATGGGGTTGTTTTTTTTCTTGTAAATTTTTTTGAGCAAATTAAAAGTTTTTAAGGAAAGCTAGTGTTATTCTTGCAGTTCATTCTGAGACAAAGCTCTGGAGGTGAAAATGTGTCTTCTCATAAAGCACTTCTTACTGCCCAGCCAGAAAGAGAACACCGGATTAACTGGACTACAAACAGCAATTCATATTTTAAGTTAAATGTCTTAAGATGTTAGGGCTAAGAAATATTTTTGTTGCACAGTGACATGTTTTTGTCTGGTGCCTGTGGTGATAGCACCACTGGGTCCCAGAATCCACATGTTGCATCACAGTTATGATTTTATTGTAACATACACAAGTAGGTTTTTCATATGAACAGGTAAAACCTTCCTGAGAATCCTTCATCTGTCTGCATCTCATTTGATGTAGGTTTTTTTTTTTTTTTGAGACCAAGTCTTGCCGTGTTGCCCAGGCTGGAGTGCAGTGGTGTGACCTTGGCTCACTGCAACCTCCGCCTCCCAGGTTCAAGTAATTCTCCTGCCTCAGCCTCCCGAATAGCTGAGACTACATGTGCACGCCACCATGCCCAGCTATCCTTTGACACAGATTTATCTTCTCAGCATCAAAGCTGGAATCCAACTTTTCCTAGACTGAAAGCACCAGAAAAGTGGTTATTTATCCTTATACTCCCTGTCCCATACAGAATACAGGGACCAGGATTCGTTATGGATTCAAGAGTCAGTAATATCTGAGTGTGGAGGTACCTGTACCATCTTACAGGTTGTAGGTGTCTACCATCCTGCTTCCTGGCTACATACTCAGAACCATCACACACTAAAGCAGGAACAGAGATAATCTAATTTTCTCCCTCATTGAAAGCTTAAATTTAATGTGATTCAACAAATCAAGGCTACACTGACTGATATTTTACTAAACTTACTGTCCAAATTAAGCATTTGAAGCAAAAAGCTGCAACTTCTGTTTTAAGCAGAAAACTGCAGACTTACCTTTGGCACACAGTTGAGAGGTGACTGGCAAAACGCAGAACTCTTCAAAACGATGATGTTTTCAGCTAATTACACCTCTGAAGTTACAAAGCTGCAGGGATTCTCCAAATCCTCAAATCCAACTCAAATCTCAGCAGAGAATTATAATCTGGGACGTCGCTTGTATACAAAGAACACATGAAATCTAAAAAGAAAGAAGCATATATTAGGTCTGCTTGCTTCTTTGATTTTAAGTAACCACTTTTAAAAATAACTGGTTATTTATTTGCCTAAAACTAATGGGTTTTTTTGTTATTTATTTATTTTTTTGAGACAGGGTCTCCTCTGTCACCCAGGCTGGAGTGTGGTTGTACGATCTTACTTCACGGCAACTTGCACCTCCTGAGCTCAAGTGATCCTCCTGCCTAAGTCTCCCCATTAGCTGGGACCACAGGCATGCCACCACCCCTGGCTAATTTTATGTATTTTGAAACCAATGTTTTAAATATATCCCAGATTAAAGCTGCTCTGTGCCTAAAGACCTCCATCAACACACATGTACTCCCTCTTCCCACCTTTCATTCCCTGGGCAAGCTCCGACACTCGGGTTGGGGAGGGCCAACCACACACCCGGTGAACAGCAGGTGGAAGGAGGTGATGGGGTGTGGGGGAACAGCCAGCCCATAATCAAGGGACCTGAGCTCCCAGTCTCTTCCAGACTTCCTCCTCCCAATGAGCCCCACCTTTAAAAGCCTCCCAGAAATAAAAGGGAGTCTGCCCATTGGAAAGGTGGCCAGTCTGAGAGTCTAATGACGGAGAAGGGTTACAAAGGGCATGGATATTGTTTAGAGACTCGTTCCTCTCTTGGAGGTCTGTTGCACCAGCCATTTGTTGAGAAGCCACCAACCGGACCCATAGCCTTGGGCTAAAAAGCACCCCTAGTTTCAAGACTTCTGAGACGAACACTCCAAAACTAGAAGGAAGTTAAGATGAGAGGCACCTGACAAAGGTGACCAGCGCCCTCCTGGTTGTGGAGAGCTGGCAGCTGCGTTATGTTCACTGCACTTGGTAAGTATTTTCAGTCCTTGACTAACGTTTTCGAGGGGACCCTGGAGCACTCTGTGGACTTCAAGTGAGTTCACTGACATTTTTAATTACATTTCAAACCCAATGGGGATCTGTCTTGACAGTTCACTCACAGAAGATCTATTAATTCATCCCTAGCATGATTATGATCCAAAATGTTAAATACCCCATAGAAAAATCGAATTCTATTTTAGTCAAAGATAAGAAGATAATTCAAATAGGGCTATCATAAAAATGTTATAAGGCAAGTTCATAAATTTTGATTTAAAAATTAATTCCTTTTTATGTATTCTCTAGCACTGTTTTAAAGGCCGCATCATTTTAATACAGATATAATTTAAGGCAAGGAAAAGGTGATGGCCAAACACAGTGGGAATACATCTTTGGGCAAGAAGTTCAAACGTATACTAGGCAGATTGCCCTTCTCTCTGTTAAGTGTTTATAATAAAATGACAGGTCCTCTCGAGATGGAAGTATTGGAATCTGAACTCAGTTCTTGACCAAGAGTTCTTGTTTCTCATGCTGACACCACTGAACATCAGCAAAGGGCAATGTGCTGGGTACCATGCCCCAAACACCACCTCTGTATGTGTCATTTTCAGGGGCTATTATAAACGTTAAGTTGTGTTGTTAAGATTTTAACTGGGAAGTGAATTTGCCCAGAGTCTGCCTTCCACAGGCAAATGCAAGGAATTGTTTTATGCAGTTGTTTGGGCTGTCCAAATACAGGCCTCCCCCCTGTGTGCCCTGTGTCTCATGAGTAATATGATTTAATCCTTCTGATACACTGCCAGGATGGATTCTAATGCCCAAATGTACAGAGGAGTTCACTTTCTCAGTGACACTAAAGGTTTTTCCCAACCGACTGGAGAGTGAGGAATCACTTAGGCCTTGGACTCCGGATGAGTGGGCTTTGCACATCTCTAATCTCTTCTGCATGCGAACAGAGGAGAGACTCCTTATGCCAACAGCAAACCAAAAGCCTGAGCAGCTTCTCTACCAGACCCCGCAAAAGAACAATGAGCTGGATTTAGAACTTGAGTCCTTTGATACTAGGCACAGTGGGCAAGTCAGAACACGGCCTCTCCAAGCACAATCAGTAAAGGAAAAGCCAGACAGAACGGAGCAGGACTTGAACTAATGCAGCAGCTCCAACAAAAGTGAGGCTACTGAAAATCCATTGAAAGGTGCCAGTGGCCATCTGGGATTCAAGTGTAAAACGTGAAGGTTGCATGCGATGTTTTCCTTGAGAAAAGCATTCCACTGACAAACTGTCAATGTGTTAAGTGTACACCCTAAGTAGAATAAAACATGGTGGTCAACATCTCTCTCTCTGGGTTTAAATGAAGACTGCCCAAGTTTAACATGGGGCTCTTAGCTTATTCAAAACCTGTGTTAAGGAAGAGCATTTCAAAGCAGGTCTTAATTATAATCAGTGATCGAAATCCATCAGGAAAGTATACACTTTTGTGCAAAAAACAGTATCAGCCTGAAAGATAAACACCTATACGGTCACTTGGACTGTAGAAGGCCCTCACCAAAGGATTCAAGGATTTTCTACAGCCAGCTTCAGGACAGGAATATACAGAAGGAGTGTGTGCTTTTCTCTAAAAGTACTTCACTAGCACTACGTGCATCTCCCTTTAGAAATAAAGGAGGGAGGGCTGGAAGGCAATTAACACTGATACCGTACGTATCTCTTCATTTTAATGTGGATCCTTAATACTACAAAATTTTACCACTGCAAAATCCAAGGGATTATCTGAATTCTCTGTAACCTTAAAATTTGCTTTTTTTCCACTAAAGCCACAACCCAGGGTTTTCCAGTGTTTTCAGCAGCACTTAGCTGCAGTGTTGGGCGAGTGTGCTGAGCACTGCCAGGCCACACTACTTGTCCCAGGCGCAGGGCCAGGCAGTGAGATGCCCCCCTGCAAGCAGTCGTGGCCGATTCTGCATCCCCAATGCCTGTGTGGTGCTGGCGCAGTGTCTTCTGCTGCACCTGGGCTGGTTTCCTCCAACTATCAGCATCTGAGAGGGAAGTCCAGTGATGAGGTCCCTGACTAAGGCAACTCCAGAGGAGCAGTTCAGGGTTAAGAAGGGAGTTATGAGCCTTGTTCTGATGACAGCCCAAGGCTGTGAGCTTTGTGGACATAATACCACTGGGTGCTGTCACTCAACCTGTTTTTGAGGTGGCCTATTTGTCCAGAAAACTGAAGTCACCAAGAGACTAAAGTCAGCCTTCAGGAGGCTCAGGGAATCCCTCCTCTCCCACTGTCCAAATGATAGAAACGGTGACAGGCTGGGAGAAGAACATGTTCTGATTCCAGTGAGACACTCGCCGTGGCTTCACCTTAGCATCAGCTGCAAGAATCGTCACAGCAACCCTGGGAGATACATCTTATCATTCAGCCCAGGAACCAAATGACCAGATGTCTCACAACCAGAATTTGAATGCACACTTGTCTGATTTTAAAGCCAGAGTGCTCCTTCTCCTGACAAAGATCACCACGAAAGGGCTAGAACCTTGACAGTCGCATTCTGCAAATCGCATCTGCTGATGCCATCTGTCTGGGGTATCTGCCACCCTGGGTGGCCGGCTCCAACCTCTCAAATCAGCTAGGAACCATGTCAGGCTACATCAAGAAGCAAGCCCATGAATGTACACACACCAAGTTTGTTTTCAACGTTACTGCTTCTCTTAGATGTTAGCACAGGAGGGAAAAAAAAAAAAAAGCCTTGTTGAATAGTGTCACCTGGCTTCAGTAATGAGCAGATGTTGGACTCGGGTGTGTATCATAACCAAATCTAATCTGTGTTACACATGGAGAGAACCACTCCAGATCCCTAGTCTGTAGCCAGAGCTAAGGCAATTGTCCTTTTCCTTTTATTTAAAAAGAAAAACAAAAAAGCATGGATTAGCATAGGCCTCAGAGCTCTCAAATGCCTTGTCTTACCCTTCCCTCCTCCCTCCCTGACCAAGGAGGCCCAGCAGAGGCCTGCAAGTGGATCTCCCGTTCAGAGTACGGAGGCGGCAGTGCCAGCCCAACACAGCACGGGGTCAGCGCTGTCTGAGGGAATTCTGGCAGAGCTAGCTATATTTCATTCCTAGTGAACCACTTGGAAGAGAACCTTATTCAAGTGGGAAAAGGCTGGTTTCAGATACTGAACAAAGCTACACAAGTTTCTTTGAGTGGTTTGGCCAAAGTTCAACCCATGTGGACTGATACTGAGCAGCTTAGATGTGTTTATCAATCCGAAACTCAAAGGTGTCCAAGGAGATGACCTCAGCTGTCTCTTAATCATCCAGTGCACAGTGGTTCCCAGGCAGGGTTTAGAAACAGCTGAAGCAGCTTCAAAAAGCCTCACTGCAATTAGATTTTTCACTCAAGATAAAGCTGTCCTGAAAAGTAAAAGTATCAAGTTTTTCTGCACTAGGCTGAAATTATATCAATTCCATATATTAATGCTGGTTAGTAGGTTAATTAGAAGCTGATTAATGAAAACACGAGGGAAAAAACAGAACTAATTTCTAATTCTCTAGAAAGCCAAAGAGTGGCCAAGGCAGGTGTTTGCAGGAGAAAAGTGACTGATTAGAGTTTAAGGTCTGTCAGTTCTAGGTTCTGGAATAATGATTTCTGCCTTCAAATACTCCAGAACTGAGAAAAGAAGGAAATAGCAAGCAGTAGGTCAATCGATGGGCGAAACCCCTATTAACTGTACTAGGGGAGGCACCAGGTTCAAGAGGCTGAAGAGATCCAGAGCCAGCCAGGGTTTTATTAGGGGCTTACAGAGAAGGGAGAGAGTCCAGTGGCAGCGGGCTGGACAGGAGACCCGCACCCGCCTGCAAGCATCATGCAATTCATGTAGCATTTTCACTGAACACACTCCCTGACAAAGGACCTCCACCTGGCATCCTTCATGCAACCCAAAACTCAGGGCCTCAATCACACCTGTTCCACGAGACAAGCTGCAGGGACTCAGATGCTCCTTAAAGACAAGGACTGAATCTCCAGGCTGGCAACTTCTGGATTCCCTAGCTGGGAACACACATTCAGGTACGTCTGCCACACAAGGTCATTCTAAGGGTCTGCTTAAGTTATTGCTGGCAGGTGTGTTTACCCTACATCATCCATATATAATGAGAAGCAAATTACAGCCAGAAAAGGAAGCAACAAGGCCATGGGTCAGGATGACAGGGCTGTAGGCCTAACTTGGCCACCAAATGCCTCTCTGTTCCCTCATCCACCACCCCACTCAACTCCAATCCTATATCTTTGGGACATATGGGAATGGACATTATCAAAAATTGATGATGTGGTGCCAAAAATGTATCAAAGCTTACTAAAATAATAGAAGAAAGCCATAATGCATTTTTTTTTTTTTTTTGCACTCTGTCACCAGGCTGGAGTGCAGTGGTGCAATCTCGGCTCACTGCAACCTCTGCCTCCTAGGTTCAAGTGATTCTCTTACCTCAGCCTCCCGAGTAGCTGGGACTACAGGCACACCCCACCACACCCAGCTACTTTTTTGTATTTTTAGTAGAGACGGGGTTTCACCATGTTGGCCAGGATGGTCTCAATCTCTTGACCTCATGATCCGCCCACCTGGGCCTCCCAAAGTGCTGAGATTACAGGTGTGAGCCACTGCACCTGGCCCATAGCCGGGCAAATATTAATATAAATTTAAGATTTACAGTCTGCTGCCTAAAAATTCTAACATATAGGAATTCGATTAGTGACAAATTTTGTAAATTTGTGACAAGGTTTGTAAAGGGTTTTCTTGATATATTTAATGCTAGCCTCTTAAATCCAGCAGTACTCCATTCTCTAAAAGGTCTGCCCAGGTGTTTCTCTAAGGTTTTTCCTCTAGTCCAAACTGCTACTTGTCTTTGTAATCAACATAAAAACCTTGCTATACATCTCAGTGCCATAACTAGACAATTTAATTACATATTGCCTTTTTAACAGGTTCACCAGCATTTTATTAAGCATGCACAGGATTCAGCCATTGTCTAGGTAGTGACAACACCAGTAAAAAGCATGCTGACAAAAATAAACTGTAAACACTAAAATGCATACTGAATAAAAACTGTGCAAACCCCCCTTTTTCTGAAGGAAGGAAAGAGGGAGGGAAGAGTGAGGAGTCAGGAAAGCAAATCCTGTTTTTCTCTCTCTCCCTCCCTCTACTGCCAGCTTGCTTGTGTGCTTGCTCGCTCGCTCTCTCTCTCACACACACACACTTTTGTTTTTTTCAAATAGCATCTTAAGAAGCGGGCCAGAAGGTGAGACACAACTATTATTAACACTTTTAGGGAGTAGAATCGGGGGTGAGAAGGGTTAATTTCTATAACATCTGAACTTTTATAATATGTTTTACTTTGGTAATTAAGCACAGCTTTAGATAAAATTCCACACTCCTTTCCCTGTTTCTATCACTGCATCCTCTGCTAAGCTGAGGCCCAGGAATGAAGAGTGGGGATGTGTGTGCTCTTTCTCCCTCCCTCTCAGCCCTGGCCCTGCCACTGAATGAGACCTCAGCACCCACTCTCCTTTCAGGCCCATTCTGACATCACAGCCCTCCACTACTAACAGAGTCCCGCTCGCTCCCTTCCCTGCCTGCCCTCTCCCCCTCAGTGTTGGGAACTGCCTTCCACCACTCCCTCTTCTTCTAGCAGTGCTCAGTGGGTGAGGTAAGATCTCTCATTCAAGAAGCTCTTCAAAAGCCCCTCCTCCAGGAAGACCTCCTGGATGGCTCCATGGACAGTTAAACGCTCTTCCCTCCAAGTTCCCTTAGCATCTTAGACAGTACTCATTATTCTGTGAATAAGTCATAAGTGCTTATATAGTACTGATTACACCATGAAGTGCATCCCATCTGCTATGGGCTAAATTGTGTCCTTGCCCTACCTCCAAAAAAATTCATATGTTGAAGTCTCAACACCCAGTACTTCATAATGTGACAGTGAAAAGGTCTTTAAAGAGGTGGTTAAAATGAATCAGGGACCCTAATCCAATAGGACTGCTGGCCTTTTAAGAGAGGAAGAGATACCAGGAGGGTGTGCACGTTGAAAAGACCTTATGAAGACACAGCAAGAAGGCATCTGTCTGCAAGCGCTGGAGAAAGGCCCCAGAAGAAACCAACCCTGCTGAGCCCTTGATCTTGGACTTCCAGCCTTCAGAACTGTGAGGGCATAAATTGCTGTGTAAGCACCTCAGTCTGTGGTACTTTCCCATGGCAGCCTGGGACTTTTGTGAGACTCAACCATACATATGTGTCACGACATATGACACACGCAACAGGAACTTGAAAAACCTTGTGTGAGCAAATGCAAGGATGAGTGAATTGAAAGAACTCGAGGTCAAAACCACCAGGTGACCCACACTTTGCCTACCAAGTATCTCCTCTTGCACACCAGAAAGAACTGATTCTTCCATTTTCAACACCTATTCATTCTTCAAAACCCAGTTTAAGCACTACAGCTGGCTTCCTGGGCCAAGCTCCTGCATCACATTGTAACATAGCCATGCCATTTTGCATTTGAATTGTGATGTTTCACTATATGTAAAAATACTTTCTCATCCAATCTCAACAATTGTACATGCAGTCACACCCCAGCCCTCACAAGATGGCTAAAGCAAATCACAAGCAAAAATTAGTTTGCCCACAAACACTTCAGTGCTTATCACCAACAGATCAGCACAACTTCAGTATCACACCCCACATCATTACCAATTCCTTAATATAAAGCTCATATCTCATTAGTGTCCCGATTTTCCTGTCTCATAAGTGACTTTCTGTAGCTGATTTACTTGAATCAGGATCCAAGTCATGTCCACAAATTACAATTTTTCTCTTAGGCCACTTTAAGTCGATTTTATTTTAATGACAATGCACTGAAGACGCTGGGTGATCCACCCTGCAGTCACGTGGCACTCCATCCCTCTGGTGTTTTTCACGTGCTCCCCAGCCCTGGCATTTGTAGTAAACTGGTGGTTACTCCTGGGGGCTCCTTCGATGAAAGATCCTTTCTCAAGAGCAGGGATCCAGCACTGACTATGTGCTTGGCACTGAGAACCACCCGATTAATCCGTGATTTAGTAAATGAAACAAGTTAGAGGTGCTAATGTATCAGGGAGTCCAGCCCTTGTCCTTAGCTCTTTCCAGGCTGTCATTTTCAAATGGGATTTTCTACAGGGTCCATGGCCCTTTTGAAGACTTTCCAGAAGAAAGGAAAAGCCTCATTCTACTTTTCCAACTGGAATAAGGTATATGAAAATTTAAGGCTGAAAGTTACAAAATCATCTTAAGCATTGAATGATGTAATGTTCTTTTCTTAAGAAACAAAGAAAGAGGCCAGGCACAGTGGCTCACGCCTGTAATCCCAGCACTTTGGGAGGCCAAGGTGGGTGGATCATGAGGTCAGATCAAGACCATCCTGGCCAACATGGTGAAACCCTGTCTCTACCAAAAATACAAAAACTAGCTGGGCATAGCGGTACACACCTGTAGTCCCGGCTACTCAAGAGGCTAAGGCAGGAGAATGGCTTGAACCCAGGAGGCGGAGGCTAAAGTGAGCTGAGATCGCACACTGCACTCCAGCCTGGCAACAGAGGGAGACTTCATCAGAGACAGAGAGAGACAGAAAGAGAGAGAGATAGAGAGAAGGGAGGGAGGGAGAGATAGAGAGAAGGGAGGGAGGGAGGGAGGGAGAGATAGAAGGGAGGGAGGGAGGGAGAGATAGAAGGGAGGGAGGGAGAGAGAGAAGGGAGGGAGGGAGGGAGAGAAGGGAGGGAGGGAGGGAAGGAAGGAAGGAAGGAAAGAAGGAAGGAAGGAAGGAAGGAAAAAAGAAAAGAGAAAAAAAAAAGGAGAGAGGTTGAAAAAAACAACTACCTTGTGGGTCAGATCAGCCTCCGCAGGGGCTCAAGGGCTGCCCAGCGTGACTCCAACTCCAAGAGGCTGGTGTCACTGATGGTCACCCTCACACCACCCTAGGAAGGAGGCATTTTATGTCCCCAAGTGACCCTATTGAGAAACATAATGCCATTTTTACACTTCTCAAATTACATAGATATCAGCTGTATGCTACTAAATAATTTTTTCCCTAGGAAGGAAAATTTGCACTTTTTATTTCTACAAAGAACAACTTGTATTGTCATATATAAATCGGAGGGCTTTCCCATAGCCCAGAATTAATCAAATCAGAAACCTCAAAACCTTTATTTCCCCTGCCCTTCGAGGAGAGCACCTGGGTGTGATTTTAGAACCACCTATGAATCTTAGAGAGAACATGATGTCTGCGAGGGCGGCCCTTCCCACGCAGGTGCGTCACAGGACAGTAACACCCAGAGTGAGCTGTTCCGGTCAGGGCCCAGGTTCTAATGAACTCAGGATTAGGCAGCTGGGTCCTCCAGGGAGCAGGCTACAAGGGCTGATACAAACTTTAGTACTCCAGGGATTCCAAGTGTTACTCAGACTCTACCTTCATTCCACATTACATCACGGGTCATTTGAAAAGTCACAATAGGACTCTTCAGCATGAGGGTGTGGGATAGGATGTCTTACAGCAATTAGACAAAGGGATGGGCTAAGAAAGACTAAGATCACCCCATGACCACGGGCATCTGAGAAGTACCTGCAAGTGTAGAGAACAAAGAAACTCTGGAGAAAAAGGTTCAGAAAGATTCTGTAGGATGGTTGGTTGGGTTTTTTTTTAATTTTGTAAATTACTGGTAACTGCGAAGCCCCCTATGGAATGGGATTTGCTTCTAAGAAACTGAAAATACCGCACTGCATGTTATCCTCTTCCTCTGATAAGCACTGAATCAACGTGATTTTTTTCCCTCATTAAGTAGCAGATATTCACATAGATATTACAGTGTCCCATAAATGAATTCCATAAAATTCCATCAAATGTGGAATAAAAAGGAAATTTAAAATTTTCCATTTAAAAGTGGCTAATAAAGATATGGAAACAATCTAAGTGTCCACTGATGAATGAAGAGAATATATGTGGCCGGGAGTGGTGGCTCACGCCTGTAATCCCAGCACTTTGGGAGGCCAACGCGGGGTGGATCACGAGGTCAAGAGATCGAGACCATCCTGGGTAACACGGTGAAACCCCGTCTCTACTAAAAATACAAAAAGTTAGCCGGACGTGGTGGTGGGTGCCTGTAGTCCCAGCTACTCGGGAGGCTGAGGCAGGAGAATGGCGTGAACCCGGGAGGCGGAGCTTGCAGTGAGCAGAGATCGTGCCACTGCACTGCAGACTGGGCGACAGAGTGAGACTCTGTCTCAAAAAAAAAAAAAAAAAGAAAGAAAATGTGATATGTGTGATATGTACACATACACAAGCACACACACACATACATATACAAGGCTGAGCATCCCTAATCTAAAAATACAAAATACAAATTGCTCCAAAATCTGATAATTTTTGAGCACTAACATGATGCTGCAAGTAAAAAATTCGACACCTAACTTCATGGGAAGGGCCACAGTCAAAACGCAGGCACACAACACAGTTTACCCAGCACCCCCAAGAAAAAAAATAAAATTACCTGCAGGCTATGTATATAAGGTGTACGTGAAACATAAATGAATTACATGTTTGGACTTGGCTCCATCCCCAAAACCTCTCGTTATGTTTATGCAAATATTCCAAAATCTGGAAAAATCCAAACCCTGAAACATTTCTGGTTCCAGGTATTCGGGTTAAGGAATTCTTACCCTATATATATACACACACAAGAATATTATTCAATCCTAAAAAGGGAAATCCTGCCATTTGCAATAACGCAGATGAACTGGGAGGACATCATGCTAACTGAAGTAAGCCAGGTACAGAAAGACATATACTGAATGATCTCATTTATATGTGGAATCTAAAGAAGTCAAATTCATGGAAATAGAGAGTAGAACGGTAGTTAACAGGGGCTGGAAGGTAGGGAAAATGGGGGGATTTTGGTGGATGGGTACAAAATTTTGGTTATGAGTAAGTTCGGGAAATTTAATTTAAAATGTTTAATTTTAAAAATAAATGAAATTTTAAAAGGCTAATAGTTATAAAAATTTAACTTATAGAAAACAAATTTATTATTATTCCAATTAAATAGAAATTTTACTATCACTGTGTTTTTAAAGTATGTTTAGCTTTAAGAATACTTAGTTCTTAAAGTACAATTAGTTTTTAAATATTCCTAAAATGGTCAAGGTATGTTCATCCACATTCTCCTCAAACGCTGGACCCTTTCATAACTCTTTGCCCTCGCGTCTGCTATTTCCTCCCCGTACTGGGAACATCTTTGCACCTCAGCTTCCCAATGCCATCGTGCAATCAAATCCAACTCACCATTCAGGAAGGAACTCAAACGTGCTCTCTTCTAGGAGACCGGCCTCCGTGCCCATAAAAAGCACTATTTTATAATATCAACTGTCATTTACAAAACTGTCCAGATAGGAAGAGCCTCTGGGAAGGGACTGCAACTTTTTCATGTCCTGATACCCATATGGGGAGGCCCATGGCAGGCTCTGGATAAAATGACTCTTCTCCCCCATTTATGGTTCAATAAACTTCCACTTCCTTAGTTCCATCTATAAGATCAGCTGTGACTATCCAGTACCCTGCAGCAGTTAGTGCCATGTTAGGCCCTGATTGAATCCTTGTCCCCCAGTTTGCAATCTAAGACACACTGAATCCCTAACACCACTGTGCCTCTAGGCCAGGCCATGAATATCAACGTGGAGCCTTAAATACAGATAATAACATACCTATGCCAAAACCAAACAATGGTTCTTACATATCATATTTCTTAATTTCAAGGCTATAAGTTTAGTTTTCTTGAGTATTTCATTCAATAAATAAATTTGCAAGCAGTCAATGAAGAGGGACAGAATCAAAGAGTAATTCTAAATTCTAAAGCTCAGGAGCATATATATGACTTCCTATGGCAGCTGCCCAATTAATGCCATCCATAAAGCCATTCAAATACTGTGTCTGGGCTGAAATCCAATTAAGCCATTTCTGTCTGAATATCCCCAAAGAGCCTCCTGCTGAGCTCAAAGTGGAAATCATCATAAATGCCAGATTAGCTGTGTAAGCATTTCCAAAGCCAAAACCAGACAAGAGCATGAAAACCTACATGCCTAGCCTTTTAACTGGGCACAAAGACAGAAAAGACATTCAGTGACCATCTGGCAAAAAGTCAAACCCATTTTCTCGTCCACCAGGTCTTCTCAGATAATCCTCATCCAGTGCAAACATCAAAGAAAAGCGCTGGTCCGTTCATTTACACACATTTTGAAATGATCAACTTCAGCTTCACAATGAAATTTTGTGCAGTGAGGAAACAGGCCCAGAAAACATCTCAAGCTTTCTCTAGACTCAAAATTTTACTCAACCAACCCCTTACAGAGTACACCCTTGAAATTAGTAAATCCTGAGAGTCGCCACTGCCTCTATGTATATAATTTGCCCCGTAAAAAATGGGCAAGCAAAGCCAAAACCTAACTGAGAGGGAGAGGGATGGCAGAGATGCACTCAACGTGTTAATTTACTCCTCTGTCTTGCAATCCATGACTCAGATTCACAACTCACAAGGCACATGGTATCCTCAGCTTTCATGCAACAGCCAGAACCAGGACTGTTTTAACCACATATTCCAGAAACAGAAAGACTCTGGGCTGACTATTCATTCCAAACGGACCCTACCTGAGACCTACTTAATTAGAACATCTGCAGTTTATAAAAGCTTCTAGGTGGTTATGAGGCCCAGCCCCATTCAGAATCACTACTCTAGAGAAAATAAGAGAAACTGAAGAAGAGCCAATTCCAGAAAGCCTTATTCTCTAAACCCTCATAACTGGACCACAAGTGTGAAAGACGACTAACCTGGGTGTGAAGCTGGCAATGTCTCTGCACATGATGCAGGGGCATGAGGACTTGCTTTGAAACTGGATGCTAATGCCAGTTCCGCACTTTCCTAGCTGTAGAAATTGAAGGCTGCTAATTAACCTCAGAAACTAGGTTTCCTTGGAGACAATAGCAGTCACCTTGTTGGTAGAATGAAATCAGTCACACGTATTCAATGAAAATGTATTGCACAACTGCTGTGTGCAAATGCTGTACATACATAAGGCACAGCACAGAAGTGGCCCTTCTTAAGGAGCTCAGCCTAATTAGAGTTCAAAGTCAAATAGGAGACTACATAGCAGTGCCTATTTATGATATCTGCTGCAAGAAAACGTGCCTATAAAAAACAGCAGCTAAACTTTTCTAGGTAACTTCTAAAACACATGTGTGCTATCTAAAATATCTGCCTTAGAATTTAAAAATTTGATGGAGACAAGCAGAATAAATGTTTATATTAACAACTATCTTAGATAAAAACTAATTTGTGATACAGTAGAAAATAAGCCTAACCTTGCTTTCCCAAGACTGACCTTCAAAGCTAGGGGAACTATAATCTCTTCTCTAAGGAAAACCATCAATTTGAAAAATGACAACAAGGTTTGCTAAACCTCACCATCCCAATATTGCTCTCTTCTAGAAAGACTTCAAGTTAATTCATCCAACAAGTATTTACTGAACCCCTGCTAGCACTGTGCTTGGTGCTATACACACAACAGACATCACTGACACCACCTCACCCCCGAGAAAGCAGCAGATGAAACAGACAACTGGGTGGCAAGCGACAAAAAAGGGGAATTCCAGATGATCAGTCATCATCCATGGCCCATGTATGTGACACATGGGGGCAAACAAGGATGTTGCTACCGTTTGAATATCTGACTCCTTCTCATGTTGAAATCTGATCCCCAGTGTTGGAGGTGGGGCTTTAAGGGAGGTGTCTGCATCGCGAGGGCGGATCCCTCATGCATGGTGCCTTCCTCGTGGTGATGAGTGGGTTCTCACTCTATTTAGTTCCTGTAAGAAGTGATGGTTAAAAAGAGCCTGGCACATCCCTCCTCTCTCTCTTGCTTCCGTGTTCTCGCCATGGGATCTCTACCCATCGGCCCCCTTCACCTTCTGCCATGAGTGGAAAGCAGCTTGAGGTCCTCACCAGAAGTAGATGCTGGCACCATGCTTCCTGTACCTCCTGCAGAACCGTGAACCAAATAAACCCTTTTCTTTATAAATGACCCAGCCTCAAGTATTCCTTTACAGTAATGCAAACAGACTAAGACAGATGTCCATGGAAAATGGAAATGCAAATGCTAAAGGCATGTTAAGGATGCCTCTGCAGACAGCACCATCCCTGCACAGTGGGCCCAGCCTCCCACACCACATTTGAGCAAGTGATTTCTGAGTACAGGTAGAGGGTGTGTGCACATCTTCCCGTTCCACTTCATCACATCAGTTTCCGTCCATTGTTCAGCTTCTCAAGAGTCCTAAATCCTGGCTCACTCCCAGATGGTCCCCATTGCTCTAACCATGCATCGTCTGCAAATCTGATAAGCAGGTTTCCAGCTCTTCATCCAAGCTGCTGTACAAATCATGGTCAAAGGCAGTAGGCAGTTGAGGCCTTCCTGGAGGAGCACTGAACCAGCAGGTGACAGGGCATGGCTGTCCAATCGCTACCAATCTACAAAACAGTTCTCCATGCAGGGAGATGGGCCTGCAGCCTGAGCTGGTGAATGCACACTGGCTTTGGAATGCAATGCCAGCTCCATCACTTTCTCTCAGCAAGACGACTAACTCTAGAGCCAGATACTCTAAAAAGCGCCCTGTAAAGTCCCATGTGCTTTTGGTGCACACTCACAGAAAATGTCACTTTGTTCCCCCGAGTGGACACGAAAATGACTCTCATTATTAAAGGGACTGAGCCGAGGGCCACTCTGTCCCCAAACACCCAGCCCTTGAGATGAGCCTGCCAAAGAACAATCCCGAGGCTGCTCTCACAGGGTAGGTAAGAAGCCAAGCAGGAGGCAGCAAGACAATGCGGATGCAGGTCAGACCATCCCTCCCCCTAACTCCAGCTTTCCTTGTGCCATGGGCCCCTCTCCTCACTCGACTGCTACAGCCAGCACGTGACAAAGGTCTCTGTCATGCTTTGTCCCTCAGTCTTTCTTCTTATCTGTTAACGTTGTGCACTGGTTTTGTGTAAATAGACTGTGAGGAGAAAAAAAAAAAAAGAAAAAAGCACATCCCTCAACCACGTGCTGGTGCACACGATGACATGGGGAAGGGGGGAGGCAAGCCGAGTGAGCTGGTCAACAGACGTAAGGGCTGGGGCTGGGGGATCCCTACAATGACGTCCAACAAGGGGGCAAATGATCACAGTCCTGTCCCCAAGGAGATGACAGCCCGGCAGGCCTCTAGCCAGTGAGCAGGGTTGGAGGGGAGGTCCCAGGGTAAGGAGGCATATTAACACCACAGATTTATGGGACACTCACCTAAGAGGGTCCAACCTCACCAGACACCCTGCAGACATCAAGCCACACTGCATCAAAGAGAACAAATGCTGACGGGCTCAGCACGCCCAGCTTTCACCTCCATTCAGTAACCTGTTTAAGTATCTCTTCCCTGCTTCTGCTTTTTTCTGCGTTTAGAAAATTAGAACATTTGCCTGTCTCCAATCTTCTGACACTTCTCCTCTCCTTCAAGACCCCTCAAAGAATACTAAAGGGGCTTCTGCCAACCACCTGGACAGGCATGTAATCCCATGGAACCTCGAGCTTGGATTGAAAAGCAGCAAGGTGCTCTCCCACTCACTTTTTCCCATGTTGAGCTTCAATTCCTTCTTCACGACATTTGTTCTGAAGCCTCTACTTTCAAGATTCTTCTTTTTAACAAACAAAACAAAACACAGACGTTCATGACAGTTGATCAACTGTGCTCCTGCAACTGGTCCCATCAGAAACCAAGCACCAAACCCACTCTCTCGGTCCATTTATCTCAAACAGACCAAAAACAGGATGAATGTTTCTTGTTCTTAGGCCTTAGTAGAACTTTGAGACTAACCCCATGTCAGCTGGGTTTCCGCCTTCTATGGGCTAATCACACACACATATGCCACTCTTACGTAATCCTGAATTGTATTCTATTTTCCTTGGCCTCCAGCACTCAAGTTTAAAGCTCAGGAACTGTGCACCTCAGAATTTCATGCTCTAAAGAGGAAAGGAAACAGATGAATGCTAATGGCAATCATTTACCAACCCTATCCTGGGTACCACAGACCAGACTAGGCCCTCTTTATGCACTATCTCAATCAATCTTTACAACAAGACAACACCTCATTACCCCGTTCACAGCAGAGAATTAGGTGGCGTGCACAGGGAGGACAGAGAACAAGGTGTGCAGTTGGAACCGGAGCCTGGGGACTCAGGATCCCTTCCTTGGTGTTCACCCTGGGCATGTGGCCCCCGTGCCGGAGACCAGGGAGAGCCAGACTATACGGTGCAGCCAGGCTACATGGCTGCACTGACCCTCTCTTCTCACAAAGTAAGGGCTCAGGAGGAAAACTGTCATGGTCTCTGTCAAATGCTGGTGCAAAGACACATCTAATGATACCACATGAACAAAGATGGTGTTTCCAAATGACAGATTTCCTTATTACCAGAAGCTACGCTGACCAAAGGAAACTCTTGGGAGGGATTCTTACAAACTTTGCAAAATGTAGTGTTTGAGTGTTTCTCTCACTGTTAAAAAAAAAAGTTATGTCATTAATGATTTTCAATCAAATTCCCTGATCCTGTCTCCATAGCCAAGAACATAGTGGCAAGATGGCGGAGGGGAAGGCCAGGTAAGGACCAATGGCTTCTTGAAATGGATCTATCTTAACCACTTTTAGGCTTGAGGTAGAGGGAAGCATCCCTCCATGCCAAAACAACCCAGTGACCTCTGGGCTGCTATTGTACCATTTATGTAAACATGGTAATTAGCTTTTTATAGGCTTTCATATAGTGGTATTCCGTTTTGTTTTTCTGCTTTAAAATAGGAAGTTTTCAAATAACTCATCAGCTCGTGTTTGGTGTGGCAGATAGACAGACTAACGAAACACTAGGAAGCAGGAACATGGGAAACAGACCCAGAGGCCTCTGGGAATTCAGTGTATGATAAAGGCACTATCTCAAGTCAAGTCCCCAGGGAAGAGACAGCCTTCTCAATAAATGGCCATGGGGTACTCTGGTTGGCCATCTGAAAGAAAGCTGGAGCCACATCTCACGCCCACAACAGGATAAATTCCAAAGGTATCCAAGATTTACAATGAAAAAGTAAAAGTATAGAAGGACATATGGAAAACACCCTTTATAACCCTGAAGGAAGAACTTTTTTTTTTTAAACCTAGGACTCAAATTCCAGAAACCATAAAAGAGGGATGAATTCAACTACATAAACATAAAAAATTTTCTTACATGATAAAATATACCACAGATAGATTCCAAAGACAAATAAAAAGCTAGGAGAAAACATTTGCAACTTAGGACACGAAGGACAGACAGGACACAGCGAGAGCTTCTTAAATAAACTTGACACAAGAAAAGACCAACACACCAAGAAAACCGTGGGCCAAGGAAAACCAGGTAAGAAAATATAAGGCCTTCAAACTGATGAAAAGGGACATCTGAACTTCACTAAAATGATACTAAGATATCACCTCTCACCTTTCAGACCACTGGAGATCAGAAAGTGTGATGACAACAACCTGGTATAACTTCCTGATTTTCAAAACTGTGCTGTGGTTAAGATGTTAACATCTGAGGAAGCTCGGTGAACAACTCAGAAAAATAAGGTAAGAACATTTTGTATTAATTTCCCTAAATGTATTTATCTATGAAGAACCACAGCTACTGCTTTGCTGCCTGGTTCATCTGCTTCAAAATAGACACCCACAGTTTATTTTCATTCTGTTGAGATTCACCGTCCACATAAACTTAATCACCAGCAACCTCAGTGGGTTCACCACAGGCTTCCCCCATCAAAGTAATGCATACATTTTGTCTTTACTCCAAGCTTACATGTATCTTTGGGGAACTTCACTATTCATATCTGATTATATGAATCAGATATGGAAGATGAAAACAATTTTAACCCTTATTTCTTCTCTCTAAACCAGACCCCAAACTGGTTCACTGTTTAAAGTGTACAATTCAGTGCTTTTTCTCATTGTTAAAAGCTAGACTTGTGGACAGATCTCTTCATTTTATAAAAAGAAAAAAGGAGAACACTGAAAGAAGAAAAAAAAATGACTCAGCTAACCCAGTTTCAAGAATATTCTGGATGTACAAACAAGAGGCCACAGTGAGGCTATCCGGGCTCCCAGGATAGGAGGGAGGCTTCCCTTGAAGTATGGTTTTGGCTAACTTATTTCTTACCTACACGTTACTCTTTCAAATACATTTTTTCAACAAAATCATCATATCAGAAGAAAACAAACATTACAACAAGCGAACATTAGCTCCTACTCCTTTCATAGAATATTAAATCCTAAAGATACTTATGTTCAAAAACACATCTTCTGGAAGTAGGGGATGATTTAATATTGAGTCTAAAATAGATGGATCAAAACCATAAATTAATAAAAATGTGGTTATAATTTTCTTCTCCTAGGAAATGAACCAAATTAGATCACTATAGCTAGTCAGCCCACAGTCAAACCTGACTTGGGACGATTAAACACTTAAAGATCTGCTGTTAGTGCCGGTAGCTTAAAAAAAGTTGCGAAGCCATAAATTAACAAGCAGAGTCCACACCAAATTGCTGAAAGGGTTTTTTTTCTGTGCCAAATTTACAAACTGGTTTTCTAGAAGCATCTTGTTTCTACAGGAGGACAAAAGCTGACAGGAGGCCACAACATCAGGTGTTTTGTTTTAACTGATCATGGTTACGAAAGACTTTGCATCAGCTCACTAAGCCTAAACAGGGAGGCTCCACACAGTCGCTGCAAATCCAGCCACTTCCTGCCTCACTGTTACCATACTCATCTCCAAAAGGCCACACAGGGACTCCAACCAGACCAGGCTCCACGCTCCATTCCAGCCATCCTGACCCTAAGACGCTGTCAAGAGAGCAGCCTCCCTCACATGGGTGCAGAGAATTTAAGAACCTCCCTTCTGCTAGCCCGCACAGCCTGGCAGCCTGCTGCTTGGCCATACTGGTTTTTTCCCCCTTAGAAAGACCTGGATACCATTTCTGCCCTTGCATTGCACAATATGGAACCGCATGGCTGGCAGTCTCTTCCGGTCCTAGAACTGTGAGTTCAACACACACCACCCAGAAATAGCACAAATTGGTTATTTCCTGTGCAGAAAAGAAAAATCAGCCAAGGCTTCAGAATCCCATTTTAAAGGTTCCCCTTAAAACACTAGTATAGGAGCTGAAATAGGGGTGTCCTTTCTAAGATCCTGAATTTGGCCAGACAGAAAGGATTAGAAATCAATGTCAACTTTTTTCTTGTGGGTGGGGGAGATGCTGAAAGAAAAGATGGTGGTACAAACTGTGAGTCAAAGGCCTAAAAAGGATAATAAATTTTTATGTCTTAGAGACATAAAGTTAAAATAAAAAAGGGACTGTGATGACTAAATCCATTTCTGCAAGACTATGCTTGTAACCATCATCACAGCAAACACTCACCCCAGCTAGGGGTACTGAACCAACCACAGATAAGTGCTGACACTTACAAGTAACATGCTTAATAAAATTTATTTTATCAAGACAACTCCTGAGAGGGCAGACTAACCTGTGAACTGTCACCACTAATGTCTATAAGTGTTCTAATTATATATATTTCCTTTCCATGGAATCAAATGTATACTGCATTTACCTGCGTCAAAGAGAAATGCTTAGTTATTTTTCCAATTCATTTAATTTATCTGATAGAGGTATGAGAAAGTACAAGGGAAAAAAAAGAAAGGGAATAAACATGATGCCGAGAGCTTCTGGAATAACACTAAACTACGGGATACTCTTCCTTGCCAAATGCAAAAGGAAGAAAAGCACCATCTCCAGCCTTCCAGCTCCCAGGCTCAGTCCAGACGCTGCCGATCTGAACACCTGCGTTCTGTGCCACACACTCATGTCCCCAGGCCCTCTCTGCAACCGGTGCCAATAATACCCCATGTGCTCCCTGCTCCAATGCCCCCATTCATCCATATTTACATACATGACCCTTAAAACAGCAAAACATTGAATTGTTCACTCCTCTTTTTAGTGGAAATTGAATATTTCTTAAGATCCTAAAGTGAGGCAACAGGAAGTACAGAGATAAGATAAACTGACACTAACCTCCAGCACTCTCCTGTGTGCCATCAATGACAAAACAGCCTTGCAAGAGCAGCAAAGCCACCACTCTGCCCACCAGCCATATATACTTACACACGCCTGCAAATGATTGTCTTTCAACCCTGAAGCCACAGTGCCCAGAGGGCGGCCAATACAGAGACTATCAACCTCAGTCACTTTCAACCCTGAAGTTGGTATTCCATGTGCATGCACCTAATAAAATTCTGTCTTCTTGGGACCTGTATCATAAAGCAGAATTAGCTTTCCAAAAAAAGTTTGACTGCACATATGATTTATACCAGAGCAAACTACAATAGAGCTTTCAAATGCTAAACTGTTTTGCTCTTTTTACAAGACTGGTAATAAAGAATATATCGTTGATGTGTTTCATTTTAAATGATTCATGTTTTCCTAAAGTCCTAGATGTAAATACCTAGTTTTACTGAAAAAGACTGGGGGGAGGGTGCGTGGAAGATGAGAGGAAGCGGCGAAGGAAGGAAGTTAGGGAGGAGGGAGAGGTCTAGAGGGAGGAATAATGACTCAAATACCTGGTTGAACATGAGCAGTGTTTCTCACCAGGGGCATACAGACGTTTCGGTAATTCTTTGTCGTGGAGCTGTCCCCTGCGTTGTAGGATGTTTAACAACAATCCACACCCTGCCTAAATTGGTGACAATCAACAACGCCTGCAGACACTGCCTGCTGAATATCCCTTGGGGAATGAAATCACCCTGGCTGAGAACCACTGACGGAGCATACATGTAAACTAAATAGACCAAGTTTGTTAAAGCAAAAATAAGACAGGAATATCCATGTATTTTCTAACTCTTTTGGAATATGACTCAAATATTTATGCAGCAGTTTTTATAATTACCCGTTTCAAAATAACTAAATAAACAGGCCCATTCAGTTTAACTCAATATCATGATTAAGTTACAATATACCATATAATTAGAAAACCACCTTTGACCTCTTGCTTGGGAAAAGTGTATAGAGTATGCTATTGCTTATTTGAGGAAAAAAAAAATTAAAAATATATCACTGTATACACATATGTGTTTGCTCACATTAAAAAGCAATAATTATTATTATACATTTGTCCAAACCCATGGAATGCACAACGCAAAGAGTGAACCCAAATATAAACCCTGGACTTTGGGTGATTGGTTTTTGTCAGTGCAGTTTCACCCACAGAAACAAATGCAGCACCCTGTCGGGGATGTTGCTAGTTCATGTGGGGGAACTGGATATATGAGAAAACTCTGTACCTTCTGCTCAGTTTTGCTGTGAAACTAAAACTGCTCTAAAAAATAAAACTTTTTTTAAAAAGCAAGAAATAAAAAGGGGAAAGAAAAAAACATCTTTAAAAAATGGTGATGGAAAAGAGTAGGGAAAAAAGAAGATAGAGAGAGTAGTCATACAAAATAATCATTCTCTGGACATAACCATCTTTGGCTGCGGAACCATGCGAACAGTTTAGATAATAAACTATTCGGGAGGCTGAGGCAGGAGAATCGCTTGAACCCAGGAGATGGAGGTTGCAGTGAGCCAAGACTGCACCACTGCACTCCAGCCTGGGTGACAGAGCAAGACTCCGTCTCAAAAATAAATAAATAAATAAATAAATAAATAAAATAATAAACTATTAACTTTTTTAAAGTCCAAAAATTAAAAGCAGAATGAAACAAACTAAACTATAAATTGAGTTGGTGGCTTAAGTACAGAGAGGAATTATCCTGAAAGACTTTGAAATACAATAATTGGACTGTATTTCCCCTGTGAGATAAACCCTAAGGACAAAAACATTTTCTGTTGTTTTCAGTACTTATATGGTTTGCAATTATATTGGTGGGGTTATTTTAAACATTTATATATATTGTATATAAATAAAACACACAAGCAAGCAAATAAGTCATTACGTAAACGATCCTAGGGACAAAGATTTTCAGCATAAAGGAAATATAAAATCAAAGGATTCAGCCAGGCATGGTGGCGCATGCCTGTAATCCTAGCACTTTGGGAGGCTGAGGCGGGCGGATCACTTGCGGTCAGGAGTTTGAGACCAGTCTGGCCAACATGGTGAAATTTTAGAAAATTCTTCTAAAAACACAAAAATTAGCCAGCGTGGTGGCAGGCGCCTGTAATCCCAGCTACTTGGGAGGCTGAAGCAGGAGAATCACTAGAACCTGGCAGGTGGAGGTTGCAGTGAGCCAAAATGGCGCCACTGCACTCCAGCCTGGGCGACAGAGCAAGATTCCGTCTCCAAAAAAAAAAAAAAAAAAAATCGAAAGATACAATATTTTAGAATCCTAATTTTGAGTTATAAGTATCAATGTGAATTTATAATAGATTATGTTTAAAAACAAACCACACCAAAGAAAAAAAGCTTTTATCCACTGAAAAGGCTCAGACACAATGACCAAACCAGAAGCAACCCATAAACAGTAGTGGTCCCCACAGTTCTTTGAAGGCACGCAGACCCCAGCTGGGGTAGGCACTGTCTAAAGGAGCCTGAAACCCCCACAGCTCCCTGCTTTCCGGTGTGATTATTAAGGACTACAGGCACGTGGCAAGAGAACACGAAGGCCACCTAAGGCAGCTTTCGCTGGCCAAGGCTGGGGCAGCCTGAGCAGCAATGAGGGTGTCAACTGCAGTGGGTAAAAATACACACAAAGTATCTTAAATCAGAGTTCCACAATTGCTACTCAAAACAAAGAAATAAACAAATTCATTGCTCACTTTGGTGGATACTGGGGAACCAGAACTATTTACTCTGAAAACTGCCAAATAAACTTGTTAGCCAGTGCAATGCCTACATGACCTAGGTGAATTTCTACCCTGCCTTAACTCTACTTGTCTCAGAAACAGGATGCCCGAGGTCAGAAGTTCCCTGCCTGACCAGACCAGCTGAAACCAGTGGGATCCAAGATGGCAGCTCACCTGACCTCTGAAGAACCTTTAACTTCATTATCATCTAATTTCCATACTAAATGACACTCCCACTAGGACCATGACAGTTGACAATCACCATGACAATGACAAGAAACCATAAGGGGACAAAAAAACAGGCAGCACTCTGGTTTCCAGAAGTTCTCCACCCATTCCCAGAAAATACATGAATATTCCTCTCCTGGCTTTTAATGCCCAATCCCTTCATTAAAGATGTCCTACATCTGTGGCTTCCCACCTCTCATGGACTGAGAAGCCAATTTGCGAGCCACACTGCCACTTCTCAATTCCACGGCCATTATATAAAGCCTGCACTGCTTGATGCTCACCTTCAGTTTCATGGGTTGGCTTCATGACACAGGACAGGAAAGAATCCCACCATTAGGGAAAAGCTGACTCGGTTGGTGAGAAAGGGAAAGACTCCCATCTAAACTGCACGTCGGGGTAATAGCTGACAAGTACTCTCCTCACCTGGCTAGCAAGTGCAGAAGGAGTGACTGAATCAGAAAATCATCACTTTGCAACCCCTGTGCATTACAGGTGGAGGCCACGGCCATCCAGGTTGCTCACATGGGCCTCGGCCTGATAGATGCACACACACCACCTAAGGGGCAGCCTTGCCAGAAAATCGCACCAGACTGGCTCTGGTTCTGATGTGCAGTTTCTAGGAAGTTCAGGGTCCTAGTCAGCACATTGCAGACTGTGGGAAGCCCAAATGACAAAAGACCGGGTTTTGCCAACAAATCAACTGGCATGGGGAAGGTGGAAAAAAAAAAACAAACGAGTTTGGACAAATCAATAGATCATTCAGCTGCATGTGTGGACCTTACGTGGATTCTGACTTTAACAACCAGTTGTAAATAACATTTTGAGACAGGTGGGAAAATTTGAACACTGACTGCATACTTGTTAAGTAGTTATTGTTATTGAAATTCCGTAATATTTACAGGACAGGAATTGATGTCTGGAATTCACTTCAGAAATAATCTGTTAGAGTCTATAGGGGCTTAGATAAAGGATTGGCCATTAATTGATAACTGCTGAAGCTGGGCAATTTATTCTGATTCTACCTTAGGACTACACTGAATATGATGATCTTGATAACTAAGAAATCACATCTTACAAAGAATGTCAAGATCATCATAAAATGTGATAGCTGAAAGGGCCATCAGAAACCCCCAAGCAGCAAACCATCTTCTACATATGAAGGTGCGCAAAGCACCTCCCTGCCTAGGGCATGGAGCGGGTCAGTGGTGAGGCTGAGCAGGAGGGGTCTCCAAAATCTCATCCATCTCTCCGGTCACCAAGGCAGGACTGGGGAAGCGTTCCCACGGCTCTGTGCAGAGCCCACAACACAATCAACAGCTTGCTTTTCAGAATCAACCGCTAACCCATTAAGGCTCTTCTTTTTGTTTCTGATTATGCTTAAAAAACACACACTCAAAACATCGAAAAAACATTTTTGGTAGCTTGACCTCTGCTCCTCCCAAAAAGAAAAATCAGTTCACTCGATAAAATCTTGGTAAGTTATTCGGGTGTTAAATATACAACAGATATGAAAATATTGAGTGGCCTATCAAAACACAACCACCACGAGCAGCTGCGTCATTTTTACATGGATCAAATTATAGACAAAACTCACAAGCTCTACGAAGAATGTATACCACTGATTTGCCTGAATTGTCAAGTAGAAAAACGAAACCCTGTATCAAGCACTTCAAGAGGTCACTATGATCAGATCTATTATGGAGTCAGTTCGAAATGCTCTTTGCTCTAGAGAAGTTTAAATGAACACAAGAGTGCTCTAAAAACATACAATAAACTACACTGTAATACACGGAACAAATAAGGACATCCCAAAGACAGTGAGCGAAGAGTAATCTGCAGCAGCACTCTGGCCGGTAAGCACGGCAACGGGGCGAGGGTGCACTCCCTACATTGTTGTTAGGCACTTTACACCGTATATCCTCCCATCGTGAAAGCCACCGAGCCTTCCACCACACCTGGTCACTCTTCTTCTGGAGTGAAGAGAAAAACGTGAAGGCACAGAGGTTACGTGGGAGAGGTAAAAAATGACCAGTTTCTTATCAGTGTGGCTGTAATTTACATCACTGCCTCAGGTTTCTCTAGATGAATCAACATTCTCTTAAGAATTACTAGAATTTAAATCCTGGAAGGAAGGATTAGAGATCTTCCGCTGTCACCTCTTCATTTAACAAATGAGAAAATGAGGGTGCAGAGTGGCTGAGCCCAGGGCCGCAGGGGCTTCCAAGTGGCTCCCACATACAGTACCTACCCTCTCAGCTGTGTTGCTCATGGGCATTTCCAGAGCCCCAAAGTTTCCTGAGTGGGAGCGGACAACCTCTAAGCAGTGCCTTCCAACTCTTGCAGGTTCTAACACGAGGAGCACTCCCCTAGCAGTGTGCATCTGTGATATAAAGGGGAGGGGTTGGACTCTGGCTGGCTCCTCACCAAGCCCTGCAGATGAGGACTCTCCTCCCTTGCCTCGGGCTGACCTGCCACACCCTTCCTTCTTCGGGCACAGCTCAAAGGCCGTTCCCTCCACCCAAGTCTTGCCTATGTGCATCAGCTGGCAGCGAGAGACCCACCTGGACAGCAGCCTTAAAGAAACAGGTACAGTCTCCTGAAGACAAGCTCCACCCATGTACACTTCTCCCCTAGGGGTGCCCAGAACAGAGGAAGGAGGCACTAAGGGCCTGGCCTGATGCCTTCACCTAAGATGAGGACAGGTGCGGGGGATGCAGTAAGATGTCACATCAAGTGATGACACTCCAGGCAGCAACACCTGGCACACTTCTCAAAGGGCCTAGGAAACCAGGGCTCCAGAGGTGGCTCCTCTCAGTGGGTGAGGTAACAAGAAATGGGGCAGGCGGGGGTGGCCGGGCTCCCAGGCTGCCTGCAGAGGGGTCTCCTCACAGGCACAGACTCTCCTGCTGCCCAGGCATAGAGTGCTACCCATCCTAGAAGTCAGGCTACTTGCCAGCCTATGGCATTGAGAAGCCCAGGGCTCAGCAACTGTTCCCACTCTGAGTCAGCAGGGCAAGATCTGCTAAAAATAGATGGTGGGCAATGACGAGAGCTGCAGGAAGCCAAGAAACGAGTCTGTCATTTTAATCCAATCAACAGATCCTAATGACATGCACACTATTTCTAACGGTTTACTTTTATGTCTAAATGTTCAGGTCTATTTGTGGGCTTTGATGAAGAAGAAACGGCTGCCCGTATTTTTAGCTCACAAATCAACTTTTAATTCTTCTCGTTCTACAAATAGGAAGTAACATTCCACAAAGTAGAAGCAATAAAAATTAAGATGTTTTGAAGACAAGCCAATTCTGCTCCCTTGCACTCAATACATGAACACGCTAGTGTTGGACTCTGATTACCCTGCCCCCTCCAGGCAGTGATGGCAAAACACAACATCCATTCGTGAACATTTAGTTGGCGACCACTCATATCCAACCTGTTCGTTATCTGATGGTGAGGTGTGCCCTGGCCAGCACCAGCATCACCTGGGGACTTTTTAAAAATGCAAATTACTGGGGCCCACCCCAGACCACTGAGGCAGAAACTGGGGGTGTGTGGGGCAGCAGTCTGTGTCAGAAAAAGCCCTCCCGTTAACCGGGAGCAAGCCTAAGTTGGGGTTTGAGAATCACAAGCCGGGGAGCAAGGTCCTCACCAGCAGATGATGATGGACAATAAGTGCTTTACAGCTGGTTCCGAAGGCAGGTTTTATTGCTCCTATAAGGATTTTATGTAGCAAGAGGATCATTTTCATCAGAAAGACTCAGGGAAACATCTCTTCAACTAGAAAGAACTCTCTTATGTGTAACAAAAGAAGGCTAATGTTTTTCTCATTGAAAAAAGGTTGTGAGGCCAGGCAAGGTGGCTCATGCCTGTAAGCCCAGCACCTTGGGAGGCCGAGGCGGGTGGATCACTTGAGGCCAGGAGTTGGGAGACCAGCCTGGCCAACATGGCGAAACCCCATCTCTACTAAAAATACAAAAATTAGCTGGGCATGGTGGTGCACACTTGTAATCCCAGCTACTCAGGAGGCTGAGGCAGGAGAATTGCTTGAACCTGGGAGGCAGAGTTTGCAGTAAGCCAAGATCGCGCCACTACACTCCAGCCTGGTCAATAGGGTAAGACTCTGTCTCCAAAAAAAGAAAAAGAAAAAAATGGTGTGAAGTGCCACATCTAACTGCAAACCTGGCCTCTCACACCCGCTATGGGAGCCGAGGGTCCCAGGCCCTCAGCTGAGGAAGGTGGGTGGGGCTCACTTGGGCGCTGGAACCCTCTGAGCACAAGTGAGGCTGCGGGCATCGGGAGGAGGGGGAGATTGGCAGAGAAGCGTGCATTAAATCGTTCACAGTCATACCATGTTTTAAATAACAATTGTCTATATCAGTTTAGAATTCTAAAAAGTTGAATGCAACCAGAATACATTTTTAGAAACCCAAACGAGCAGATAAGAGATCCGCTGCCCTGACTAGTCACCCTCTGTCAAAACACAACAGAATTAACACAGATAGCTTTTGTTTAAAGTACAGAGTATTGGATTACAGTGGCTTGTTTGTAACTGATTTAAGCTATATAAGAATGAAGAAAACGAATGAAGGAGAACAAACAAAAAAAATTATGCATTCTATGGATAAAGCATATTGAAAGAAAACAAAAAAATAGAAAACTCTAGGAGAAGGCACTTAGAGATGAGGAAGTTCTGCACTGGCCAACAGAAGTGTCTTATTTAACCTACATATAAGTAATATACAGTATAATAATTGTATTAATATAGTACAACTATAGATATGTTAAATATCAAAAATATATATTGCTTGTATTACTTGTTCAAGAGGAGATGGAGATAACAGTAGTTTCAGAATCCCTATTAATGAGAAAAGTTCATTTGGATAGAGTATGACTATAAATATACAAACCAGAGGAAAAAGGAAACCTAAGCATGGAAAAAAGACTGAAACATCATCATCTAAATGGCGTTGATAGAAATGGAGAAAAGAATTTCCCTCTCCTTTTAACCTACTTTTAAGCAATGGCTTTAACTCCATGAAAATGCATTTTATGGGTGTAGAAGTTTCAAGGGCACAAAAATCCTTTAAGCAAAAGACAGCACTAGTACCTAGGTTTTCTAACTTTTGTCTCCAATTCACATAGCTGATGAAAAAACTTATCTAGAATTGGCCTCCTTCCTCCCCAACTCTCACTTCTAATCCCCTACACTTTACGGAAGTGAAAGGAAAGTCAAATTGAGAAGCTTTTTCAAAGCTAGCACCCTCACTTTTGCATCCAAAATGGATCCAAGCAGATCCAACCTTGGAAGGAGACACATCCCAACTCTGATTTGTCCTTGGCTGGTGGCACGTGGAGCCCAGGAGGGCAGGAAGCCCAGGTCTACTCACTTCTGCCAATGGGCCAGGGATCTACAAGTCGGGGGCGGTGGGGGGCGGTATACGCATGTGTTTCTAACAGAATGAGATCATCTTATAACATGGATGTAGCCCAAAATTAAAGCAAAACAAGTTATGGCCGTAATTTTCCCATCTACCCATTCCCTCACTGTCATCAAGAAAAGATGGGCCTTGTTTCCAGCAAGAAGGAACCTGGCTAGTGGAGATGCTCCTATGGGGAAGGTGCAGTGGTCACCAGTGCACCCTGACACCCCATGGGGTGGAGTCTCCACCGCAGGGAGAGACTGAGGTAGCTTCACTGCCTGAGTCAGCTCAGGCAGCCCTAACAAAAGACCACAGGCTGGGGGCTTCAACAGCAGGTATTCATTTCTCGCAGCTCTGGAGGCTGCAAGTCCAGGATCCAAGTGCCAGCAGAGTCTGATGGGGGCCACTTTCTGGCTTGCCGATGGCTGCCTTCTCGCTATGTCCTCAGGTGGCAGAGAGAGCTCTCTGCTGTCTCTTTTCAGAAGGGCAGGAATCCCATTATGGGGGCCCTACTCTCAACCCTATTTCCTCAGAGGGCTCATCTCCAAATATAGTCACACTGGGGGTTAGAACTTCACCACCTGAATTTCTGGGGGACATAAAATTTCAGTCCATTGCACTTGCAGGTGGAAGACTCAGCCCAAGCCTACAGATATGACCATGTCAGAGCTGAGACTGGGTCCTGCCCCTTCCACGGCGCTGAGCTGAGCTTCCTTCAGTGTGAGGACAACCAACCCAGAAAAGAGAAATCCAGCTGAGTGCTCAGGGCTGAGGGTCAAAGGTGAGGGCAGTGGGAGTAACAGCAGCTGCCCAGTGCCACCACGCCTGCAGCGGGCAGAGCAAGACAGCAGAGGAGTCGCAGCAAAGGGCAGAAGAGAGGAAAGCAGGGCACATGCTCACCCCATTGAGAGCCACCAAGGCCAGGGAGCACCTGTGCGGCACCACGCCAGCTGAAGTTTCGCAGGTCCCCTGCTTCGAGTCTGGACGGTGCTGTTATCACCATGCTTTAGAAAGGAGGGTGCCTGAGCAGCAGAGGTAAGGGAGTCAGCCTAAGGCTAGGGTGGGAGCAGGGCTGGTAGAAGGCACTGGCCCAAGAGAGGCAGAGGGGAACAAACCCAGGAGGAAGCAATGCGTGGGGGAGGCAGAAGGGAGGAGAGAGTAGAAGCTGGACCTGAAGGAGGCAGAGAAATAAGAGACAGCGATGGAGACAGGAAGCCCTGCCCGGGGACCCAGGAGAGTCAGGCCAGGCCACAGCCACCACAGGGACACAGTGCTTATCAGGCCTCACCCTGAGCCAGCTATGTGGAGTTTAATTTCACTCTCATAACCGCGCGAGGCCGGCATTACCTCCTTTTCCTAAAGGTGTGGATGAGTCTGAGCTAAAGGAACCGACTCAGCATCTCATGCTTAGAGAGGAGCAGACACAAGATCCCAGCAGCGGCCAGGGCCACCTCCAAGGCTGGCAGCCAGGTCTCCAAAGGCAGAGACCTTTCCAGACAGGCCCAAGACAACACTCCCAGCCTTCCCGAACTCCCATCCTGTCCCCAGCCTGCCCACTGGCCGTTCCCAGGGCTAATGGAACAAGTCCGTGCTCAGAGCCAGGCCTGGCACATAGCACATGCTCAGCTAATGATCACTACGGTTATTACATAGATTCAAAATAATCATTTGTTATCAGAGTCATTTGTACACATAATTTTTTCATCCCTGGTGCTGGGATTGTTTGTAATTTATTGTTCAGTCCACAACGCTAATCATGCTGCCCTAGACACAACAGATGATCAATAAAAGGCTGGCTGGATGAATGGATTAATTAACTGATAGAGAGATGTGCAGTGGAAGGGACGTGAGAATAAGGCAAATAAGGCAGAAGGTAAATGAGAAAATTGACAGATGGGCAAAGAGTGGACACACACACGTTTACGAAAACACAAAAAACAGGCAAAAGGTATTAAGTCCAGGGAACCAGTCGCCCAAGTTAAATAATTTGGGCCTCCCTGGACCATCATCTAGACCAAAAGTATTGCACTGCTACTAGATATCGTATTTATTTTCTTCAGCACATCAAATGAGAACAGCTAAATAAATAGACTCAGCACTTACTAGGAGTCCTGCGCCCAACCTCCTGCTGACCCTCAGAATGACATTTTGGGTGTGATCAGGTTCTCCCAAGCTTCGGCTTATAAAGCACAAAGGCAAACTTAACCTCGGCAGGGCTGCCCCAGACTCCCTGGCTGGGCATACCTGCAAACACCTGAGCGGATGTTGAGGTGGCTCAGAGCCAATCCTGTGGCTTCCACTCTATTGGTGCTATTGGAGATTGGGCCTTTCCCTTTACTGTTCACAGCGGGAAACCTGTCAGTGGGACCAGGTTACAAGGAGGACTGGGCAGGCTGCATTAGATTTTGTATTGGCGGTCTTTTGGTCGTGTCACTTTGGACTCTATCTTTCTGAATAGCAGGAATTACACTCACATGTCTCCCTGTAGGACAACACAACAATTTTTTCCTGTGTCCACAGACATCTCAGGAAGCTTCCCACTAGCCTCCTTGGCCAGGACGGGGGAACCGTCCTCTGGTTCTTTTTACACTTGGACACACACAGCATGGCCACCTCGGCTCCCAGTGACACCGTAAAGAACCAACTGCCGCTCACGCCTGTAATCCCAACACTTTGGGAGGCCGAGATGGGCGGATCATGAGGTCAGGAGATGGAGACCATCCTGGCTAACACAGTGAAATCCTGTCTCTACTAAAAATACAAAAAATTAGCCAGGTGTGGTGGCCGGCGCCTGTAGTCCCATGTGCTCAGGAGGCTGAGGCAGGAGAATGGCGTGAACCCAGGAGGTGGAGCTTGCAGTGAGCTGAGATCGCGCCACTGCACTCCAGCCTGGGCGACAGAGCGAGACTCCGTCTCAAAACAAACAAAAACAAAAACAAAACAAAAACGAAAAAACACACAAAAAAACACATAAAAAACAACTACCTGCTTCAGAAAGCATTTCAAACTGGGAGGCTGCCTAAGTGCATGCACGTGTTCCTAACTTTACTCGTGTATCCTATTCTGTCAGTATCTGAGGACACACTCTTTGTGCATATTCTAAGAATGTTGAAATGGGAAGTGTGGGAAACACGGGCCTGGAACAGTGGCTGCTGAGGAACGGATGGACCTCAACAGACACACTGCTCCTCCAGGGGCAAGTTTGATGGTGTTATAGTTTTCACTAGACTAAATGAGAATCTTTTATGGCAAGCATTTGTAACTGCCTGCCTAACCACAGACATGCTCAATTTAAATGTGATTATTATAGAAATGATAAAAATGCATTTATGCTCACCTACATTGTAAAGACCTGAATACATCTCTACATTGTACCCTCCACAAGCGAGGCTCCACATAGTGGAAACACAAATGTATCTTGAATTTAACATGCCCCTTCACCTCAATATAACCAGCATCAATACTTACTAGCCTGAAAGGCTGTTTTAAACAGCTTGACATGTAAGCAAATTAAACTCTCCCCTCCCGATTCACCCCAAGCCCATATGACCACCACAAGGAGTCCGATCAGCAGGTGGGAAAACTGCTCCCCAGAAATGCCACTGGGGTGAGAAAAGGGATGGCAACTTCCTATTAGAAATAACAGCCGGGCGTGGTGTCTCATGCCTGTAGTCCCAGCATTTTGGGAGGCTGAGGCGGGCGGATTACTTGAGCCCAAGAGGTAGAGGCTGCAGTGAACAGAGATGACGCCACTGCACGCCAGCCTGGGTGACAGAGGGAGAGCCTCTCTCAAAAAAGAAAAGCTCCCAGTGACGCTTTCCTGAATGAAAATGAATTTCATCACTGCCAATGCCACGCATGGTGTTGAGGCCAACCAGGTGCCACAGAAGGGACCTGCCGTCCAGCTGAAGCAGGTCCTGCTGCTTACTCAGTGACCTGCAAAGGCAATGGCACTCTGTCTTCTGCAGAGAAAGGGTGTTTCATTTTCTCGTGCAAATTCCAAATATATCCACATTTCAGATTGCTACAAGGCAGTACTATAAAGGGAGAAGCGAAACAACTCCCACTTTCTGGGAAGAAATGCCCTTGTTTCCAGCTGCAAAACCCTCTCTGTGGGGAAGCACACTGAAGTCGCTCAGGAACAGGCCACCCCTCTTGGAAAGAGTGGAGGTCATCATTTTTCACCTATTAGCGAAAAAAAAACATAATCTGAATACATTTATGTAGGGCTATTACCCAGAATATTTACAGGGTTTCTTCGTGCTAAGGTATTTCATGATGCTCAGAGGAACAAGGTGGAAAAAACACACCATTATTCTCCGCGAACGGCTGCCTTCCTAGTAACTGCACCCACGGTGGCAAATACTGCACATTAACCTGTGCCTTGGTGGTGTACGAAGCTTCCCACAAGCAGGTGAAGATGAAGAGCTAAGTCTGGCTCAGACAGGCAACGCTGCATCGAGCTGTTTTTACTCTAAATAAAAACCATGTTCCACGCGGGCCTTCACGGTGCTACCCCAGAACACGGGCACAATTTAATGCCTCACTCCGAGGAAGGAAGCTCAGGGAAGTCTCCTCTAGTGACTCTTAGAGGCTCCCCAAAGGAGGAGGGCGATGGGGGCCCACCCAAGCTCTAGCGAGGCTACAAACAGCACGCAGAACATTCCACTGCCATTACTTTCCATCTTCAAAAGATTACATATCATCTTAAAGAAAATTCAAGGTTAAATTGGCTTCCTCAGCTGCTGCGGCAGAAAGCAAAGCAGTGCTGCAGAGAAAGTTAAACCACCTCCCAGGGCTCTGGCCTTCTGCAACTCTTATTCTAAGGCAGCTTCCCCATCTATCTTGTTCCACGGTTATATCCCAGGTACCCAAAAAGGCTCTGGCCTTAAGGCTTACCTGTTGCAAATGATAGTCGACCAACTCAGCTGCAAATGGGGCTTGTTATGACACCGGAAATAAAGGTGAGGCTGCCACCCTCTTCGCCAAGCCGGTGAGCACAAGTGTCTGGAGTAACTGCCCCCTACGCCTCTCCAGTTGGGAGCGTTGGGGACAGTAAGTGAGTACTAGTCACTGGAAGCCAGCTCTGAGAGGCAGGTGCTGTGGCTGCCAGAGCTGAGCACAAGCCTAACAGCCTTTGCAACCTCCTCTTCTCCCCGACATCCACTTCGCCTCTACAGGCAGCTGCAGCCCATTTTGCCAAATGATTTCAACGGGCCGGATCCCCCACTCTCAGAAACGATCAGGTTCTATCATTTGACGTTGCATGAGGAGAGCTAAATTAGCCATGAAAACAAAACTGCTCTAACAAAATAAAAAGTACTAAAACCACATACTACCTATGCATGGAGTTCAAGAGTGAGAGGATGAAAACATAAGACACTTCACATAGCCAGCATTCCTCAAGTGAGATTTTGTGTAGAATTTAAAGTAACTTTAATACTTAAGAAAAGAGCGTTCATTATATAGACTGTTTCTTCTCAAGTCCTCAAATGGCCATCAACCCAACTCTGACACCTGCTGTGGAGAGAGTGGAACTAGTTTTAGGGAGATTTTTGGTGGCAGAGAGAGAAGGCAGATCACTAATCCCCATGGGCTGGTGGAAGCCATCAGCAGGATGTGCCTGATAATCCATCCATCTACACCAGAAGGAAGGGCCACCCTGAGTCCCTGGGCCCGGCCACCCCGCCTGCCTACAGCCAGACCAGGAGGGTTGTCCCCTTACTCCTATAAAGAGAGGGGAAAGAGATGATCGGTGATAGGCTCCCACTCTCGCGGAAGCCCAAAAGCAACTTCCCGCAGTCATAGTAAGAACAGAGTAAGGAAGGAATGGACCTCAAACCTGGGAAACCAGGTCTTTGTCTAGGAGCTCCTCCCTCAGCTTGAGGGACCTGATGGGCCGCAGGTTTTCAGGTAATTTGGACTCACTTGGACATTCTCAACTTCATAGTCAAGAAACTGACAGCTGTATGTACCTATTTCAGTTAAAAGCATTTACGGCAAGAAATAAAGAGGGAAGAATACATATGCACGTATACCAGTTCATTCAGCAAATGCCTAATGAGCATCACTACGTGGCCAGAGTCCTTATCACAGACTCATTCCAACTGGAGAAACAGACATGTCTACAAATTTTCGTACTGCGGAGAGGCGACAGCTCTGTCACAGACAACATAAATTGCAGGATTATCACTTGCCAAGCCACAGGCTCTGTACTTTTCATGCATTGCTCTTTATTATAAACCTAACAACTACCTTACAAGACTGCTATTTTCTCCATTTTTCAGATAATAAAACTGATGCACAAAGACCTCTGCCAGCCCAAAGTCACACTATGGCAATGGCAGGTCATGATTCATGCCAGCAAACCAGATCTTAACTGCTAGGCTGTACTGCCTTCCAGGAATGAGTGCAGAAATATTACGAAACAGACGTACATGGACTAGAAGGCCAAGGAGGGTCACTAGTTCTGGCTGGGGGAATCCTGAAGGCTTCAAAAGGGAGATTGCATTTAGTCAAGTCTTGCAGTGTGGGAAGGGATGAGTGGTGGAGGTGGAAGCGGAGATGGGAGAAGGCTGCCCCTGTGTCAGCAACAGGACCTGCAAAGGCACAGAGGTGTAAAAAGTGCACGGCTCCCTTGGGAATACCTAGAGTAATCATGTTCATAAAATTCACAAGGGCTGAATGGTAGAAGGTGGAGCAAAGATCAGATTTTAAAGGTGCTTTGACAACACAAAGGCACCTCTAGGAAATGGGAAGCTAATAGTTTATAAGAAGAGAAGTAAAACAATTAGATCTGTATCTTTGAAAGCCAACCCCGGAATAGGTGGGTGGGAGGGAGAAAAATCTGAAAGCAAGAAGACAGGAAGACCACGACCAGGTGAGAGACAAAATCTAGATTCGGGCAATGAGAAAAGAGAGGGTCACTTAGTCAAGGCTGGGTGACTGTGGTAGTCCATTTGGCTGGCTGTAACAAAATACCACAGAATGGTGGCTTATAAACAAAGGAAGTTATTTCCCACAGTTGTGGAAGCTGGAAGTCCAAGATCAAAGTACCAGGAAATTCAGTGTCTGGTAAGGGCCTCCTTCCTGGTTCCTACACGGCGGCTTCTTGCTGTGTCCTCACATGCTGAAGGGGTGAGGGGGCCCTCTGGGGTGTCTTCCGTAAGGAAATTAATCCCATTTGCAAGCGCTCCCCTCTTACGACCTAATCACCTCCCAAAGGCCCCACCTCCAAATACCATCACCTTGGGGGGTAGGATCTCAACATATGAGGGACACATTCAGACCACATCAGTGACCAGGGGCTCTGACTGGTGACTGATGTTTCAGCATAATTACAGACAGCACCCCTCCCACTCTCAATAGTGCCCAGGTATAGATGACAAAAATGTGGTTATCACTTTATTCAACATCTATATGGATGTGACACAGGACATGAGCGAGAAGCAGGATTTGAGGATGAACATTAGAATTTTAACCCAGATACCAAACGAAAATGAGAGAGCCAGAAAGGGAGAGAGTATGTGTGTGTGTCCTTTAGATGAATGTGTGTGTGTGTGTGTGTGTGTGTGTGTGTGTGTGTGTATATATCTCTCTCCCATATTATGGAAATAAATGTGACAGACATCTAAATATTTATGACTATCAGGTCCCAACTTAATCTAGATGCTGAGAAGCAATGGTTTTATTAATAGAAATTTCACTTTAAAAACCTTCCAAATATTCTACAATAAATATTTATTATTCTTGATTAATCTTGCAACCAGAAATTTTAAAACAAAGGAAATATGCTTCATTTCTAGTACGTCCAAAATATGCTCAGTTAAAATAATGCCATTGAATAAGGTAAAGGCAAAACTGGAAAAACGGAAATTAGAGTAGTTTATGAAAAGAGTAGAATTGAATTAAATAACCCAAGGAAGCACACACAGGAGGTCTTGAGAATTCGCTGAGCTGTGAAGTATGTGGATATGTACACGCTATCCTGAATGAGAGGGTGAAGGCGGTCTCGTAGGCTATGGCATTCAGGCTGTTTTCCCCATATCAGTTTCTCCTTCCTATAACTAAGGGAATTAATCCATCATACAGAACGTGAGGACTCTACAAAGCTACATTTCTGCTAGGGAATTACTATGTATATGTATGTGAGTGTGCGTTTTAAATCATGGTCTGACCAAGAGGCTCAATTCAAAAGCTGATTAGTGGGAAAAAAAAAAATCAAAGCTCTTTCCTCCTCTCCTCCACCTGCATACGTCTCCCGTGGGCGGAGAGCAAGCTCTCCTTTCCATCTGCCCACAAGGCCAAGTGTAAAGCACAAAGAATGGGCAGTCCTTTTCAGGTCTGCAGCCAGGAGGCTGCACCCAGCTCCAGGAAGCCAAGTTCAGCTGGACGCAGCCACCCACCACTTGGTAGGTGGCAGAGATGCAGCCATATTCAGACAGACTGAAGCTCTATATATAACAGTCACATGGCAATCAACTTAAAGTATCCCCTTTAGTTAATTAAAAAAGATTAAAAGCCTCAAGTCTAGGTGTTTTCTGTTTTCTTCAGGAGTGATTTTAATAAACACATTTTATGACGGATTCTTTTTTTTTTTTTTTTTTGAGACGGAGTCTCGCCCTGTTGCCCAGGCTGGAGTGCAGTGGCACAATCTCGGCTCACTGCAACCTCTGTCTCCCAGTTTCTAGCGATTCTCATGCCTCAGCCTCCAGAGTAGCTAGGACTACAGGCATGTGCCACCATGCCCAGTTAATTTTTGTATTTTTAGTAGAGACAGGGTTTCACCATGTTGGCCAGGCTGGCCAAAAACTCATGACCTCAAGTGATCCACCTGCCTCAGCCTCCCAAAGTGCTGGGACTACAGGTGTGAGCCACTGTGCCCAGCCTTATGATGGATTATTAATGAAAATTATTCTCAATTATTTGTTTTAACATTTAAATATTGAATTTCCAAGTTTAAAAAAGATATTCTTAAAGCATATTCTTAAAGCTCTTGAAAAAAAAAATAACCATTATCTCAATTAGCCTGGTATAGTGGTGTGTGCCTATAGTCCTAGCTACTTGGGAAGCTGAGGCAGGAGGATCACTGGAACCCAGAAGTTTGAGGCTGCAGCGAGCTATGATCACACCACTGCACTCCAGCCTGGGCAAGAGAGTGAGATCCTGTCTCTACAAAAATAATAAGAAATGAAAGAAGAAAAAAATAACCATTATCTCAATTGATACACATAACCAGTGCAGTAACAAGGGCATGATTTCCCAGCCTAAGGAGGAATGTGCAGAAACTCCAGTTAATAGGGGCACCTTTGGTTCACGCAGCCACCAGCATCCTGCATTACTCTGTGAGAGTTAACTCTGCCGGCAAATCCCCATGGAGAGGCTGCCCAGAACCAAGGGCTTCTTCCCTCTGCCATCACCGCCCTTCCCTGGTCCCCATGCACACAGTGTTAAGGGCAGGTGTGTTCTTACACACCACCACTTCCCACGCCACAGAGGATGGTCAGCAGATGTGGTCAGAGTGGGCAGCTGACCAAACTGGGCCAAAGCAGCTCTTTCCTCAAGGCTAGAACACAGAACAGATCCTGAAGGCTCCAGCCTCTGCTGGAGACACATGCCTCCAGGATGTTGGCAAAGGTCACTACCACATGTGCTGGGATAGGGACGGCCAGTCTGTAATGTGCAGAGGGATAGAGCTGAGAGGCAGGGGGCTTTCTAGGTCCCCAGTCCCCCTCTAAGCCCGGGACCCAGTCCCAGAGGCCTGCCAACATCTCCTTCACAACACATCTTGTCCTTAGGACAAATTTCTCTCACTTCACAGAGCTCAATGGGGTTTCTTTTACTGCCACTTTGGCAGCTCCTCCAAGCACAGCTGAAGAAGGTGAGGAGAAAAGGCAGGTGCAAATAAGGGAGCTAGGAGAGACTCACAAAGTCCAGGTCTCAAACAAAAGAACTTTCCATGACAAGAAGACAGGCAAAGGCTGAACGGCTAGGCGAAACCAAGGTGCTGCTGCTGGAATCCTGTGAGCTGTCACCCCAGTACCGATCCTCTCTTCAATACGAGCACAGAACTGCAAAGGGAGCTCGGCATTTTCAAGATGCACGTGTTTGTTTCCTGCTTGACAGGAGCAAACAGTTCCTACCAGGGCTTCAAGTGGTCTGCTTCTCCACCCACAACATATGCACCAGAGAACCACAGTGTCCACAGTGGCTCTACACACAGGACCTTGATAGGAATTGTGCGCATTGGTGTCCACAGACTGTTACCCGGAGAACAGCTGCAACTGAAGTCATTTATAGTCATTTCCACTGGCCAAAGCAGGTCATGTTAAACTTTTCATTTGTTTTGTTTTTCCATTTTGGTGTGTGGGTATAATCCGCATGATTATCAATATCCCATTTCCATTGATCCATACAGAAAATGCACAGCACCTACCACTCTCCACCCACGCCGTGCCAGGTGGTGAGCACTGGGTCATTTCATTCCACCCACACTCTCAGGAGTCTGTGTGCAAGATGTGGCCTCCTGGTGTGAGGACTGCCCCAGCCCTCCTCTGTACCTGAAAGCTACCCTTGCCAGCTGGATTCTGGTTAAGTTCTGTCAAAGACACAACCAGGTGCAACATTAAAAGGCAGGAGGAAGGGCAAAGCGTTGCCCCCCCGCAACACCCCGGCTCGTGGCTATGGGGACAGCAGGTTCCTAAAGCAGCAGTGACGAGAGTAGAAGGTTCCAGCTGCCATCGGTGGAGTGCCCAGTGACAGCCGCAGGGCCGTGGGCTCAGAATTCCTGCTCGGCGGCAGCAGCAGTGAGGAGAGCACCTGCTCTCAGGCTCTGGGAACTCTCAAGGCCTCATTTTGCCCTTCAGACCTAGGGACAGCGGCAGCTTTCTTAGTCTCTGATCTCTGGGGAAGATGCCTTTGGCTGTCCAGCCCTTCACACTCTCGTGAAGCCACTCCCCATACTAGATTCTGCCTATATGAAACCCCTAGGAGGTTTCCATTTACTGAGAGAGGCTCCAAGGGGTCAGGAAGAACCCCAAGGCCAGAGGAGAGCAGAGATTATCTGAAAAGTGAGGTCAGCAGTACTGACTACCAGAAAGAAACCAGAGGGCTATGGTACCCTCGAATAGTCACGTGTGGTCCGACTGCTAAAGATCCCTGCAGCCAGGAGCTGGGAGCCCGGAGCCTGGACTAAGTCCAGCCCTGCTGGGATGGCTGAGCTAAAACGAGGGAGGCTGGCTGGAGGAGGAAGGTGGCTTGCTAGCTGGCATCATCTGCTCACCAGCTAACCCTAAAAGAAAATCCACAAGTTCCTTTTTCTGATCATGCTCAAAATGTCATAGAGGTCCCCTGCCAGGCCAGGGGACAACCCAAGGCTGGCAGCATGCAGGAGCCCTCCACGGGTGGGTAGGCTAGCAGATGGCATGGCACAGGAAGCAGCCCCCAACCACAGCTGGGTGACTGTACACCCTGGAGGGCGGCCACCCTGTCCCAGTCAAATGGGCCCACCTGGTATATGCATGGTGACAGGGGTTCTGAACTCCCTCCCCCAAACGTGCTTTGGCTGCTTCCAGAAGATGTTGAAATGTTAAGATATTTGGAGGACTTATAGAAATAAAGGGCAAAAGGTAAGAAACTGAGTGTTACAGAAAACCCAGGATGTACGGTTTCTGTCGCTGGGACGGAAGTTGGGGTGTCCCCACCCAGGACACTGTAGCAACGTACAGGAAGTGGGAGCGAATGGCAGGGCAGAGCACTGAGATTCCTAGGGGAGGTCCCCAGCCAGGCATGGCCTGCTCCGCACCCACACCCCCAGAGGTGGCCTGCAGTAAGGGACATGCTCCAGGCCACACCAAATTGGGCCAAACCAAAATACAAGGGGGACATTTTTTCAAATTATTTCCCAGGTGGAAGTCATTAACTCCCTAAGCAACTGACGGTCAACAATTATCCCTCGCACTGTTTTTTTTGTTGGTGGTGGTGCTTTGTTTTGGTTTTGGTAACCACAAAATCAAAAAGGAACTTTTTGATGACCAGCTATTCCAAGTTTCTCATTTACAGATGAGAAAATAATGAGCCTGATTAGTGCACAAAAACACAAATACACATTAAAAGAATCCAAGTGAATCAAGGTAGCTCCCAAGCTCACCACACCGGGAGGTGTGGTGCTCCCAGTGATGCCAGCCAGGCTCCCAGGGTAGGAAGGAAAAACAAACAAACAAAAAGGAAGCTAATTTTCAAACAGTTGTAATTAGCTGATTATTCTTCACTTGAAAGGTTGCATGAAACAAACAGCTCCTTTGTCTACAGCAGAAGCTGTAGACAATTTAAGTTAAGGCATAAATTCATAAATAATGTTTAAAACCCAAAAGGAGATAAGAAAGAACACATCAATGTGCTACAATGACAACTGAAAAAAATAAGCAAGTCAGAGGAAAAATGATTAAGTTCAAACAAGATCAATCTGAAGTTAAATTTTAAAAACTAAATTTCGGTTAAAAATAATTATCTATCTACCTGGAATCTGAATAATCTAATAGGGAGCCCAGAGATCAGGGAAGGGAATGAGGTGAGTTAACTACTGATGTCCAGTGACAGGCACACCAGGATTCAGGATTCTTAAATTTTGAAATTTCCCATCATGAAAAATTAAAAATCCACAAAGAAACAGGCAAATTCTCATTGATTAGGCACCCACATGCCACACACAGTGCAAATTACTTACAACATGACTAACACGTAAAAACCACCCCTCAACAAATACCACTTATTACTATTTTTTAAAAACTAAAGTTTAGCTAACATCAGATGACAAGGTATTCAGACACCATGGTGTGACTCAATTTCTACATGAATCCATCTGGTAATTATTATTATTATTATATTATTATTATCATTGTAGAGACAGGGCCTTGCTATACAGCCCAGGCTGGCCTCAGGCTCCTGGCCTCAACTGATCCTCCTGCACTGGGATTACAGGCATAAGCCACCGGTGCCTGGACTGGTAATGATTTTAGAAAGCGTTTTTTCAGCTGTACATCTACACGGCTCATTAAGCCACATTTCTTTCAACACATAACTCAAAAAGAAAAGTGGCTTTATAGATGATACCCAGTACTCAGTGTCCAATGAATGCTTCACAAAAGTTACAAAATAAACGTGAGTTAAAAATTGAGTGTACTTGTGGAACACAGATTTCGTCATCCAGGCCCCAGACAACTTGACACCTCCTCTCCCTACCGCACCACAGAGTGGACAGGCCCCAACAGCCAGGTCTAGAGTTCGTTGTGTGTGTGCCTTCCCCAGCCACATGACCAGACCTGCAGTGGACACCTGCCCAAATTGAGACGATCAAATCTGACTCTGGGACCCAAATACATTGTTCCAGGGGCTCAACACACCAGGGCCCAAGGGGTCCATTCACAGGGAGGGCCACCAGATTCTGACCAATACATCAATTTTATTTTTGCCAACACAGAAAATACTGAGCATCTGTCAGACCAGTCAGACCATCATCACACAGCCAAGTTAAGGCTTGCTGTAAGGGCTCAGCTACTGTGAGGAGGACTCAGGTACCTAAAACATCTGTTACTAAGATAGCTGGAGGCTGGGCACAGTGGCTCACACCTGTAATCCCAGCACTTTAGAGGACTGAGGCGGGGGGATAACTTGAGGTCAGGAGTTCGAGACCAGCCTGGCCAACATGGTGAAAACCTGTCTCTACTAAAAATACAAAAATTAGCTGGGTGTGGTGGCACGTGCCTGTAGTCTCAGCTACTCTGGAAGCTGAGGCATGAGAATTGCTTGAACCTGGGAGACAGAGGTTGCAGTGAGCCAAGATTGTGCCACTGCACTCCAGCCTGGGCAACAGGGCGAGACTCCGTCTCAAAAAAAAAAAAAAAGATAGCTGGAAAAATCCACATCTTCCACCTGAGGACTTCCAGATGCACACTTCATTTTGGTACCTCTGACATCTTTCTTATAAACAGAGGGTTTTGTCTTGTTTAAGGCAAATAAAAACAGTTAAAGAAAAGACTGCTGGACTACCCAAAACACTGCATAAGAACAAAAGACAACAGTCCACACCACTACCGATTCTCCAGGCAGCCTGCCAGACACAAGCTCAGGGGAGCAAGCACTTGGGTGCTCCTTTTCCACCGCAGGATCACCAGGGCCTGAAATAGCACCTGGCTCAGAGTAGGTGCTCAAATAGTTGTTGAGTGGGTGACTGCTGCTTCAAGTCTTCCAAAGAAAAAATATCCATAAACCAGGATGCTCTAGCATATAAGAAATGAACCATAGTGTCAAAGGGATACTATGGTATTGGGTGCTGACAGAGGACTGGGGAAGGGGAAGGAAAGACATGAAGTATGAAGCACAGATGCCAGACACCATGGGGTCTTTCTATGACACTGAAGTTACCTGCCCAGCAGGTTCCAGGTGCAGTGGTGATGGCCCTGAGCTGAGCATGTGGGAAACAAGGAGGCATTCCAGGGATGAAAAACCAGCATGAGCAAAGGTGCATGGACTGATGGAGGCCGGCACGTGTACCAGACGGCGAGAAGACAGGTCTGCCTCAAGCGGGTGGCTGGAAAGGAGAGGGACAAGGGGGACTAAGCCAGTGTTAGAGGATTCGAGAAACAACTGCAATTGCTGATGTTGGTTTCTTAAAGAAAAATATCCTTGGCACTCACTGGCAAAAAGGTGAGTGACGGCCAGATGGTAGGTGGCTCATGCCTGTAATTCCAACACTTTGGGAGGCTGAGGCAGGTGGATGGATTGAGGCCAGGAGTTACAGACCAGCCTGGATAACACAGTGAGGGCCTGTCTCTACAGAAAAATTAAAAAAAAAAAATTTGCTGAGTGGGGTGCTACACACCTGTAGTCCCAGCTACTAAGGAGGCAGAGGCAGGAGGATTGCTTGAATCCAGGAGTTCAAGGCATCAGTGAGCCATGATCACACCACTGCACTCCAGCCTGGGCAACAAAGGGAGACCATCTCAAAAAAAAAAAAAAAATGTGGACACGTGGGATGATGTGGGAGGTCGCCAGGAACACACTGTGAAGGAAGGACCAGGAGACCTAGATGCAGGGCAAGGACAGGGAGGACTCTGGTTCCCAGATGAAAGGAAGCTGCACTCACTGTGAAAATGGGAGGGGAGAAGAAGTCAATTCCAGAAAGAAGAGTTTCGGGGAAAAACTCTAGTAGGAGGTCACTAATGCCTCTGAGCCTCCCTGAAGTCAGAAGCACAGTGTTTTTGTCATTGACTTATTCCCATGTCCTCTGCAATAATGACTGCATGCTGAGCCAACAGTGACAGGCAAGTACTGGCTCAATGTTTAACCCAGCATCAGTAACATGCGGCTGACCCCAGTGCTGCGGAGGGAGGAGGACCAGAGATCCGGCCACTTCTGGAGAAGCACATCTGTGAGGCTAGATCAGCTATCTAAAAGGCAGGACATCAGGTGGGCTAAAGTGAAACCCAGGACTATGCCCACATTCCCCGGGAACAAAGAAAGGAACATTTTCCTTTTTCTAGGTTCTTATCCTGACCAAACACAGGCAAATGGGAAGGATGCTTAGTGCTGTTTATTCCATGGGGCAGAAGGCTCTCCTTTGGGAATAAACAAATAATGAGCTGAGCCTTGAGAAAGTTAAAAATCAACAGTCTAAATAAATCTATGGTTCTCAAACTCAGGGCCAAAGAGATCAAGAGTTCCCAGGAGGCTCCGAGAGGCTGTTGGGAAGACACCGGTGGAAACTGCTAACACAGCATTCTCAGCCTCTGCAAACGCTACCCCCTCCGCCATCCTTCAGACACTGCCCTCGGCTGAGCCAGGATCGGCAGTTCCACAGGCAGGACGCAGCTTACAAGCTGAGTTCTCAAAGACTCAGAGCTGAAGAGTTCCTGGACACTTTGACGACAATATCCAATTTTGAAGGGTGTCTGGGAGGGAGTGGAAAATGAGGCCCTGGAACAGCCCTGGGAGGGAGGAAGTCAGTCTGAGGAAGCTTCTGGGAACAGCTGCGGAGAAAAATATAGATCTGAGTGATGGGCAGGCCTCACAAAGGAATGGCAGCTTTCACACCAGAGGGTTTTTACTTCAGACAGAAGAAAACAATGGTTAGAAAAAGCTGCCAGTAGCGGTCAACCCAGGTACATGCTTTTTCTAGAAAGCTTTATGAACTCAAAGCAAATCTCAGTAGCCTCTATTTGAGAAACATCAGCTTTAAAAAAGCTGCCTTCTATTGATAAGAAAAGAACATTACTTTCTACCTAAGTGACATGATTAGAAACAATGGGAAACTTCTTGAAATATTTGTCTAAATTAGGTCTTTCTGTTTTTGAGAGGGAGTTCCACTCTTGTCGCCCAGGCTGGAGTACAGTGGCCCAATCTCGGCTTACTGCAACATTCACCTCTCGGGTCAAGTGATTCTCCTGACTCAGCCTCCCAAGTAGCTGGGATTACAGGCGCCCTCACCACACCCAGCTAATTTTTATATTTTTAATAGAAACGGGGATTCACTATGTTGGTCAGGCTGGTCTTGAACTCCTGACCTCAGGTGATCCACCTGCCTCAGCCTCCCAAAGTGCTGGGATTACACACGTGAGCCACCCCGCCAGCCCTCATGTTTTTTTACTAGAAAGTCAGAATGGAAAATATAAAAGGGGATAGAAATAGTGATATTGGGCGGGGCGCGGTGGCTCACGCCTGTAATCCCAGCACTTTGGGAGGCCAAGGCAGGCGGATCACGAGGTCAGGAGATCGAGAGCATCCTGGCTAACAGAGTGAAACCCCGTCTCTACTAAAAATACAAAAAAGTAGCTGGGCATGGTGGCGGGCGCCTGTAGTCCCAGCTACTCGGGAGGCTGAGGCAGGAGAATGGCGTGAACCCGGGAGGCAGAGCTTGCAGTGAGCTGAGATCGCACCACTGCACTCCAGCCTGGGCGACAGAGCGAGACTCCGTCTCAAAACAAAAACAAAAGCAAAAACAAACAAACAAACAAAAAGAAATCATGATATTAACATCAGAATTGCCAAACACTGAAGATTGAAATGATAAGCAAACTGAAATGCCAAACTGTTTAACCCAAAATGACTTCCTGGATCTGAAATACTTTAAAGGGGTAGAAATACATTTTCAGAAGTATTATTTTTCTTGACCTGTTAAAGATCTTTAAGTTTAAAATAATGAAAAATAATTCAGATTACTAAATATCGATATCCATATCCTAGGCAATATAGCACTCTGTGATTCACACAAGAATCAAATCCGAATCACTGACCTGATCATTTTACAGATCAGTGGTCTGTTTCTAGAGCATATCTACACACTCTAAAAATGACAGATATTCTATAGCCTTCTACTTCTAAGAAAATGATTTTAAATATGATCAGTTATGTAAACACACATTCGCATACACACACACAACCTTACAGTAAGTTTCAGGCCTTCTTAGTTGTAAGAAAAGCACTGTACTTTTTAATCAGGACACATAAATCTACCTCTCAAAAGATCAAAGCCAGATGCAAACATCATCCTTTAAAAAGATCTCAGCATTAGATAGAGCCACTAAGTTTACCTCTAACTGGAGTCACACTGTAACAGAAATTTCAATCATGCTCTTAAAGTTCAAAGAATTCTGTAGAAAAGAATTCTGTCCAGAATATTAACATTTTTTTGAAGTCTGATTCTTAGAAATTCCTTTAGCAACCACACCCCATGTCCACAGCACCATCCTTTTTCTTGTTGCAATATACCTTTTTCTTTTTTTTTTTTTTTTTTACTTATTAGTGCTTTATGTTACATGAAATTAAGTGCAAAAATACTTAAATAATGCTGTGTGCCAGGCACCACTCTCAATGGTTTGACTCACTGTACTCTGCACAATCACCCATTTTCCAGTGAAGGAAATGGAGGCACCAAGGGTAAAGTAGCCAGCACAAGTCAGACCTCATGGCGGGGCCAAGGCATTCTGGCTCCAAAATCCCGAATCAAAAAGCAGAAGGTCAAAAAATTAAAAACAAAGAAACATCACACACGGAAGGAGGAGAGGCCAAAGATTACTCCGAGGGATTAAAATCTGAGTTTTTCTCCGGTTTACCTTCTACAACTCCTTTTACTGACCACGCCTGACACACTGACACATGCATTCCCTGCCACAGTGGCTCCTGTGGCCGCCTGGCTGTACTGCACAGTGCAACTCCTCAGGGCGGAAGCTGCGTGGACCCCTGGCCCTTCTTGGCCAATGACTCTAATTACCCCATGGTTCCCTCCAGAGGGCAGTGGGCAGTGCAGTAGGTCACCCACACGTCCCATTTCTTAGAAAACCTGCAGCCATGGATGCCTAACTTCTACTGTGGAGTTATTCTTCTGTACGTTATTATAAGTAGAGTCACAATTTTTGTGCTACATTTAAACATTTTGTATCTCTAAGCTTCCTTAGAAATGTTACTATATTTTTCCTACATTTGCTTCCTGAGAAGCAAGAACGGGGGAGTTACCAGCACAGTGAGAGTCATGATTCGTCAGACCCAGGGTAGAAAAGAATGTAAAATAGGCACGCATCAGCTGTTTTACTGAGAGGAGGGCTTTAAATAGGGCGCAGCCAGCTGGGGATGGGGAGGGGAGGGGTGGGGCGGGGCAGCAGGCTGACAGGGCTGCCCAGGTGGATAATAAAAAAGATCTCTGGTCTTGGTCCCTGGTTTCTGGCATAGAGCTCCTAAAGCCCTTGGTATTTACTGAGCAACAAGAGTGCCCTTAGTGATTCATAGAGAGCCCCAGTGCACCACACCTGAGCTTATGCTAATGAGGTGACCAGTGGGGTTGGGGGGTGCCCCTAGATAGCCTGGAGGGGAGCTGGTCATTGCCAGAAAGACAAAACGTGTGATTAGAGAGTGGGAACTTTCTGCACCCCCTACACCCCAACCTCTGGGAGGGGTGGGGGGCCAGGAGACTGGGCTGCAAAAACTCTTGAAAAATGGGATGTGGGGAGCCTCCACGTCATGAACTCATTGGGATGGTGCACTAGGAGGTGTCTCCCCCAGGGGGCATGGGGACTCCCACCCCTCGTCCCATGTGTCACTTCCTTTGGGCTGTTCCTAAGTTGCATCCTTTAAAACAGGGGTGTCCAATCTTTTGGCTTCCCTGGGCCACACACACTGTAAGAATCATCTTGGGCCATACATAAAATACACTAACATTAACTGCAGCTGATGAGAAAAAGAAAATTTCAAAAAAAACTCATCATGTTTTAAGAAAGTTTAAGTATTTGTGTTGGGCCGTATTCAAAGCCATCCTGGACCGCGGGTTGGACAACCTAGCTTTATAGGAACCACTAACAATAAGCAAAGTGCCTTTCTGAGTTCTGTGAGTTGTCCTGGCAAATTATGGAACCTGAAGTGAGGTCATGGGAACCCCAATTTACAGCCAGTTGATCAGAAGTACAGGTGGCTTAGGACATGCAACTGGTGACGGAAATGGGGATGGTCTTGTGGGACTTAGCCCTCAAAACTTGTGAGGCCGGCACGAACCCTGAAAAGCTAGTGTCAGAACTGAACCAAATTAGGGGACACCTAGGTGGTGTCAGAGAATCAGAGACCTGTTTGATAACACAGCCACCGGCCACACGCGGCCACTGAGCACTCAAGGGGTGGTGAGTCCAGCTATGTCTTGCTGTGAGGGCAAACACACACTGGACTCTACAGACAGGCAAAGAAAGCAAATGAATGGCATTAGCAATTATTTGAGTATATGTTGAAATATTTTGGTTATGTTGGACTACAGAAGACTTAAAATTTGTAGCCTTTTTCATGTGGTTACTGGGAGAGGTGAAGTTACACATCTAGCACACACTGGCAGCTTATGTTCTATTTCTGCTGGACAGTGCTGCTTGAGATGTCTTCATTTCTGAAAACACAAGTACTGATGTCCATTTTTTTGTCTCAAATTTTTCACATGTAGAAAGACAGCAACTACTTAAGGATGAGAGCCGGGGATGTGAGTAATAGAGAGGGAAGGAATTAGTATTTATTAAGTGCATATTAAGTGCTGGGAACCACCCAGTATGTCCCACAATTTCATGCTAGCAATCCCCTGAGACAATGGGTATCCTCCTCCTCCTTTCCCAGGTGCGGGCACGGAAACCTCAAACCTCGCGCCAATAAAGGGACAAAGCAGGGACTCCAATGCAGCTCTCCTGATTTCTGTTCCTTGCTGCACACTAGGGGCTGCGGTTCTTCTTCTGGAAAAGGCCTGATATTTCAGGCTTTGTGGGCCACATAGTCACAATTCCTCAATTCTGCTGTTGCAACATGGGGCAGCCACAGATGCTGTGGAAATGAATGAGCCCAGCTGGGTTCTAATAAAACTGTATTCACACCCAAACAGGTGAACTGGATTTGGTCCATGGGCCACTTTGCCAACCTCTACTGTAACCACAAAGAGTAACAGATATTCCTAAATCAATTACTGTATCATCAGTGCACCAGAATGTAACACTTATAAAGAACACCTTTCACAAAATACTAACTAGGTTATTGTGGAAACAAGGGAATAGGGAGGGTCCAATTTTGCAGGTGAACTTCCTGTTAGGCTTCTAAGCTCATATCAGACATCCAAGTAGGCCACGTCACGAGCAGTATTACATTAACAGCAAATTGCATTTGGTTCAATGACATGACATGTATGTGTGACATGAATAACATTACAAGCATATACCTGGGAATATGGAATGGTATCTATGAGATAAACACAGACGGGGGTCCAGGCTTCCAGGTCGGAGCCTCCCTGGCTCCAGAGAGATAAGCAGGCACCAGGAACCCAGCACTGGTGTGTGTGGGCCTGAACCTGGCTGACCATACGAGTAGCTGACCATAAGAGTAGGTGTGACACACCTGGGCAGGTGTCCTCAGGTGAGAAGAGTTCCTCCCAAGCGTGTCTCTTCACATCTTCTCTTCACTCCTGAGTTTCACCAACACTGCACAGGCAGCAGGAAGACGGAGCCAGAAGCCTCCAGCCAGTTACTAAACTAATTTGATGGCTTAAATATTAATTTGTAAGTCAAACTAACACTACTCACTACAGATGGAAATAGTTTGGAGGGAACGAAAATCCTGCATGCCCACAAGATGGAGGGATAGCCGAGTAAAGGAAAGGTCTGGGGACAGAGCCAGGGCTGGTTCGATGTTCACCTGCAGACCCCGCCCCCGCCAGGATTCTCCCTCACAGACTACCCTGAAAGGTGACAAGTCAACAGATACAAAGCAGTGGAGAAAAAGAAAACCTAGGCCAGGCACAGTGGCTCAAGTCTGTAATCCCTACATTTTGGGAGGCTGAGGTGGGAGGATCCCTTAAGGCCAGGGGTTTCAGACCAGCCTAGGCAACACAGTGAGACTCCATCTCTACAACAAAAATTAAAAACTTCACTGGGGCTGGTGTATGCCTGTAGTCTCAGCTACTCAGGTGACTGAGGTGGGAGGATTGCTTGAGCTCAGGAGGTCGAGGCCACAGTGAGCCATGATGGCGGCACTGCACTCCAGCCTGGGCAACAGAGCAAGGCCCCATTCCTAAATAGAAGAAGAAAAAGAAAACCTAAAAGAGGTGAGAGAAGGAGAAAGAAATACATCAGGTTCTCCCCACCTTCCAGGCCCTCCCAGAGCCATGCAGAACACAGACTTTCCCAGGTGGGAAGTCCCCACATTCCCGGGCTCTCCTGCTACCAGAATGTGCTTCCTAGGCCCCACTTCCCCACTCAGCCCCACCTGCGCCTCCCCTCATTCTTTTGTTTCCTTTAACACTCTTGAAGGGAACAGTATAAAGCGATTTCTACTATCCATGGTAGCAATGTCAGGGAGTCCTGCTTGGCAGGAAGCAAAGTCTGGGCCAGAGTACCAGGAACTGGTCATACCTGTGCAGTGTAAGCGTCACCTGCTGCCATGTAACAAGTCACTGCAAATTCAGCAGCTTACACCCACATATTTATTGTCTCTGTGGGTCTGGAGTTTGGGTGTGGCTTACCTAGACTCTTAATTTTTTATATAATGAAAGACAGCTAACACACATACCTCCACAGACTTACACACACACACACAGACACACACACACACACACACACACACACACCCCCTATTCTAAGCTGTATCTGTGGGAGGCTATCTGCCTGTTACGGGTGTGAAAATCTAAAATATTTGCAACTGTTTCTGAAAATGTCTTTAAGGAACATATTAGTAATTAAAAAAAAAACCCACTACCCACTACCTCTGTCTCTGTTTTAGCCAGCGACCAAAAATACGATAATCCAGCCCTGTCACTGACATCATGCCCCAAACAAGTCCCCACAGAACAGTCTAACAAAAACTAAAGTCACCCTTAAAGGGAAAAGTCATACCATGGCTGAGAATGTTCCATCTGCCATTAGGGAGTCCCTTCAAAGAAGGGACCACCAGCTCGAAAGGAAAAGCCAAGAACTGGCCGTGGGGCCGGCCTCAGGATGACCATGATGGAATGCTAAATCCGTGAGCACTACTGGCAGAGTCCCTGAAATTCAAGGGCCATTTTAAAGTCAGCCTGTTTTAAAAGGACATGGTAGTCACAGTATGTACAAATTCTCGTCAATTTGTTTTCAAAACAGCAGTGACACTGTTTTATCATCACTCTGAGACACGGTCCTCTAGAATAGATCAATCCAAAATGCCTTTATGGAGGGACCATTTACACTGACTTTCAAAAGCAGTATTATTTGGGTGAAATTGATACTTCCACACTACTGAAAACTGGCATAACCCTTTGTAAGGGCGTTATGGCAAGATGCATCAAGAGCCATAAAGATGTCCATACCATGTAACTCTGCAATGCCTCTCCAAGGAATTTACACTAAAAAAAAAAAAATGGTTCCACTGAAGAAGAGAAATATACCCAGAGACGTACACAGGCACCTTGTCTACAGGAGCAAAAATTTAGATGTCCAAATGAGCACACTACTTATGCAAGTGTGGCGCTTTCAACTCCATGGGATATCACACAACATGGAAAAAAAGGATTTGAAAAACTAGTAAAGTGGAAAAAATATTCAGAGTGAGAAGAATAGAAAATTATACAAAAGTTATAAATACTTACAAGGATGAGCTGCAAATATGAAAAGTTTCTCTTTCAGGATGGTGAGATTACAGGAAGCATCTCGCTTTTCAAAAACTATGCTTAAGAGTCAGTATATTATCTCTATCTTTAAAAGTAAATTCACACCAAGAAAAAGCAATGCCAGAAAAATACATCTCAGGAATCTAGGTCTCCATAAAGCAGCTGTGTGTTTGGTTTGCACTTTGAGATCTTTTTACCTGGTACTGCTGAAACCCCACCTGGGAAGACCAGAGCCAAGTGACCAGTATCATTCTGCCTCCTGCTCACCTGTCTCAGTCAGATGAGGCAGGCCATCAGGTTTTGAGGCAGCTTTGTGGCTGAGCCTCGAAGCAGAGCAGGCTGCAGGCTCCTGCAGGGATGCAGTCCTAGGAGGGTGGCCGGCGATAAACATGTGGAGCTCAGACAGCCCTGCAGAAGGAAGCATTTCCACTCGAGCTGTGGGGCTAAAATAATTAAGAATGTGGGATGTCTGCCCACAGGCTCTCCTTAACCTGCAGGGTGCGGATGCAAAGGTGCTGAAGGGTCAAGGCTGTGGTGCCACAGGTGCTGAAGGCCAGCAGGTGCTGCAGGGTCAAGGCTGTGGCCCACACCAAGGATCATTGCACAGGCGTGCAAACAGCATGCACCCACGTGAAAGCTCTGCAAAGCGAAGCTGCCAGGACTAGCACTCGGACAAATTGCTTAGCTTCTCCATCTCAGCTACCTCATCTGTTAAACGGGGCTGAGGGCAGCCTCGTGGGGTTGTAGAGAGGACTAAATTAGGCAACACATATGAAATGCTCAGCCACGTTAAGTGCTCAATAAATATCAGCTATTATTATTGACACATGAATACTTTAAGAATGTACCTTCACACAGTCCATCATCGTAAGGGAACTTCTAGCAGCTGGTATTTATAGTTCCACATGCAAGAAGGCACAATGAAAGTAATGTCTGAGCCAATTCTTCTTCCAAATTATTTTTTATTTTATAGCATATTTCTTTAAACACAGGGTCAAAAACTCCAGGGACCATTTTGCCACAACACGGCTGAGAATCAGAAAGTCAAACTTTTTCACACAAGAGATTTTAAGTCATTTACACTGTCCTGATACTGGAAGTTATTATAAACCCCTAAGTTCCCAATGCACAACCCAACCCCAACCCCACTGCTGTAACAGTAAATAATCACAGATCCCAGAACACAATTTTACATTTTTTTCAACTAACAAATTGAATATTTCCCACTGTGACAACTTAATTAAATAAAATTTATAAAAACAACAACTAGGCTTTTATCCAATTTAAATAAAATTCTTTCTATATTCTCTTTTGAGAACAGGTTTTCATTTTACCCACTTGGGGCATGTTTTGTCGTTACTGCATGACTGGAAAGAGTTCTGTTAGGCAGCAAAATTGAGCTACTTTTCTGCAATGCCTGTGTAGACTGTCTCTGGCCAGCAGCCTCGGTCCCAGCAGCTCGGTCATCAGAGGACGCAGTGACACCTGGTCCCTGGCGAGGTCCCGCTCTCCCCTTGGCAGAATGGTGAGGGCTAGGGACTCCTCCTCAGGGTGCTTTTGTTTTGTTTTTTTTGGAGACAAGAGTCTCGTTCTGTCGCCCAGGCTGGAGTGCGGTGGCATGATCTCGGCTCACTGCAACCTCTGCCTTCTGGGTTCAAGCAATTCTCCTGACTCAGCCTCCTGAGTAGCTGGGACTACAGGCACATACCACCACGCCTGGCTAATTCTTTTGTATTCTTTAGTAGAGACGGGGTTTCACTGTGTTGCCCAGGCTGGTTTCGAACTCCTGAGCTCAGGCAATCCGCCTACGTCGGCCTCCCAAAGTGCTAGGATTACAGGCGTGAGCCACTGCGCCTGGCCTCAGGTTGCTTTTAAGTGATTTTCATTTTATGCAACTATGTGGAACACAGTTATTAATATATTACTTAAAAACAAACTTGAGACATAGTAATCTACGTATTTCCTTATTAACACACCAAACGAGAGGGTAGCAGCAGTGCTAATAACAACCATAATTTGAGAGCAATGATAAAAGCAGTCACTCTTTCAACACACGTGCATCACTATTATGTAACAGGAAAATAGTGACCATTTCTCTGATGACTGTAAATGCTATGGGCTGTGCTACCTACATTCATGCAGGAAGGAAATACTGAATTTCAGTGAAAAGCTGGTGGAAATAAGGATGTTTTTTCCCACCCCAAAGTTCACAGATATCCTCCATGCACTCACCACCACAGGCCCATGGTTCAGGACACCGTCTTTAGGAAATCACTCAGAACTTCACACTACGTCAAGACCCTGGGACATGAGCTTCAGCGAATCTCTAGATTCCAGAGTCCAGACTACAGAAGAGACAGACTGAACCCCTTTCAAAGCAGAGGGCTCTTTTGTTGCTGTGAATCCCAGGAATGCCTGCTGATGTGAGGAGGCAGTCTGACAGCAGGAAGCGCCCGGGCCTGGACCTAGACCCCCCCTGGTTTGATGCTCTGCCCATTAGCTGCCTGTTTCCTCGGCAAGGCCTCTTTCAACTTGAGAGTTGAAGGAAATCTTCGGAGATCACCTGGTTTAAGCCCACTCTTACGCACAGAAACTGTGCTTCTCACAAGCTTCTTCTAAGGAAAACCCAAGAGCAGTGCATTCCACAAACTCTGTCCTTAATTTTCTAGCAAAGCGAAAGTCCTTGTTTTCAGGTCAAGTGATTCATCTACAGAAAGCCACCAAAACCCACACTTGCAACTGTAGTCAACGCAAAAACTTAGAAAAAGGACAAGATATTTTTAAAATGTATCAAAAATCCGCAGGACAAAAGAGAAAACATAAACTGTAACACAGAGGCAGAGATTGAAAAGAAAATAATGTTCAAAAGGGTCAGCGCACATGTCTGTATTCAGTCTTTTTTGGTCTCACTGTCATATAGGCTGGAGTACAGGGGCCTGATCACGGCTCACTGCAGCCTGGACCTCCCAGGCTCAAGTGATCCTCCTGCCTCAGTCTCCTAAGTAGCTGGGACTACAGGCACTTGCCACCATACCCAGCTCATTTTTTTGTATTTCTTGTAGAGACAGGGTTTCGCCATGTTGCCCAGGCTGGTCTTGAACTCCTGGGCTCAAGCAATCCTCCCACCTGAGCCTCCCAAAGTGCTGGGATTACAGGCATGAGCCACTATGAGCCACTCTGCCTGGCCCAGTCATTTTTTAATAAACAAAATGCATTATTATAAATTATATCTATGTGAATGAATACAACAGAGTCTCTCTCATCTGTGTATAATGGTTTGGGAAGGGTGGAGCAGGAAGTAGTGTCCCCCCACCTGGCCTTCCACCCAAGCCTGGAATCGTCCCATCACTAGGAGGGAGAAGGCAGTGACCAGAAAGAGAAACAGGCTAATGGCCTTAATTCTGACTTTTTCTGTACCCAAGAGAAAGGTGAGCCACTCTTCTCCCTCCCAAAAAAAGATTCTCTGGAAGTCAGTCAGCCAGGAGTTAAAATGACCACTTCAAGACCCTCCCCACGCCAGCTTCTGAGCCAACGCCTGCCCCGTCCATACCACCGCTCCCATACACACCCAAACCTCCCAGCACCCGGGTAGGGCACAACCCTGCTGCCCAGAAGAGGCCCAGTAGGGTGGGCGGGCAGGCACACCAGCATGGCCTCACAGCAGACTCTGGCCCCCATCTATGAGAGGAGAATGCCTTCCTCAGACACTGGGTCGGGACCACTTCCTGAGCCCAGTCACAGACCAGGGCTTCCTCAGGCGGAAGCAGGATGAGGGCCACCCAGATCCCAATCCCAAAGAAACTTCTTCAGGCCACTGCCCTCCCACTTCAACCAGGGAATGTGCCCAAGAGCTAGGGGTGTCCCAAAGCGCAAGGCATGACACATGTAGAAACTATGAAGATTTTTCGGTGATTTTTTATTTGCTCAAACCTGAACACAGTCCACGTGGGGTCTCGGTGTCTCTGCCTCTCTCTCTCTCTCACATGTGACAAAACCATTTTCAGAGAAGCCTGGCATCTAGGGACCTCCCTACTCTGGCCCTGACTGGCCTTTCCACAATAGGGTTCTCAGCTGTAACTGGTTTCTCCCTTCACTGGAACTCTGGGCCCACCAAAAGAAGGATGAAGTTATCCAGAAAGCAAAGACCCTTGGTTGATACAAAGGGAGCCTCAGATGGAGAGATCCAAGAGGTGGTCAAAACTGTGGGAGAAGTGGTTACACGGGGAGCCTTAGAGCTAGGTGCCACCAGCAGGGAAGAGGTGTGAACGGCAAGGATGGAGGTGAGGGCCTGACTCCTGGCCGGCACACCTGGGGTTCAAGTGCTAATCCACAGCAGAGGCTCTCAACTTTGAATATGCATCAGAATCACCTGGGGAACTCGTGCAACAGGAAGAATTCCAGACCAACCTATCCCACGCGGGAAGTCAGGCAGTTCCCCGGAATTTGCATTTCTCCACAGCCCAGGACCACATTCTGGAAACCCCATGCTGGGGCACCATCCTATCCTATCACCTCCTCCGCAACAGTGCCAAGGGGCTGTCTGTGCCACAGTGCCTTCTATCCCCACTGAAAATCTTGGTCCCTTTTGGGAGAATAGATAAATCTGTCAGATAGAATTCTAAATAACTAATGTAAATACAACCCCTACAGGAGGTACAGCTGAACTCCCTCTTCCTTAAATGACCTCCTTCCAAAGACTGCAGCAGTATGGAAAGAAGGGAAAAGAGTCACTTGACAGTGGAGTCACTTGACAGTGGAGTCCCCTGACAAACACTACCTGGGCCAGGTGATCAAGATCAACATCAACCATCATAAGCCACGCTGATCACATGGACCCTTGATACAAAATGGCACATTACCTCGGTGGCCTTCCTCCCCAAACCGGTAACTCTACACTAATCATGAAAAAACATCTGACAACTCTCAACTGAGGGACAGTCTACAAAACACCTGAAAAGCAGTTTTGCTCCTCAAAGCTGTCAAGCCATTAAAAACAAGGCGAGTCTAAGAAACTGTCCCAGATCAGAGGCGCTACGGAGACTAAAGGAAACGTGCCCTGGATGGGATCCTGGGACAGAAAAAGGATGTCAGGGCAAATAAACTATGGACTTAACAATAATGTACCAATACTGGTTCATTAGATGTAACCAATGTACTATAGTAACGTAAGATGTGAATCACAGGGGAAAGTAGACACAGTTTATATCAGAATTCTCTGTATTATCTTTGAAACTTTTTCTGTAAATTTAAAATCTATTCTAAAATTAAGCGCTTACTTAAAAATATATACCATATGTTTTATTATATAAAAGCCTGTATGCATAGGGTAACATGGTTGACTTTCAACAATAACAAATTACACTTTGGAAACGTTAAAACACTGTGCTCAACAAAAGGAAATAAATACCCCTATTGATCAGCTTAATACACGAACGTGAGGGTATTACATGGCTGAAATGCAATACAATTTTCTGCTTTCCCCAGAGAACGTACTATGTGTACTTGAATACGTAAAACGATATACTGCATGTGTTTATAAACAAACAAAAAATCTTGCTCCCTTGAATAAGACCAAATAAGGACTTAACACGTGAAATTCTCTCCTTCTGAAGGCCCAAGAACCAGGAATCTAGGTATTCGATCAACCTTTAAAATTTTATCAAACTCAGATCTTAAATTATCATTATTTGCAAATTAAGTTCATTCAAAACACTAAGCATTAATTATAGTCTATCACTAATTAACTATAGTAAATCACCAAAACCATTTTACTTTAATCCATGTCACCAAAAGCTAAGGGAAATGTCTGCTGGTTCAGTGTCAAATAGAGGACGAATCACTAATAATGATTTTACTAGTTTTGAATGCTAGCATTAATTCAGTTTCAGATGTTAAACAAAGCTTAAATGTAAACCCTGAAATCAGTTCCAACCTTTGGAAAATAGTTTTGTAACAACTTACTGTCAGAGCAGTACAGTAATTTGGGTACTGGGTAGAAGTATCAGTCTTGACTACTGTGTAGAAGTCAAGAATTTCAAACACTGCATTTAAAAAATACAAAAACGGGACGGGCTCAGTGGCTCAAACCTGTCATCCCAGCACTTTGGGAGGCTGAGGCGGGTGGATCACAAGGTCAGGAGTTCAAGACCAGCCTGGCCAATATGGTGAAACCCCGTCTCTACTAAAAATACGAAAATTAGCCGGGCATGGTGGTACGCACCTGTAGTACCAGCTACTCGAGAGGCTGAGGCAGAAGAACTGCTTGAACCCGGGGACAGAGGTTGCAGTGAGCCGAGATCAAGCGACTGCACTCCAGCATGGGTGACAGAGCGAGACTCTGTCTCAAAAAAAAAAAAAAACAAAAACAACAAAAACAAACATCTACAATGGAGTAAGAAATAAACTAAATTTCCAAACACAGTTCAAATGAAACCATCAATAGGATAAAACAAACCTGTAAAATGTGTGCACAGGATTGATGTGCAATATTCATTACTAATCCAAGAGAAGTAATGTGATTCAATTACTTACATCTCTATATCAAATGTGATGGCATAATGGCTTTATGCCATTATCAATTAAAAAAAAATAAGGAAGTATTAGTGTGCTACCTGAGACCTGCATTCCACTCAAAGCGCCAAGTAGTTTAACTCATTTTTAAGAGATAAAGCTCTCAAGCAATAAACAACATGTAAGTAGAGTTCACATTACCTGAAAATTGACCCACAAATCATGTGTTCATCCTAAGCAAACTAACTGAGCTTCATCCAGGCCCTGGAATAATAACACCCACCCTGGCATGAGAGAATAGAGGTGCTTCACCCCAGCTGTGGTGGAGACCTGGCTTACAACTGGCATGTGGAATGTCTCAGCTCAGGTGACAATTCCAGTATCTGGGAGTTGCCTGTGCACTGAAGAGCTTCTGAGGATCTTGAAGAAAATATTATCCTCCAGAATGCTTCAAATGAATTCTGCCTGGCCTTGGGGGTTGGGTTAGAGGTTAGAGGGGGACTTCCCATATGTGCTTCCCCCACCCAGAGATGGCGAAAGTTATTTTCCATACTTGTTAATTAAGATTACAGTGGACTGTGAGCTTGTAAGATCTCCACACTGGTTTACAGGCTCCCCAAAGGCTGGTGTTTGTCTGGTTTGCTGTGGTTTTCCCACGGCACCCAGCACAGTGCCTGGCCCATGGCTGGTCCTATGTAGGTATGAACTGCAGGTACACAACTGAGTGAAAACATAGCCAGGAGAACAGTCTGACCTGTCGGTGGCAGGATGAACAACGTAGCCTTTCTACATCTCTGCACCCATATACTTCCAGCCCTCCTAACTACACTCAGAGAAAAGCAACAGCAACATCAATTTACACATAGATCAGTTCATCCCATGCCACTTTGAAGAAAAAAAAATCCCTAATAATCAAGGACCTGTCCCATCTCAATTTTAACACAGCGAAAGTTGGGGCTATAAAAGGTTGTGAAAGTACATTACAGGCAACCCCTAGTTTCACAGAAGACAAAACAGAGGTCAGGAGAGTTTAAAACTTCGCTATGCAATTTTAGCCAAATTAGTAGCAAAGGAAAAGGAGACTCATCTCTATTCCTCGTAAGAATCAAGATTGTTGAAGTTCAGATTTACATGAGCCATTAATAAAGTTCAGAATGGGGCCAGGCGCGGTGGCTCACACTTGTAATCCCAGCACTCTGGGAGGCCGAGGCAGGCAGATCACCCGAGGTCAGGAGTTCAAGACCAACCTGACCAACATGAAGAAACCCCATCTCTACTAAAAATACAAAATCAGCCGGGCATGGTGGTGTATGCCTGTAATCCCAGCTACTCGGGAGGCTGACGCAGGAGAATCACTTGAACCCAGGAGGGGGGAGGTTGTGATGAGCCAAGATCGTGCCATTGCACTCCAGCCTGGGTGACAAGAGCGAAACTCCGTCTCAAAAAATAAAAAGTTCAGAATGATACTGTTTGAATCCAGCTCCCATTGTAATGGAAAGCCAAGCAGTCACTGCGTGAAGGCAAATGTTTTGAGGGACGAGGGGACTTCAATAACATCAATACAAAGCCAGAATGAAGTCCAGGACCTGCTGCTCTGGAGCTGGGCCATCCCACATACCACACTGCTTGGGCCTGACATTCCCCCATGGCCACTCACCACAGGACCCCAGTGGGCCAGTCAGTGTGCCCTGGTGAGGGACCCACACTTTCCTCATCTAAAAAAGGGATAATTAACAACACTGGCCTCCCTCTACCTGACAAAGTTAGAATCAAATGATACAAGGTGTGCAAGTAATAAGAGAAACACACATCGTTCCAAAGTTGCAACTTCAGAACTTTCCAGTCTGTGCAAAGAATTACTATTAATTTCTCACAGGTCTTTCTCAGTCCATATGAGATAGGATGACTGAAGAAAGGGAAAGATTGATTGTACTTTTAACTATCTCCACCAAGGAAAGCTCAAAATTATGCAAAGTGATGATTTCGTGTTTATCCTAGAAACAGCACAGGAAGAGAGGGGTAAGAAACAACAAAGTCAAAAGGAAGAATAATGGAACAGGAAATAATTTAAACAAAGCAGACAGTGAGAAGACCAAGGGAACTTCTAACTGACAGCTCTCTTCATCTCTAGGCTGATCCTACTTGATCAAGTAAGGGCCTGTTTTAAAGAAAAAAAGAACATTCAGACAGCAACGTCATATGCTAGGCCAGGTAACAGGCAGCTTTGCAGACACTGGAAGTCAGCGACTAACAGCCAGATTAGAATTTCCCCTTTCCTTTTCCCTTCGTAAGGTCTAATTTGTGATATTTTTAGTCTCTCTCCCCTGAGGAGTTTATTTTAGAACTATACAAAGAAGGAAATTAAACATTCAAAAGCTAACATATGTGACCAGCTCAAAAATTATCAGGCTGAACCTAGAATCCTATGAACCTTAGTAACAACAAAGACAAATTTTCTTCTGTAGACAATCACCAACGTAAGGCTTCTGAGCTAAGAAAACAGATGTCTTTGATTAGGCAAAACTGCCCCAGCTGAGAACCACGAATTTATAGGCATGGGTTCGGGTCTCAATGAAGTCTCTCAAAATACTAACATTTAAAAAGGTATTCGTGTACCTGCACAAGTAAATTGTTTCTACTTCCCAATCTAGGTCTAATAACTAATACGATCTAAAATGAATGAGAAGCCACACGCATGAACGTGCAATGTGTTGAAAACATATTTTCTTCCTTACACATGGAACCCTCACCAACCGGAGGCACTCATGAAAGGAGAACCTACTTCTTATGGAAGACGGAATCGGCTGCACCCACTGGGATGGCTGAGGGATGAGGTGCTCGGCACAATCAAGTTAAGAAGCAACAAATTCAACACTAGACACCTAATCTATAGGTGATCAATCAACTGAACTTTAGTTCTACCCAGCAAAGCTTCAAAATGAAAATCACAACAGCACGATGTCTGACACCCTCCTCCTTTTTTAAAAAAGATGATAATGCCACCATTTCTTCACAGTTACCGCTGGGTCTTGTCTACCGAACCATGTAAAATAGACCTAGTAAGGAAACTACGAAAAGGGAACTGAAGCAAGACAGATGGCTTAATTTAAGGGAAGAGAACCTTCTAAATCCAAGCTAGGAAGCTCCTAAGAAGACAATAACAGAAGCACATAAAAGAAAAGTCATATGAGGGCAGTAACAAAGACAGATGGGAAACACACACACTATTAAGATAAATGGTGTTCAGGGCGGGAGAGACGGGGTGAGGGGAGTCACACACAAAAAAGTGAGGGGAGAACCAGAAGAATGGAAAGAAAGAATGGAAATGGCTGGAAAAAAAAAATCTGTTTCTATAACCATCTTGCTAGATTCTGCAACCAAGGTTGTTTCACTTTTTTTTAATCGTTTGATGAAAATTCACTCTTCACCTATATTAAATTTCCCAAAAACTGTCTCAAAATAACTCCCTGAATCCCTTGTTATTTCTTGGTCTCTTAAAAATATTCAAGTAGCTTGTGCTTTTTATGTCAATGTCTCCAAGCTGGCTTCCATCATGCAGAGCAGTTTAAAAAAAAAAAAAAAAAGTTGTTGGGGGAGCTGCTTTCTTACCAATGCAGCAGCTCCCCCCAACCTCCCACAGACACACACAAACAGGAATACAAGCTTTTAAAGTGATTGTCCTTAAAATGAAGACAGCTGATGAGAGGGAAAGCATGAAAGAGACAGCAACTGCTCTCCTCTCCTGTAGCCAGGCTCATAAGTGACATAATTAAAATATTTGTTGACTTGCAGACATCCTTAAACACGCAACCAAAATTCTTAAGATATTAAATGGGAGACATAACCGTTAAGGAAAATCGAAGGAGACATTGATGGACTTTGTCCTCTAAGATGGGCATGGGCGTCTTTCTAGGCATCTCCCTGTGATCTCACCACTTTCTAACTTACTTTTCACTTCTCACTTCCTGGCTGCCCCCACCATTGCTGGGAAATTAAGCATGTTGAAGTAAACAATTCTTTGCCACCACATATCCTGGAACCTGCTACGTGTAGAAGTGGCCACATGAGAGGTAGTGTGACTGCAAATCTAAACCTGTGAGTTGAAAGAAACTGCCCAAATTGCAGCCCCTCTGAAACTTGGAACATGCAGGAGCTTCTCCCAACAGAGACGCCAGACTCACCGTCCTATCTCAGTCCCATCTGCTCCAGGGAGGGCTGCTCAACACTCTGATGGCCCCAGTGGCCCTCCTAACACAAAAGGGTAGGTTCGAGAAGCTGGCACAGACAACTCACTTGGAAGAGCAGCCAGTGTCAGAGTTCCCATCAGGACCTGTAGCAGCAGTCTCCCAAGAATCTACATTTGGACTTGACCTGGCCTCTCTCACAACCTCAGAAGCAGATTTCAAAGCCACCTTGGAATTCTTCAAGACCTTCCCAGATGTCATAAAAGCACAAAGGAAAAGGATTTGGTATGTCCTGCTACAAGGTTTTCAGCAAGAACCTACCTGCCTACCTTCACTTCAACAACAGCAACTCATTAAGGAAAAACAGAAGCAGCAAAAATGGCCTTGTGCAAGCTATTCCAACAGCACAAAAGTCCGGGGGCCACTTGGAAGAGTGAGAAGACACACACTCCTGTTTTCTCAGCCCCCAGTGTGGAGGAGACAAGGGTGGGGACCCACCACACAGCTACTGATGAAGAGGCACATCACACAGGCATTTACAATGGCACCTGCATGACCACTTGAGCTAATACACTGTGACTACAACAGAAAATACTCCCCCTCATCCAGTGCCACTGCAGTTCCCTCCAGCAGCGGTTCTCCCCAGGGAATGCTGGTGTTTCCTGCAGAATTGGAGACTTGGGCAGGTGGAGGACCACCAGCCTACGGAACATAGCAAGGGGGCTGGGGGAGAGGAGCAGCCAGGCCAATGGTCCTCAGTGATGACCATCCAAGGCTTCCCCTCCTCCAAGGTACCAGTTATTCATTAGGCCCTTCCAAAGTCCAGGGCCTTCCCCAACCACTTGGCTGATAAGGCGTTCCCAGAATGAACCTGTATGCAAGCTACACTCCCTATCAATGATTTTCCATCAATGTTTCTCAAATCTTACACCATAATAAAAGTTTACAGTTCTGTTTTATGTATTTTCAGATACATCTTAATGAAGGGATGGTGGCTAGCTTGGTCAGAGTCTAGCTGTGGAACCTAAGACATGGCAGCCTCAGTGCCTCCCTTTCCTTAGCGATGAAGATACAAACAGAAAGTACCACACGTTCTGTTGGTGAGGACTCAATGAGTTATTACATGGAAAGTGCTTAGAACAGTGATTACAATGTGTGTGTGTGTGTCTGTGTCCGTGTGGGAGAGAAGCTAATGTTCACTTTAAAAATACATGATTTTAGCTTGTACTTAACATGTTATCAGAAATATGAATACTACAGATGACTGGATAAAGAAAATAGACTATTCAGCCATAAAAAAACAATGAAATCATATCTTTTGCAGCAACACAGATGGAACTGGAGGCCATTATCCAGACGGAACCAGAGACTTGAAGGGTGATGGGGTAGGAAGGGGTGGATGATGAGAGATTACTCAATGGGTACAATGTATGTTATTTGAGTGATGGATACAATAAAGGTCCTGAATTCACCCTTAGGCAATTTATGTAACAAAATAACACCTGTACCCCATCACTGTATACAATGTTGTTTTTTACCTTTCCTATGGTGCTGAACACATTTTTTAAAAGGAAATGTGTTGAATACTGATATACAAAAATGTTATTTTACACTGGTAACTTCTAGAATTCAAACCACATTTTAAGATATTTGTAAAATGAACAAGGTATTTTGATGATAGATATTAGTTTTAACTGAATCTGATTTTAGTGCTCTAAAACATCATGTGCTGAGTGTCTGAAGGATGACATTACTCCTCATATTTAAAAAGGTTACACCTTTCCCAGTAAAGCATAATAATAATGACCATTATAATTATTCTACATTGTTTCCACTTTGTCTCTTTAGCTATCTCAACTTTGGAAAACAGACAGCAAATGAGGCTTAAATCATGAAAAGTGTATAGACTCACACTCCGCAACAAGGCTGCCACTAGTCGCGTGTGGCCAAGGCCAATCAAAATGCAGCGAGAGGCAGCCAAGAGGTGCAGTAAACGTATATACTATATGCTGAATTTCAAAGCCCTCACGCAAATAAAAGAATATGAGTTATCTTATTAATTACATTTTATGTTGATTACACATAGAGTTTATATATATATTGGGCAAAATATAGGATGAAAATTAATAATACTTGTTTGGTTTTACATTTTTAATGTGGCTACCAGAACATTATGATTACATCTGGGGCTTGCATTTGTGGTTCACATTGTATTTCAAGGGGTCAGCACTGCTCTTGACAATCCATCAGTTCAAATGGCATTTGCAGGGAGACAGTCCATATTAAAACACACATACGCACCATTTTCTGCAGTTAGTCTCTTCTCCTCCCATGACAGAGAGCTGGGCCCATGCTCAGTTCCATGCAAAGCTGTAGTGGGGTAGCCCTGCCATTACTGCACAGGAGAACCCTGAACCAGTCCCAGTGGAGAGAGTCTTTAAAAACAAACTGATTATAAACTTAGTTTTGTTATCACAATTAGCAAACCATCAGTGGGTGGCCACAGATGACTTGTAGCTCAGCATGTGTGTATATGGGGAAGGGGATATTTAGATGCTGGGAGAAACAGAGAGGCAGCCCAGTCGTGCAAGCCCATGACTGCCATGCTGGGGACTTGAGTCACTGACCCAAGTACGATGGAGAGCCACCGTGTGCAGGTCATGGCCAGACCTGACTGTCAGGGTGCAGTCACCCTGGGATGGATTGGCAGGAATGGTTAAAAAGTGGTTTTGATGTCCAGGGGAAACAGAAAAAGGACAGCAGGGCTGAGATGTTAGATCTTTTGGAGGTAGAATCAATAGGGGTTGATAACTAGTTGGGAGCTGAGGGAGAATTCAAGGATAACCGAGTGAGTCGGTGATGGGGAATATAACTGAGAAGGCGGGCAGGTTGCAGGAGAAGCTGCAAATGGTTTGGGATGGTGGAAATGACCACTAAGAACTTGGATAATTCATATGAATGTGAATGAATGAGCAAACAAAGCATCAATGAACATACAGATCTGGAGCTAGAGGGAGGTCAGTCATGCAGGCATTGCCCCTGCCTTATGTCTGAACAAGGCAAAATGGCCTAGGTCAGAAACATTCCAGCCACGCTCAGGGTGCACCTCACCACCGTCATGCACATTCTGCTAAGGGATGTTTGCTCATGTGGCAAAGACTGCACGATCACAGAGATGGCAGGCTCAGAGGAGACGGCCTCTCCACCCTGGCTGCCATTGGCCCCACCTCTTGCTTTGCTCTCTTCATCCAGGGTTCAGAAAAAACTTTCCTTTGCATATCACTGATATTTTATCATGGTCTCAATTAAAGACAAACCAACCCCCAAATAAGTGTCTACCTACCTAAGTTGAAGAGAAGTTTCCATAAATGAAATCAAGTCAAGATTTTTCTCTCTCTTCAATCACTCTACTTAAAACCTTTCCAGCCTTTGGAAGGCCAGCACCAAGGCTTGTTCCCTGTTATGGGGTGCTACAACCAATATATAAAGAGCTGACGTTCCCTCCTTACTTGTGACTACTCTAACCATCCCTGGTAGGTGTCCCCAAATAAACAGAGATCCCAGATCTGGATGATGGGAGCACCAGGTCTTCCTAAAAGCATCAGCCCTGTTGTGGAACCTAGACAGACACACTGGGAGTGGCTGAATTGTCCACCCTAAATTCATATGGTAAAGCCCTAACCCCTAAGTGACTATATTTGGAGACAGGACGCTTCAGGAGGCAATTAAGGTTAAAAAAGGTCATAAATAAGGTTAAAAAAGGTCACCATAAGGGTGGGGCCCTCATCCAACAGGACAGATGTTCTTATAAGAGGAAGAAACACCAGACCTCTCTCTCAGTGCACTCACAGAAGGAAGGCTACGTGAGTGAGGACACAAGAAGACGAGCCAGGAAGAGACACTCACCAGAAACCAGCCCTGCCGGCCCCGGGGTCATGGACTTCCAGCCTCCAGAACTGTGAGAAAATAAATGTCTGCAGCTTTAGCCACCCATTCTGTTGTTGTTGTTTTGTGTGTGTGTGTGTGTGTGTGTGTGTGTGTTTGTTTGCTTTTGAGACAGGGTCTCACGCTGTCACCCAGGAGTGCAGTGGTGTGATCTTGGCTCACTGCAACCTCCGCCTCCTGGGTTCAAGCAATTCGCGTGACTCAGCCTCCCGAGTAGCTGGGATTACAGCCGTGAGCCACTGCGCCCGGCCTCTGTGTGTTATTCTCTTAAGGCAGCTGGAGCTGACTAATACACGCACTAAACAGGAATAAGCTTTCTGAACTTGAGGAGGCTTTCCAGGGTAACCCTGGCCCATAACCAGGATGTGGGGACAAGAGAGACTGACATTGCTCCTGCCGGCCTCCCCTCACACCGCTCAACCTCAGTCAACTCACATCCAGAATCTGCTCCACCAATATCTACACACAGCTGCGACACGGCAAAGGCAGATACCCAAGGACACTGTGTTCTGTAAACTGCCTCACAAAAAAACAACTCTACCCAGCAACACGTTGGTGTTCCTCATGTATGGCCTGCAGAAGGACTTAACCTAAATTCAAGCTCTGTCATCCCCAGTCTCCTACCTAGAAATGAGGGCCAGAACCAAGTGCACCATGTTATTCGACTATTAAATATGATGGTGTATGTGAAGAGGACTTTGCAAACAATGAATGAGCGTGCATGCATTAGTACATGTCATTCTCTCATCATGGCATTTTCGGTCTTCACTAACAATTTGGCAACGTAAGCACCCCAGCTTCCAAAATTGTCTCAAAAGAAGCAACTGCAATACTTAAAATTCTGAGTGCACTTGAAGCTTCTTCTCTTAAAAACATTACCAATACAACAGTAGAAAGAAGGGGTGACACAAATAACTAACTTACCAGGCCAGGATCACAAACGGTCTGCCCAGCGTTTTGAATTCAGGTTGATAGGAACAGACTAACCTACAAAAGTAAACCATTCAGCCAGCCCACCAGGTAATACAGTTGAGTATGGGGTTGGCTTTGTTTTTTTGTTGTTGTTGTTGCTGTTGTTGTTTTTAAATGTAGCTTCAGGACTACAAATGACTCACATGACAGAAAATTTGCCAAATAGAGAGGCCAACAGACCAAATTCTCCCATTGTCTGGACATCCTGAGGTCAAAGCCTTCCACAGTAGACAGAAGTTCTGAGATTTACAAGAATGCTGGAGGTCTCTTACCACTTGAATCTCAGTGGGAGGCTAGAGCCCCAATATTAACAGGCTGGGCACTCATTATTCACATATTCAATAAGTATTTGTTGCACACTCATTGTGTATAAGTGGCAAGACCAGTCTGCCCCCAAGCGGTTCAGAATCTAGTAAAGAAAAGATGAAGGCAAAAAAACCATAGGGCAGGGTATGGTGGCTCTGGCCTGTAATCCCAGTACTTTTGGAGGTCAAGGCAGGAGGCTCACTTGAGCCCAGGAGTTTGAGACCAGCCTTGGCAAAGCAGCAAGACCCTGTCTCTACAAAATAAAAATAAAAATAAAAATAAAAAAATTCACTGAGCATGGTGGTGCACACCCGTAGTCCCAGCTACTCGGAGGCTGAGGTGGGAAGATTGCCTGAGGTGGGAAGATTGCCTGAACCCAGAAGCTCGAGGATGCAGTGAGCTGTGATCATGCTACTGTACTCCAGCCTGGGTGACAGGGTGAAACCCTGCCTTAAAAAAAGAAAAAAAACAACTGCAGGAAAGAATGTCACAGATGACAAATCAGGGACACAAAGAAAGTGCTGTGGAAGTTTAAAGATGATGCCATCCCCTCTAGTTTGGAGTTGATAAGATGTGGGGAAGAAAAGAAGTAAGAGACGACCCTTGGGATGAGTAAGAACTCAGGACACGGAGGAGACTGAGCCAAGGAGTTGAGAGGGAACACAGAGGCTGGTCAGGGACAGTGACACCGTATGACATCACTGTGACACTGCTACCTCAATCAAAATAACTTTCATTTCCACAGTTTCAAGGACTAAGATTCTTGAGGTAGGAATGTATGTGCCAGTACACATGTGGATGTGTGTCACTGGGCAGAGGTAATACTTGCTAACGTTCATTTACCTTTAGAAATAAACATACTTTGGGAAATGTTCAAAGGAAAATGCAGGAAAAGAAAAGAGTCTAATTTTTTAATTGTGCTACTAAATGGCCTAAAGAAATGCAAAACTGTTTTTGCTTTAGCTGCACACTTTTGATAGCCCGTTAAAAGGCCGTCACGACCTTCTTCTGAGTTGCCTTAACTCAGGCATGGAACAAGATACACGAAATCACATTTTAGCTTAGGCCCTTTGAAAACGTGCCGTGAAGTATTTCCATCACTCATTTTAGGAAACAGAAACCATTTGGAAGTGCCACTCGCAAACCCTCTGGATGGGAAAACTAATTTCCTAAGCATCTGAAGTGAGCTGTAGGGAGTTTCCAGTTCATTTGTGAAAAAAGTTAGCTTACTTGTTTTTCCAAACATCACTCATCATCCTCCCCTGTAGTTCCAGCAAGCAATTCTGAGCTCTTCAGTCTTTAAGCCTCATTTTTAATGTCAGAGAATGATTTCCGCAAGCCCTGTCTCCCCCAGTGCACACGGCAAGCCAGTTTGAGCAGTTAGAAAAATGGGTGTCCCATAGAGCCTCGCAGCCTGGTCTATCCAGGGCAAACTAAGCTAGTGCAACTGATCAAGTAAAGGACTCCAGTGCATTCTGCGCCATTCCGGGAGTCTTAGGGTATTTTAAAAGGTTATCCAGTCTGTGCACATGCAAGGAAGATTTCCGGTGTATTTAATATGGATGGTAGTGCATTTCTCAAATATAGTACTGTGTACATAAGATCTGCTGTTTGTTGGAAAAGCTAAATAACCGAAAATGTAAATGACAAAGCCTGGGAATATGGCAGGGTCAAACAGAGCAAGGATGAAGAAGATTTAAGTATGCAGCGTGTCCTAAGCAAAACACAAAGCATGAAAACTGAGCACAGCCACCTGCAAGGCACCTTCAGCAAGCCCGACGGTTAACAGGGTCAGTTTCTCCACAAGTGGACAGAGGGGGTTATGCAGCAGCCAACTCTTCCTGATGGCAATTTGTGACCCAATTTCATCCAGTGTTTCATGACCAACCCCCCTGAATGTTTATGAAGCAGGAAAGAAGCTCAGAATCCAGGCGAGGCCTCCGGGACAGGAAGTGGGCCAGGCACCTCCACAGCTTCCTATGCCTAAAGTTCTCCATTTCAGCCTCAAGTAGCCGCCAGAAGACCACTAAGATTCCGCCACCTTCTCCAATCAAAACTACATCTAACCAACCTCCAGGGCAGAATATACTGAGGTAGGATTTTCCCTCGTGTTCACTTCTTCACAAGCAGGTTAACACTTGCTTCTCAGGAAACCCCTGTTCCAAACGTCAAAAAACCTCCATGTCTAGCCCAATCTCCAGGTGAAGTCAATTTCTTCTCCACGTGTCCGATGACTGCCATTCTCTTTACGTAAAACTCGCAAGGCTTGAATCCTGTTACTAATTCACCTGCTTATCTATGAAGCTTGCAAAGTGAATTGAGGGAGTGTTCACACGCACAGTTCCGTTTTGGTAAGTTAAAGCGGCCCAGGTTAATTTCATTTTCAGTCACTTTTGAGACTTGATAACTACATCTAAAACAGAGGCATGAAAAACACCCTGAATCACTTTCATTCCTACACAAAATCCCTTCCGAGAAGCGGGGACTGCGCCTGGGCCAGGAAGGGACTCCCCTACCTGTAGGTCCCAGCAAGCCACGCCCACCGGCCTCTCAGGGTTGTTTCTTTCTGGGTCGAGGGACGGAGCTGGCCCTTGCGATATTTTAGGCCCCCTCCTGCCCACACTGGGGCCTGCTCATCCCATTATGCAGATGCAAACTTGGCAGAAGCAGCCTTAAACCTGTTGGCAAAATAAACAAAGCCAAATAAAGAGGAATCTGCCAACCTGAATTGTGTGAAGTGGCCAAGGCCGACTCCACGCACGCTCGGCTTTGTCCCTGAAGCTGTTACAATACTAGTTTAAGTCAGGTGCCTGGGGTCCACCAGCCAATGACCCCTAGCATCCACCGCAGACCTTCACAGAGATCCCCATTGTCTACAAATTAAAGCGTTTTGCAAATTAAACCCCTCCACACAATGCCAAGCTAACTGTGCTCATAAGGCAGTTACCCTCCATGCCTTAAAACTCACATATCAAATTTTTCCAAAAGCACTCGGTGATTAAATCGCCCTGAAAAAAACCGAGAGAGCCGAGCGATTGTGAGAAACTTTGGTTCATTCAGGTGGCTGTTAGAGTCCTGTAAATCTGGGGCAGGGCGCAGAGCCTGAAGCCGGGCACAAAAGCTCCCTTCGCCGAAGCGAGGACCTCCTTTATGCAATGTGACAGCAGCTTTGTGCGCGAACATAAATAGTTGTAATAAACACGGTTAAGTTCTCCCGGCCGATCGCGGCCTCCCCCGTCCCTGCGCCGGGGCCCTGCGATCCGCGGCTATTCTTCCCCGGCACACGCGCCCTGGCGACCCTGGCCACCGCACGGTCCCACGCTAGCCCCGAGCTCCGTGCCGGCCGCCCGCCTGCAGGCCAGGCGCAGCCTGCGCACCCGGGGGTCTCCAGTCCCCGGGCCCCGCAGCCGGGCCCCCTGCCCTGATCCTCGCCCGCGCCCTTGGCTGGCGTCCCCGCCCCTGGGCCGGCCCCCGATGGTGGGGGTTAGGGATGGGAAGGCGGGCAGGAAGGTGCAGAGCCGGGAGGTGCCCGGCAGTCCGCGGTCGGGGGCGCCCAGGCCGCGGCAGGGCCGAGAGCACCGGAGGGGCGCGGAGGGGACCCGCTCTCCTGGCCCCTTCCCGGGCGCACCCCGGCCCGCGAGCCCCGCCGCGCTCCCAACTCCGCCCAACGGCCCCAAGTTTGTGGCCCCCGCCCCACGCCCGCCTAGCCGCGCTTACCTCGCCGTGGGCCGCCCGCGGAGCCGGAGGGCAGCGGCGCGGGTCCCGGGGCGGTGGCCGCGCTGCGCCCGCCCAGGCGCCGCTCTTTGTCTGCGCCGCTCCCTCCTCCCGCCGCCGGGCGGACGCTGCCGGCCCGGGCGGACCCTGCCGGCCCGGGCGCCGCGAGCCTCCCGGCCGCCAAGCCCTCCCCTCCGCCCGCCGCCCGCTCGGCCGCGCGGCTCCGGCCTGACGATCCCCGCGGCAGCGGCGGCGGCGGCGGCGGCGGCGGCGGCGACCCTCCCCCGGCGCGCAGCGCCCGCCTCCTCCGCGCTCTTCCTCCTCCTCCCGCGCTCCTCCCCGGCCGCGCCGTGACGCCGCCCAGGGGCCGGCCCAGGCCCGGGCGCGCGGGGCGGGGACCCGAGACCCACCTGGGGCGCCCCCCGTCGTCGCCAGGCTCCGCGCCCGGGTCCCGGTACGGGCGCCGGGATAGCGCGGGGCTGCGGGACGCTCCGCTCTGGAGGCGCAGCACGGGCCGGGCGCCGGGGGCAGGAAAGGGTCCCCACGCCCGAAATTGCGTGCGGGCGGTGGGGGGCAGGGTAGGTGGGTGGGGAGGAGAGTGAAAACACAGACGGCAACTTCCAGCCTGGGATGACTGCCGGGTGGGCTTTGCGTCCTCTTTTTTGTTTGTTCGTTGTTCTTATCACGAAGCTCTAGTTGCTGGGCAGCCGCCCCCCTCCCGGAAGCATTCCCACGGCACTCAGCTAAGCAGGCCTGTTGTCCATCAGAAAAGTGACTTAAATAAAAATGTCACTTCCTCCCTGTAATTGCTTGTGGGCATTTTTATTTATTTGCTTTGCATCTATTTACTTTCCCAACCAGACACATTTTTAGTCCATCATCCCTGTCCGAGGCACTTCCTAAAAGAAGAAGAAACTCGACCTCTGTTGCCTCCCAGGCATCCAGGCCAGCCCCAGCCTGTGGAATCCTGGTTGCACACCCGTGGGGGCAGAACCCGAAGAGGAGCTGCCCGAATGTGCCCCTAGAAGGAGTGTCGCTAATGATGGGACCGTTCAGCTCACCCAGCCTCGAGTTGTGGCTAGCCTATAAACAAACTTGGAAGATGAAAACCCAAGAGCAAGGGGAAAGACACAAGTTTCCCTTTCACAGACACATGCATCCGGATGTCTTTTCTCCTCCCCATATGGTTTCCCAAAGGAAATCCTAATATTCAAATGATTCTGATTTCCTGGCAGGATAGCCTGCATCCATGTTAATGAGATTCTTTCTTAGGCTCCTGGTCTCTGCTTACTATTAAGGCAATAATAATTTACCCAAGGTTACAAGGCTGTATTATTTGATTCACTCATCTCCTGCTTCCTTCCAGAAGGGAAGTACCCAAGGATAGGTAACTAGAGTCAGCGTAGCTTTGAAGTCAGACAGGTGAGTGTTTGACTGTTGACTTCCTGAACTGTGTAACGTTGCACAGGTGGTCCTCAGCCTTTCTAAAATCTGTCATATGGGGAGATAATATTTACTTACCTCCTATGTGAAGTACCCTGGCAGTAGGTAGCCCTCAATAGCTCAGTAAGTGGAAGGAAGCACAGTACACTGAGCAGGAATCAGGTACAAGCTCAGGGAATCAGAACAGCCTCATTTTTCCTTGTTTTGACCTTGTGAAAGAAGCTACTTCAGTTCATCCTTTTGTGCAAGTTTTGTGTTACTAATATCTAGCTTTACAATAAGAAAAGAAGAATTCTAGTCATCAGTCTGCCCAATTTTAGATTAATTTACTCAAAATAAGTATAGCAATATTGACCCAGTTTGTAGCTTGTTTGCTTTGTAAACTTTCACTGAATCGTGGTTCTTGCATGCCTCTTCTTTCTCTGATTCTTTAGAAGTCACCGATGTCATTCTCTATCTAAATCCAGTGGCCCTTTATCAATCTTTATCCTGTGGAGTTTTCTGAAATATGTGGCATTTCTGCTATTTCCTGAAACACCATCATCTTTTCATTCATCAAACACAGCCAGTTCTGATTCTCTTACCTTTCTGACCTGCCCATCTGCCTCCTCTAGAGAGGTTGTTGTCTTCCCACCCTGTAAAAGTGATATCCCCAAGGCAGATGGTGGCCCTTTGTTTTTATTCTGATACGCACCTTTTTTTTTTAAAGAGAGAGTTGATTGTTTTTTGTACACTCCCTGTCTAAACCTTCATTGATTAACCCCCAGACCTGTAGCCTTAGAGAGCTCCCCTGCTAATCTGCAGAGCTCCCCAGCTAATCTGCACCCCCTAAACATGGCGCAGCATCTCTTCTAGGTCACCATGTTCAAAATGAAACTCATCTGCTCCCCAGACCAGCTCCTCCTCCCATGGTTTCAGGCCTGGCCAAGAGTCTACCAGGCACCTCAGCTCCTGGGAGAAATCTCATTGTTATCTTGGCTTTTCCTTCCCTCTCTCCGAGTTCTCCCCAAGAAAAGCTGGGAGAGCGCTGAATGACACCAAGACCCCTTGCAGACTACCCCCATGGTTCTGAGTCCTGGTGATTCTTAAACATCTTTTCCACTGCACCTTTCTTTCCATTTCCATCACTGGCATCCTAACTTATACATCATTCTAGCAATAGTTATAATGTACCTTGATTGAATTCTTGACATATATCATCTCTAATCCACACACAATAGTATTATACCCATTTTACAGATGAAATCACTTGAACAGTGGATCAAAGAACTGGGGTCAGAGCATGTACCTGACTCCAAAACTCTTGTTCAATTCCCCACAACTACTGCCTTCCAACTGGTCTCCCATTACTTCCTTCTTAAATCCCTCAGACTCACACTGGACATCAATGTCATCCTAACCTTCCTGTAAATTGTTTCCATTTGTCCCTGGTTGTGCTCAAGAACTTCTCATGGCTCCCCATTGCCCACCACAGTCTCCTCAAAAGTTATCTGATGACTGAAGACTGAGCATTTTCCCCCAGAGAGGCTGGGGTATTTAGCCCTTAGAGGCCTGTGTTCGTTTCCTGGGGCTGCCTTAACAAATGACCCCAAACTAGGTGACAAAACAGAGGTTATTTTCTCAAAGTTCTGGAGTTCAGAAGTCTGATATCAAGACACCAGCCTCTCTCCAAAGTCTGTAGAGAACAATCCTTCCCTGCCTCTTCCAGCTTCTGGTGGCTGCAGACATTCCTTGGCTTGTGGCAGTGTCACTCCCACCTCTGCCTCTCTGTCTTCACACAACCTGGTTCCCTGTGTCCTTTCCCTTCTCTCTTTTTGTAAAGACAAGTATCATTGAATTTAGGGCTCACTCTAATCCAGCATGATGTCATCTCGACATCCTTATCTTACAACATCTGCAAAGACCTTTTTTCCAAATAAGGTCGCGTTCTCGGCTTCCAGGTGAACATATCTTTTGGGGCCAACATCCAACCCACTGCAAGGCTTAACATGGGGGAGACATTTCTTTGAAGCTTATGTTTTATCTAAAAATATATAGGTTTTTCTGCATTCTACTCCATTAATGTGTCCACATCTGTTTTACTGTCTTCAATCACAAAGTATTGAAAGCATAAAAAACATGGAGTGGAAGGAGGTGCAGTAAACTTTTGCCTAAAATCACATCAGCATTACATCTTATGATCTCTCTTCCAAAGGCCTCTCCAACTTAGCCCTGCCATACAATCTCCTTTTTACCTCTGTCCAGTATAAGCTGTTTGCTTCAGTCACTCAGCTCTGCCCACAGTGCCACATTGAGTCACACTAGTTTCAGCCTTCTGTGGTGTGAAGGCAGCTAGGAATTCCCTGTCCCCGTCCTTCTCTTTCAGAGCTCCATTCAAGGCCTTCTCTAACCCCTCCTTAGACTCACGGAAAACACAAAGCAAGGTTGAGGGTGTTGTCCAAGTCATACGTCAGAGGCTCAAAGCCTACCTTGGAGCCTGTGCCTTGGGGTCATTTCACCTCTCTGAGCCTCAGATATTAATAGTGCTCTTGCAAAGCGTTGTGAGAATTAAAGGAGATAATATAAACATGTCTCAACTGTGTGTTCAGCACATGGTAAACACTCATGTCTCCTTTCTCATGACCTTCTCTTGTAACCCTCAATTCAATTAAGCATATCTGGTGTAGTTCTATTTGTAAGGCATTATAAGATCCACTTCAGGATTCATTCATTTGGTGCAGACACCAAAGAACACCTGGATGTGCAAAGAGCAGATATAAGATTGCATTATTCAGAGAGGTTATAACGCAAACTGGAGTGGAGTGAAAGGATGGGAAAATAGTTTAGGAGAAATGGAGAGGAAAGACCCAAAAGGAAGGATGAAACCAGCATACAAATAACTATAATATAAAACTAAATATGAACAGTACCAAAGAAAATATGTCTAGAGAATCAGGAGAAGCTTTAGGCTTTATGAAAGGTGGTGGCATTGGCAATGACCTTGAGAGATTACATGGTGGGAAGCTGCCTTTAATTTGGCTGCCCCCCTCTCTAGCCCCTTCCTGGTTTTAGAGAAGCCTGTCTGAACCCTGGAGGGAGGCAGAGTAGGCACCTTGGTCCCTCCATTCCCAGAAGCCCTGTGAGAGTGAACAGCCTGGGATTGGCCAATGGAACCCTCCCACTCAAGACTGTGAAACTGGAGAGGGTGAAAAGGACAAGAGAGGGTGAGATTCAATTTGCCATGGCTGAAATAGTCCCAGCACATCCCTCCCACAGGAATTAGCCAGCTCCATTCTCACCCCTTCTGCTCTCCAGTTCCCCTGTGAGCTACTTGATATTCTTCTAGTAAATTCTCCTATTCTGCTTAAGGTACCCAGAGGCACTTCCTCTTTTTGGAACCCAAACCCCTGAATAATGCAAATGGTAGGATTTTGAAAGGTGGAGATAGACAGGGAGAAAATTCCCAGCGGCAGGAGTTCAGAACTCTGAGGCAGACAGGGGGACGTGGGAGGACCCTGTAGGGACAGAGAATGGCCCACTTGCCTAAATGGAGCAGAGGCTGCACAGAGCGGATCGCGAGGCCAAGAAGGAAAGCAGTTAAGTGTGGACATCATCTGGGCTCAGCCCAGGAACACTCATTTGGTGCATGCACGGAAGGACAGCTGGAGACAGGAAGAGCAGACAAAAGTTCGCATTTCCAAGAGAGTTCATAACCCCAACTGGGGTGGAATGAGTAGATGGGAAAGTGTTTTAGGAGAAATGGAAGGGGAGGCTCAAAATGAATTGGCAGCTGCTTGGATGTGGGGGACCAAAGAGAAAGAGAATGGGGCACAAATATAACCTGAGGCTTTGGATGTGGGAAACTGCAAAGACAACGGTGCCGAGATCAGAAACAGAAAAGTGGGGAGGACTGGCTTGTGAGGGATGAACGGTTTTGTTTTTGTACATTTGTTAAATGTAATGAATAGTTATTGCCAACTTACTACATGGAGAGGGCACTGCAGGAGGTACACAAATGAGCAAGCCACAGTTCCTGCCCTCACGTGCCTCTGTGCTAGAAAAGTTGCTATTACTACTATAAATACCCTGCTGGAGTAATGAGCCTATTGCTCTTTAATTGTATCATTCATCTCAGCGTTGATATGAACGCCCTGAGGGCAGGAGCCAAGCCTGGTTTTCCTGTACAGCCCCGACCATTCTCCGGCCTACCCAGTACAGAACAGACACTTTGCAAATCTTTCACGATGGATGGAAATTCCACACTTACGAGTGTGTCAAAGAGGACAGAGAGCATTAGTGAAGAGACTTAAAAAGAGGCCATTAGGAACTCGCTATGAGAATCTCAAAACAGATACCGGTGGACGTATAGATTTTTGCATTTCATTTCACCTACATGAAAACATGGGGAAGAGACGAGTCTTAAGACGGCACGGTGATTTCATACCCAAACTACAAAGTACCTTTTCACTACCTCTTCAGACCCAAGAAGGGGCAGCTTAGAAACACATGAAACCCATCTCTCAGTGACTGGCAGGATTAACTTTTTACAAACCACCACTACAAAGAGTTAAAGTTCATAAACACCCCCCAAAAAAGTGGGCTGTCCTCTATGGATGATCAATACGATTCTCCTGCCTCTCTCTAAGAATTGTGATCTGGACTTCAGGAAGTAACTATGCTTTATCTAATTGTGTAAATAAAGGAAAAACAGATGAAGTAACACTATAAAGTTGAATGTAAGTTAGGGTATCAAAAAAAAAAGGAACGGAAGTGCACTTAAACACCGACCTGTTTTTCAGTATGTGTTTTGTCAAACACTTCCTGTGGTGATCAACGTTACACATCATAACTTTAAAATTTAACAGGTGCTTGAGCCGAAAAATAAAAATGATCACAATTTTACATTGTTTTTGATTGTTAGCAGCAGGGTAGAGTTAGTTTCAGATAGGAACAATTTTAAGAGAGCTCTGTACCTTTAGAAAAGCTAAAATTTTACGCAAATTGCCATTTTGAAATCCACCTTAGGTGAACATCATGGATGAGACATTTATGTTAGCTACAATAACCCTCAATTAATCAGAATGCCTCAGGAAGGAGTTGTTTTGCTAAATTAAATTTTCGTGTTGGTTAAAGATCAACCAGAAATTCCCTTCAGCTGGAACATAAATTGAAATTAAAAATATATGTACGTATATTGTAGGCAGATATCTCACCTTGGAAAGCACAGTACAGTAAATGAAATGAGTCCCTTTTTGATGTGGGGTGCCTCATAATGTCTCTGAGTCATCATTCTGAACATGCATCCTCATTTTATAGTGTTAAGTGTGTAGAAGATTGAGTGGAAGAATCTGTACTAAGTCAGAGCCATGCTCAAATTACTTTTTAAAAAGTTAATAAAATTTGCTTGTTTTCCTGCATTTGCTACCTTTTTCTGAAAGTAAAGTGCTGAGCAGGAGATTGCCATTGAGTGAGGGCTCCAGTTACTTACAGCCTAGTCATTCAGTGCTTACTTGCATGTTTTAAAAGGGAAGACTTCTAGCAGGAGCGGTGGCTCATGCCTGTAATCTCAACACTTTGGGAGGCCGAGGTGGGTGGATCACTTGAGGTCAGGGGTTCAAGACCAGCCTGGCCAACATGGTGAAACCCCATCTTTACTAAAAATACAAAACTTAGCCAGGCATGGTGGCACGTGCCTGTCATCCCAGCCACTCGGGAGGCTGAGGCAGGAGAATCACTTGAATCCAGGAGGTGGCGGAGGTTGCAGTGAGCCGAGGTCCTGCCACTGCATTCCATCCTGGGCGACAAAGTGAGACTTCATCTCAAAAATAAAATTAAAAAAAAAATGAAAGGGAAGACTTCTAAAATATAAAGCAATTCTCAACTAGAGTACTGGTAAGTGGGATGTTGCTTTTTTTAAAATCACAGTCTTCACTAAAGAACAAATAGGTTAATAGGAAGATATGTTTTAGAGACACTGTAACATAATCTCTTTTTCACTCTGCAGTGCACTGGATGGCTTTCTCCTGTGAATTCAATGCAAATCCAGCGGAGAGTAGGCTGCATTGAGGAATAATCCCGTGTAGCTTCCTGTCTGTGGTCTGCATTGCCTTCCCTCCCATCCATGATGCTATAAGCTCTCTTTCCTTGGAGTTCCTCTCATTCTCCGAAACTCTGCCGGGGCGTATAGCCAAAAATGCCTTGTTTTCTAGTAATTTATGTCCATATGATATTTTAAGATCATAAACTGATTCAGGACAAAATTATTATTATTATTATTTTTTTCTTGGAGATGGAGTTTCACTCTGTTGCCCAGGTTGGAGTGCAATGGCATGATCTCGGCTCACTGCAAACTCCACCTCCTGGGTTCAAGTGATTCTCCTGCCTCAGCCTCCTGAGTAGCTGGGACTACAGGCACATGCCACCATGCCCGGCTAATTTTTGTATTTTTGGTAGAGATGGGGTTTCACCATGTTGGCCAGGGTGGTCTCAAACTCCTGACCTCAAGTGATCTGCCCGCCTCGGCCTCCCAAAGTGCTAGGATTATATTATAGGCATGAACCACCAAAATTATTTCTTTGACTTCCCCAGAGTATCTCACTGACACCTCATACAAAGTTGGCAGTTAATGATGATTCTTGAAGGAAAGGCGTGGGATAAAAATATACTATTTACAAATAACATTTTTAAAATGCAAATGGGTTTAGCTACATATCATTGTAAGTTTTTATTATTAACACAATAGTTGTTAATAGCTATCATCTGTTGCATTCTTACCACTGGCCAAGCACACTATCTAATCCTGACAACCCCAGTGAGGGAGGCATGAAGGTCCCCATTTTATAGATAAGGAAACTGAGGTTGAAAAGCTTTAAAAAACCTGTCTAAGGTCACAAAGCAAACAAATGGCTGTGATTTCTTTCTCATGATGTCTCCTACAAATATCTAATATTGATTTACAAAGTATCTGAGAAGTGCAACCATGATCAATAAATTGCACTTATTTTAATATCCTATTAAATCACTTTCATGTTGAGAATTCTTAACAGTTACTGATTTCACCCATTTTACTCTAGTTTTATCAGACACTTCCCATGTCTGCATTGGGCCAGGGGCCTCAGGGCATAGGGAGGTGTTAGAGAGGACTGACACCTTTACCTGCAGGGACTCTGGAGAAGTGACCCCTCCTGAAGGCCAGCACTCAGAGCCACACTGGATGGGGTATTGTTTCCTATGACTGTCGTAGCAAGCCACCACAAAGTTGGGGCCTTAAACATCACAGTTATGATCCTTCAGTTCTGTGAGTCAGAAATTCAACCCAGGTCTCTCTGGGCTAAAATCAAGGTGGCAGTGGGGCTGTGTTACCTTTGGGATGCTCTAGGGGACCATTCATTTCCTTGCCTTTTCCAGCCTCTGGAGGTCACACACACTCCTTCTGCGACGGCCTTTTCCTCCACCTTCAAAGCTAGCAGCGATGCGTCTTTTCTGATCCTGCTTCCATTTCTGAGTCTCTCTCACTGCAGCCCGGAAAGTCACCCTCCCTTTAGGACTTGTGATGGCATCTGGACAATCCAGGGCTGTCTCTCCATCTCAAAGTTTGTAGCCTCTACAAAGTCCCATTGCCATGGAAGGGAACATTCACAGGCTCCGGGGTTGTGGGCAGGGGCATCTTTGAGGGGTCATGATTCTGGAGCATTATTCATGGACAGACTTTAAATCCTTTATGGAGGGCATGGGCAGAACCAGGATGCCACTGAGAAGATGAGAAGGAAAGGGAGAGCTTCTGGCCTCTGGAACCACTGGAAGAGAGAATTTGAGGAGGAAATAAGCCTGCTGTATACAAGAGAATGAGGACACGTCAATCCTCCTGTGAGTGCTTTCTGGAGGCCCTGGCCCAGATGACCATTGTGGGTTAGAGGAGGTGGGGCATTTATTTTGCCCACCTCCATTTATGCGTCACACACCCCAGCTGATATGGTTTGGTTCTGTGTCCCCACCCAAATCTCATCTCTAATTGTAATTCCCGTGTGTTGGGGGAGGGACCTGGTGGGAGGTGATTGGATCATGGGGGTGGTTCTCCCCATGCTGTTCTCATGATAGTGAGTTCTCACGAGATCTGATGATTTAAAAGTGTGCGGCAGTTTCCCTCTCTCTCCTGCTGCCATGCAAGATGTGCCTTGCTTCTGCTTTGCCTTCTGCCATGATTGTAAGTTTCCTGCAGCCTCTCCAGCCAAGTGGAACTGTAAGTCAATTAAACCTCTTTTCTTTATAAATTACCCAGTCTCAGGTAGTCCTGTATAGCAGTGTGAAAACAAACTAATACACCACCTAAGAGGCAAGAGGAGTTTAGGGAGGCTGGTGGTTTCTTGAACAAGGAAGTGAGGCATTAAGAAGATATTTTGGATCCAACCACAAAATTACAGGAAACACAGGGGACAGAGAACACGTCCAACTATACTGGGAATGCAATCAGCAAAATCCAGACTGTGGTATTCTGAAGGACAAAAGATCTGGCTTCTTCCACCAATGTTGCTAAGAAAACTAAACAAAGGTGGACATTGAACCTGTAGGTTAAGAGACCTAAAATACATTTTAATAACCAAAAGAAAATGAGCCACAGTGATTAAGGATGCATGCAAAACAGAAAGGAAAGAGATAACTCTTGATGGGGAAGAGATGGAGATTTGGAGGGGGTTGTGGTCATAAGAGTGTTTGCTTTACAATGGTTCATTTGGCCATATATTTGCTTCCTGTGGTTTTCTGCAGGTGTGTCACATTTATCAATAAAAACATGAAATGCTGATGATGTATTTGCGAAGATTGTCAGGTGGGGGTGTGCAAGAAATGTGGAGACAGACAGAAGCTGTGAAGGTCACAGCGTTGGGCTGGATGGGATTGAGGAACCCTGCCCATGGCGGTCACACTAGAAATGAGCAGAAAGAGAGGGATGTGTGTGGCCCAGATGAGGTAACACTGGACAGGACGAAGTCGCTGGCTACATACTGGGGTCAAAAGAGAGGAATGTGTATTCTATAGTTCTGCTTAATCCAGAAGATGCATCAGAAGAAACAGAGCCTGCTCTAAGCTCATGAGGGACCTGGCACCCTTGCTTTGCCTTGAGTCCCAATCAGATGGGACTCAAATCCTCAGATGTCCTGATTTCTGGGTATTAAAACCCAAGACAAAGGCTTGTATGTGAGTAGTTCGTTTGAGGAGTGATGCCAAGAGAGGAACGGGAGAGCCTGGGCAGGGTGAAACATGCAAGGATGAAAAGCTAGAATTATAAGGATATTCCCTCCCAGACACTGGCCCCAAAATTTTCTCACTGACTCCATAGCCATGTCTTCAGACAAAAGTTTTCCTACTTTTTCCTGTTTTTTTTTTTTCCTAGTTGTTCTCACTGGGGGATTGGTCCAGAAACAATTTGGGCATCCATTTGGATGTTAAGAGAAATTACATCTTTCTGAACCAAGGAAAACAGTCCCTGTGGCTATCAAGTTTGCAGGCTAACCTTCTGAAACTGCTCTGAATTACTGAAGAAAGGAGTACTGAATGGGTGCAAGGTAGGGGGCGGTTTCTCTAACTTTTGTGGGGTGCTGCCTTGGGGTTGATTGAGATATTCATACCATGTCTGAGGGTCGCGTGCTGCTGATGCTAACAGTGAGTCATTCAGGAAGTCAGCAGCCTGTTGGAGCCCCCGTGTCTGCAGCCCAATGGTACTGCCCAGACCCTCAACCCCACCAGGCCCTCAGACCCCACCTCAACCCCGTCTTAATCTATCAGGTCTCACCTATAGCTGTGCCCACCTTTTGTAACTTCTCTTCCAAGCTAACCTTGAATATCATTTAACCCATTTATGCCTGGGGTTGCAATTTTTTTTGTAAAAAATCAGACTTTGGCAATGACCTTGAACAACAGGATATAAATAATGCCCACAAGCTTAGCTTTCCAATAATGAAGCACTAGGCATAAATGGGTTAAGCCTGATTTCAATAATATACACACATTCCTAGTGTGGTTTGCCTTAGACCTCAAAACCTCTAGATTTCTATGTTATTCAAAGATTGGTTCCAAGGTAAAGTGAAAACAAGCAGGTCTCACTTCAATAAATTATTTCTCCTATCCAGTCAGTATAAGCAGGGAGGGGGGAAATGTGTTGCTGTTGAAGAAATTAGTCTAAAACCTGTACTAATTTGATAAACACCAACATAATTTAAAAGTAGATATGACTGTTTAATGCAGATTAAGTATGTAGCAGGTGCTGTCAGTGCCTGCCTGACATCCTCCCTAGGGGTCACCAGCAGCTTTGTTGGACAGGGCTCCCACTTCCTTATACACCGATGCCTTCCTCTCTCAAGCCCTGGGTTGCTCTCGCTGGGGGCTTTCTCTGGCTATAGGCGTGTGCTTGGCCCTTAGGTAGGGGCAGGGCAGCAGTGCCAGGGAGCAACCGTTCCTGAACACCCCAATGTGCATCTGTTCATAAGTGCCCAGCATTCTCTCCTCTTGGAGGGACAATGCTGTGGTGTGTTCCATACAGTCTCCCGGAAACTCCCCAGTGAGACTGCCCCAGCTGTCCAAAGCTGGGACCCACTGGTGACCTTCCTTCCTTCCCCATCTCACATCTTGTGCACTCCCTGTGCCTCTTGGGACAACTACTGTATTAGCCTGCTTAGGCTGCCAGAAAAAAGACCTACAGATCAAGGGGTTAAATGACAGACATTTATCGTCTCACAGTTTTGAAGGCTGAAAGTCTAAGATCAAGGTGCCCGTAGGTCTGGTTTCCACAGACCTCTATCCTTGGCTTGCAGATGGTCAACTTCTTGCCATGTCCTCACATAGTCTTTCTTCTGTGCATGCACATCCCTGGTGTCTTCACCTTGTAATGACATCAGTCCTATTATATTAGGGGCCCTCACCTTTATGACTTCATGTAACTTTGTTTACCTATTTAAAGGCTCTATCTCCAAATACACTCACATTGAGGGTCAGGGCTCCAACATCTGAATGGGAAAGGGGGCACAATTTGTCCATAACACCGGCCAACTGAATTACTTATACCCAAATCCTTATTTCAGGGTTGGAACCCAAATTAAGACAGCATGTGTCTAAAGTTGTTATAAAGAATACACACACGCATGCACACACACACACACACACACACACCCCTGGTTTGACGAAGCAGGGGTTCTTCACAGCAGAAAATGCCACCGAGCATCCCAAGGCAGATAACCCACAGCCTTGCATTACACCACCCCAGAGTAAAGTTGGGAGGTGGAAGGGCAGCATTTTTTCTTAAAAGAATGCACATATGGACTCAAGAGTTTTGGTTTCTCTGCACCCAGTTTTTTTCTGTTCCCCCATTGTCATTGTTCTACACAAAGACATGTGGGTGCACGACTAATCTTGACTGATGGAAGGAAATTCAGGAGACAGATTACTCAGGGGAGTTTGTCTCCGGGCCTTGCGTAATGTTTTCTTGGCACATCTCTAAAGCAGTTTGGGGGAAAATTTTTCAGGCTCCTCCCTCGTGACTTCAGATCGTCGCCCGTCCTCACAGGAGGGTCACTTGGTGGGTCCCAGAACCAGTGCACTCTCCCAGCCTGGGGTCTGCACAAAGCTCACATTTTGCACATGCATACACTACTATTTTTCAAATATAGGCAATGCTGCGATGATGAATAAAACACAAACTCATTTTGCAGTGTTACTGAATTCATTGTAGCTTTTATCCATATGCTTTTTAATCAAAGGAGATTTCAACTACATACAATCACAAACACATGAAGATCTTCAAAAAAATATGTTTCTGTAAAAGGCATCCTCCTCCTGAAAATGTTGGAGTCTTTGTTCTCATCGGTAACAAAGAGACATTTCTCACTCAGCAGAGTCTCCTCGGACAGGACCTAAGAACAGAATCTGTAATCTGCTTCCTGTCCACAGCCCCCTCAACCCTAGAATAGCTTCCTTAACTGGAATTGACCATGCCATCAATTCTTTTGTTCTAGCTATTCTTGTCCCGTACTTCCTCTTTTCTATCTTACTCTCTTCTCCTGCCTATATGCCTCATTCCAATCAGCTGGTTTTCCTTCCTCACCTTGATCAACACTTTCTGTATTCTTTGCCTGCTTCTTGTAATCCCGTTTCATTAAAAAGCCATCTTGACTCCATCCACATGTGTCACTATCAGATGTGAAGACCTTCACCTGAATGCAGAGATGAAGAATTAGACTAAGGAAGATTCACTCAAATGTTTTTTAAGTCTTAAGTCGGGGGGGGGGGTCCCTGCCTAGTGGAGCAGGTGTAGCTGGTGCCTGGCCATATCCCCTTGGAATGTACCATTCCCTGCACACAGACCTAACTTCCAACTGCCCCCACCTGCAACACGTTACCTTCAGGCCCTCTCTGCCCAACACAGCCTGTTCTACCCAAAGGCAGGGCAAGGCAGGAGCACTAGGACATTTATACCTCCTAGAGTTGCCTCAACCAACGACTGATGGGAACTAGCTGATAAATAACCTGGCTCCTCCCTCTCTTATAACTCTGGGATGCCTACACTGTAGTAGGTCCCAGAGCTCTCCAGTGAGGTTAAGCCTCAGGTATCCTCAATAATAACTTCCTTCATAACAAACCTTATATTGTCTTCCTTTCCAAATGACATTCTTGTACTCCAATCCTTGTCTCAAAGATTGCGTATAAAGGAACCCACATTAAGGTGCCCTAGAAAGTCATTTACCCTTGCACACTTTAAATAGCTTATTTCTAGCTAAAAGAAGAGGACATTTTGGCTGTTATCTTCTTACTTCTTAGATTTATAATTTCATTACCTGGAGTTGACTCTTAAATACCTGTAACCTGGACAAGGCACTTAACTTCTTTTTTGTACCTCTGTTTCCTTATTGTAAAATAAGGGCTTGTACTAAAACAGTGATTTTCAAAATGTGAGATTCCCATGAAGTACTTGAAAGATTCTCCAGAGAAGAGTGAAATCTGAAATTGAAAAGGCACTTATAGAATCATACAAATTAAGTTGTGAAATTGCAGGTGAAGGGGAGAAATCCGATGGGTATTGAGGAACAGTTCTCCATGGGTGTCTCACATTTCTGCACATCTTGGTCTCTATACAGGCAACCTTGGTCTCAGATTGTCTTTTCAAAGATGTTGTATAGCAAAGAGCCTTGGAGAATAGAGACTGTGTCTCCCAATGTAGCAATAAGTTTGTTTGCTTTTCAGTGTAATAAAGATAATTTTTCTGTCCAGTGCAATGGTGAGCAGGTTTGTTTGCCTATAGCTGATTATAAGATATTGAAGTTCCCTGAGCTCTGGGTTCCTCAGGAGTGATGTAAACACACTGTGTGCCCAGTATCTCTCTGGGTGTCTGCATGTTATTCCCATGGGACTTAGGAGGCAGAGGAAACCACAGTGGACATGAAGCTCATGCTACTTGCTGTGCTGTGAGTACTAAAGCTCTTTGTCTCTGACCCAGGAATCTCGTGTCTTCTGTGTAGCATTCACAAAACTATGGCAAGCTAAATGTTTAGCTTACAAGTTGGGTAAAGTCTCAGACCCTTCACACTACTTAATGTTCAGAAAATATCCCTGAATCCTGTGTCATTGGAGTCACCTATAAAAAGTGGACTGAGAGGAGGTTTACACAACACAGTAATCACCATTGTCCACCAACATAGTCTAAAATAGAGTCTAAGAGTGAAGATCCAAGGTTCTTAAATAATTTGCTGAAAGACTGAGATTAGTAAAATCTTTAAATTTCAAGTAGATGAGTGTGTGGATGTTGGTAATTTCCCCATTCTGATTGTATTTGTATATATTCTTGCAGGCAAGAAAGGGATATTTATCACTTTATAAAACACTCACCACAGACCTATTAAGAGAACATTTTAACTGGTTAGAACTCCAATAACACCAGAAACAACTTTAGAAAAATGTAACAATGTCTCTATAATGGGTGACAGCAGTGATAGAAAAACAATTCACATAAAAGTATTGCCAGTATGTGTGCAGGCAGTGTATTTGCATAATAAGCACTGCCTGTTACAAAGAAGGCCACTTTGTGTTTTAAGTGTTTGATAATGTCATACAAATTGACAACTCTATTAAAGGATTGTCTTCACATTGGAAACTTTTCAGTTATTTACAGTGATAAATGGGGTGAATTCCAGCATTTACTTTTCATATTGAAGTTCACTGGTGATACAGCAGCAAGGCATCAGTGTGACTACTTCAAATGAGACAGAAAATTACTATTGTGTAGTAGAAGCATCTTTAGCTAAAACTCTCAAATATAGCATGATTGCATTCCTTTGCATATCTTAGTGATATTTTTAAAGAACTAAATTTGGCAATGTAAGGCCCCTATGTCACCAGGTCTAAAATTACAGCTAAAGTGTCAGCAGTGAATATGAAAGCTAAAGTTGGGACACAACATGCAAAACAAAGCAAATTAGACTATTCAGATTATTATCTGACAAAGAACTGTATATAACTCTATCTGATTTTTGAAAAATTAATGTTTGTAAAATATTTTTTGTCAAAAGGTATATTTGAAAATTATCTTTTGCCCAGCAATGATTAAAACAAGTATTTTACTTCAGATTTAACAAGTATTAAGAAATAATGATGTTTATTTGATATTGTTAGATATAATTTGCCTATTTCTGTATCAAGTTTCTGAATTCGTTTAATTGACAGATATCCTAGATTGCAAGATATGCTATTTTTAAAACTTTTACTATTTGGAACTACTTGTCTTGATGAATCACAATCATTTCTATACTGTACAACCACACTGAAGGGGCCATAAGACTGTATCTGACGTCTGTTAAGTCCCAATCTCTAAATGATGTATTCATATTACTGTTCTCAATTAATTGCTTTATGAGTAAATGTTATGAATTTGAAGGTATAAAATACATTTATGCTAATAAAATACAAGATTTTATGTTTTGCTTATTGGAATTCTACTTACAGTTTTGTTTCTGTAAAAAGCTTCTGTGGGTAAAATATATTTTGAAAATCCCTGGACCAATTGATTTTTAAGGTTCTTTCATTTTTTGAAGACTTGACTCCTCTAATTTGAACTTGAAACAAATTTCTACATTTTCCAAAAGACTGAAATATTACCTAAATTAGACAAATATCCCAAAAATGCACGTGTGCACGCGCACACACACACACACACCTGTTCCTGTCTTGTAGTTCAGCTTTACCTTCTCTGATGCCATCCAGGTGCCATCCACCATCACTGAATCAGAGGTACCAGCTTCTTGGATCGCCCAGTTTGTGATTCCTCACTTCCCTTCCCTCAAGCTAGTTGCTGTGAGTCTAGTTCACTGCTCATCTATACTTTTGCTGAAAGATGAATGGAGAAATTTACACATAACAACAAAAATGGAAAGCAGCCCGGGTGCGGTGGCTCACACCTGTAATCCCAGCACTTTGGGAGGCCGAGGCAGGCAGATCACTTGAGGTCAGGAGTTCGAGACCAGTCTGACCAACATGGTGAGACCCCCGTCTCTACTAAAAATACAAAAATTAGCCGGGTGTGGTGGCAGGCACCTGTAATCCCAGCTACTCAGGAGGCTGAAGTATGAGAATTGCTTGAACCTGGGAGGTGGAGTTTGCAGTGAGCTGAGATGGTGCCACTACACTCCTGCCTGGGCAACAGAGTGAGACTCCATCTTGAACAAAAAAAAAAAAAAAAAAAAAAAAAGGAAAGCAGCTAATTTTGGTATTTTGTTAACCCTCACAGAAAGCTTTTAATGGAGTAAACCTTTAGAATTATTGACTGGGACAATATTTTAGTCTTTTCTGCTGCAAAATGAAAATATCTGTGAGATGAAAAGATTCTAGAGAAACCTTGTATCACACAATTGAAATACCCTGTATTCCTGATCACGGCTTTCTGCCCCCAGGGTGTGTATTAGCTATCCCTTGCTATACAACAAATTACTTTAAATATTAGTGTTTAAAGTGATACACATGTAGTATCTCACAGTTTGCATGGGTCAGAATTCCTGGTACAGCCTAGCTGAGAGCCTCTGAGTCAAGATCTCCATGAGATTACTATCCTGCTGTTGGCCATGGTTGTGGTCTCATCCGAAGGCTCCACTGAAGGAAGAGGACTTGCTTTCAAGCTCACACAGCTGATTGTTAGCAAAATTTGCTTCCATACAGCCTGTTGTGCTGGGGGCCTCAGTTCCTCACTGGCTGTTGTCTGGAGGCCTCCCTCAGCTCCTTTCCCTGCGGCCCTCTCCATGGACCAGCTCAAAACATGGCATGGTCATGGCAGCTCAGAATGACCAAGGAAAAGACCAAGCCAGGGTATCCGAGACAGATGTCAAAGATGTTTTGTACCCTAATCGTGAAAATGACATCCTATCACTTTTTTCATATTCTATGTGTGATATGGTTTGGCTCTGTGCCCCCTCCCAAATCTCATCTCGAATTGTAATCCCCACTTATCCAGGGAGGGACCTCTAATCTTCATGTGTCAAGGGAGGGAGGTGATCGGATCATGGGGGTGGTTTCCCCATGCTGTTCTCATGATAGTGAGTGAATTCTCACGAGATCTGTTAGTTTTATAAGTGTTTGGAAGTTCCTCCTTCGTTTTTCTCTCTCCTGCCACCTTGTGAAGAAGGTGCATGCTTCCTGTTTGCCCTTGGCCAAGACTGTAAGTTTCCTGATGCCTCCCCAACCATGTGGAACTGTGAGTCAATTAAATCTCTTCCCTCTACAAATTACCCAGTCTCGGGTATTTCTTTATAGCAGCATGAAATCAGACTAATACAATGTGTTAGAAGCAAGTATTGAGGCCCAACCCACACTCACAGGGAGTGGATTACACAAGGGCATTCAGCCCAGGTGGTGTGGATGTTTGGAGGTCATCTCAGAGATCAGCTACCATGAGATGTTATGAAGAAACCTCATGCCTCTCCCTCAGTCCCTGTTAGCCCAGTCAGTCCACTTCCTACCTCTCAGTAACCTAAGTAAGCCCTGAACCACACAGTAGGCCTAGATGGCTGGCATTCATCTGTTCCTGAAATGAGAAGGAAGTACAGCTCCCTTATGCTGATTCTGCCAGCATTTTGTAACCATCCAAGTCGATCAGGAAGGTGGTGGTGGCAGTGATGAAGGGTCCAGCTCTCTTGTCATCAGGCACCTGCAAGTCTTTTTTTTTTTTTTTTTTTTTTTTTTTGAGACAGAATCTCGCTCTGTCCCCCAGGCTGGAGTGAAGTGGCATGATCTCGGCTCACTGCAACCTCCGTCTCCCAGGTTCAAGCAATACTTCTGCCTCAGCCTCCCGAGTAGCTGGGACTACAGGCATGTGCCACCACGCCCAGCTAACAGGCACCTGCAAGTCTTACTGTGTGTCCCACAGGAACTGGAAATCGAGAGCCAAACTCTGCTCTGTGGAAATTGCAAGGCATGCTATGAGATGCCTAGAGCACCTCTCTGCCTCTCTAATCATACCTTGTCCCTACCTGTTAGATCGTTACCATGCCTCACTGCACATACAATGACTTTTTAAGGTTAAAAGAATTCTTTCCACAAATGAGGGTTGACATGCAGCAGGTATCCTGCAGCTAAGCCTTCGCAGCCCTAACTAGCTGCCTCGGTAGTTTCTAGAGCTTGCTAATTGGTGTGCACCCAGATTTCAGTCCTGTGCTTGCTTCAGCTGCTACTGAAAGCAGCAGCTGACAGTGACAAGATCTCTGTATGGCCCAGGTTCCTGCTTCAGCAGCAGCTGCAAGAAACACCACCTGGGCAAAGCTCTATCACCTGTCAGTTGCCATTGCTAATAAAAATAGCATCTGCATGATGGGGTTAAATAAAGGACTGGATATATGTTTGAAAAATGCATATTTACATGGAAAGACTGGTATGATAAATTAACTCATATCCTGAAATGCAGAGTAGACAAGAGGCGATGATAATCTCCATTTGGGGACAAGATGCAAGATGAAATGTCACCCCGTTAAGACTAGCAACAAAGAACAAGAAAAGGCTTCGCTTCTCCTTGATTAGCATTACCACACAGTGCAGATGTGTGGTCCTAGGCTTACTCCAAGTGAAGACCTCTCTTTCTCAAAGTTACATCAGTGTTGCAGTCATTACTAGACTTAATGAAACCTAACTGCCAGAGCTTTTGGAATTCTGTGGGAATGCTGGTGACTGTAGTGGCAGTAGCAATTTGATCCCCTAAGATTCGAGCTGCCCTGCCTCCCCTCAGAACAGATTACAGGGAGTGGAAAGACTTATGTCAAGAACTATTTTAAGGCTCTATGCATTAACTAAAGACGTGCAACTAATTTCAGCCCCAATATGTAAACTTTTATTACTTTAAACTTAAGACTAAAAATTGGGGCAAGTTAATGGGTCCTTCTTGTCCATCTTAAACACTCTTTTAAAGTCTTTAGAAATCATTCTTGACCAAGAATGAGGGAAATTCTGAAATATGGTAATTAGCTGCTTATAACACAAACAATTGGCAGCGTATCCTCTATCAAATCCTCCATATGAAGCAACAAGATTGCTAGGATTCTTCTTCAAGTAGCTCTTCAAACACACATTTTTTTTTAATTTCAATGGGTTTTTGGGGAGCAAGTGGTGTCTGGTTACATGGATAAGCTCTTTAGTGGTGATTTCTGAGATTTTTGTGCATCCATCACCCGAGCAGTGTACACTGTACCCAATTTGTAGTCTTTTATCCCTCACCCCCTTCCCACCCTTTCCCCTATGTCTTCAAAGTCGATTGTATCATTCTTATGCCTTTGTGTCCTCATAGGTTAGCTCATACGATGTTTGGTTTTCCATTCCTGAGTTACTTCACTTAGAATAATGGTCTCCACCCCCATCCAGATTGCTGCAAATGCCAATATTTCATTCTTGTTTATGTCTGAGTAGTATCCCATGGTGTGTGTGTATATATATATATATATATATATATATATATATATATATACACACACACACACACCATATTTTCTTTATTCACTCGTTGATTGATGGGCATTTGGGCGGTTCCATATTTTTGCAAACTGCAAATTGTGCTGCTATAAACATGCAAATAAATGAATGACTTTGGACTTCTCAACTCTGTCAGTGCATAGGAGTTACTGGGCTCTCCTATTCCCTTGTCATAAGCTCCAGGAGTTTATCATTCTACTTTGAATGAAATCTGGCTGACAAAGCTTAAGGAAAAAGGTTAGGAGGAAAACTCAAGAGAGGATGAAAGGGCAGAACCATGTGAAAGGGAGTGACAGCAAGCAGAAGGCAGACAGAGAGTTTGGATGAGCTGCTGAATCTGGGCTGCTCTATTTATGTCTCGTGTGATTCCTAAGCATCTCCACTTCCTATTTTCAAATTTAAAAATATTTATAACAACAAATATTTTTATTTAATACAACTGTATTTTTTTAAAGTAAATGTGACATAACCAACTTCAAATTTTCAGCATTGCCAAAACAGAGAATTAACTTTTTTTGGTATTTTTTTGTAACTGAAATAGTATTTAGGGTGCAATCTAGGATATATTTATATTTATCAAACTCTTTTATACTGAATGTCCTGTGCTCAGTATTTCTGAAGTTTGTCTTTCATGCAGATCTTTATTATTTATTTTTTGTTTTGGTTTGTTTTTGTTTTTTATTTTTATTTTTTTGAGACTGATTCTGCACTCTCACCCAGGCTGGAGTGCAGTGGCAGGATCTCAGCTCACTGCAACCTCTGTCTCCTGGGTTCAAGTGATTCTTGTGCCTCAGCCTCCTGTGCAGATGGGATTACAGGCACCTGCCACCATGCCCTGCTAATTTTTGTATTTTTAGTAGAGACAGGGTTTCATCATGTTGGCCAGGCTGGTCTTGAACTCCTGACCTCAAGTGATCTGCTGGCCTCAGCCTCCCAAAGTGCTGGGATTAGAGGCATAAGCCACTGCGTCTGGCCTTTCATGGAAATCTTTATGCCAGAGATCAATGGATAAATAGTTTATTCTTCATGGACCTTTGCTCTGTAAGCTGCTGAGGTCAAATTAATCTGTTGTGTAGTGTAAGAGGAGGCACAGACGAGCAGGTGCACACAACTGACTCATGATAGGGTGAGTCTTGGGAAGCTCTAACCAAGCTTCCCCATCCCTTTCCACATTTCCCTGTAGCCTCATTCTGCATGCAGGGCACTCCACATCATGGTCCCTGGAAGGGTGGCACAGCAGGATACCGAGCACAGTACTGAAATCTGAGGCAATTCTGGACAAACCCACTAGATTTGGAAGTTTCTTTGGTGGCTTCCTGTTCCAGCAAATAGAAGGGAACAAGAAGATAGTGAGAAACTCTGCCATGCTTCTCCTAAGCATGCCCCAGTGGGAAGAAGAGAATCCCACAGAGGTGTAAGGATTCGAGGGGTCCTGAGATTTGAGGGGTCCTGAGATTTAAGGGGTCCTGAGCAACTTTTCTTAGGTGGAGCTCCAGAAAGCAGCAAAACCCTTTCATCTGTGGCCAATCAGCTGGAGCTTCTCATTGCTTCTAGATCCTCCCTATAGCCCAAAGGAGTGCAGGAGCAGTCCGTTAGCTCACCTAGTGGAGGATGACTGCATGGATACTGGTAAAGGATGGCCTGACCCTGCAAGATGTGAAGCTCCACAGTGACCTGGATCCACAGGAAGATGGACACCCCCGCAGTGCCAGCTTTGATGGATGTCACCACCCTGAGGGCCCTGTGTGCCTTCCCCTGACCTGCACATGCCGATCAACCTCAGGAAAAGTGTGTGTGTGCGCGTGTGCACGCGCGCGCGTGTGTGTGTGTTGCTAAGGGCACATTAAAGTCATGGTGGTTAAGTGTCTGTCACCTGGGGGACTGTACCCTCCAAAGAGAATTAAGTTCAGTTAAAGACTAATTAAGGCTCCCCTGAGTTTTGGATTTTTATCTGCTCTTCCTGCAGACTCTTATGTGAAGCGATACCAACAACTTCCCCAACTCCATAAAATTATACAAAACGAATTCAAAAATAACATTGTCACATTTTTTCAGAGAATGTGTATTGTGTAACATGAAATTATGCTTTATTTTTTAACAGCTCTGTTGAGGGAGAATTAACATTTTGTAAGTTGCACCTTTAAAAACTATGCAATTTGATAGTTTTGACATATTTATACACCCAAGAAACCATCACCATCATCAAGAAAAATGAACATATCATGCACAGGTCTTCCTTCTTCCACATCCGCAGTGGCTGGAAGACATAGAAAGGTCATGTGGTAAGCTGAGTAACAGTCCCCAGAAATACTAACGTCCTGATTCCTGGAACCTGTGACTACTGCCCCACATGGAGAAAGAGTCTTTGCAGATGTGATCAAGCTGAGGATCTTGAGATGGACAGATGATCCAGGAGGGCCCTAAGTGCAATCCCATGTGTCATTTTAAGAGGGAGGTAGAAGGAATTTGACCACAGAAAGAAGAAAATGTCATGTGATGATGGAGGCAGAGGGAAGCACAGTCAGAGAAAGGATGCTATACGCTGACTTCAAAGACGAACGAAGGGACAAGATCTAAGGAATTCAGAGGATGAAATCCTAGAGGCTGGAGGAGGCAGCGAAACCAGTGCTCCCCTAGAGCCTCTAGAGAGAACACAGCTCTGCTGACATCATGGTTTTAAGACCCATAAAACCACGTCAGACTTCTGGCCTCCGCATCTGTAGGATAGTAGATTTCCATTGTTTTAAGCCACTAAATTCACAGTAATTTGTTGCAGCAGCCATGGGAAGTTCATACATGCATCTTTTAACTAGTTTGAATTAATAATTTTATAGCAATTAGATTGGATCTGAAGATAGAATGGACCAAAGGCATTGATTTGGGGTCACTCGAGATGTTTAACCTTGTTGGAGGTGTGGGGGTGGTCATGGTAGGGAGTGGGGGCCTCTCTCCGCTCCCGCATGCTCTGATTGGTTGAGTAACCAGCATCTCCTAATTTCCACCTTTCAAGGAATCTATTATATTAGTCTGTTTTAAAAATTAAATGTGGTATAAACCTTACACCAAAACTTTTGAAAATAAAGAAAGTTAATCCCAGATCATTTCATGGCCACAATCCAGCCACTACTATCTTTTTGGCATATGTCTGTCTTTCTTTCTTTCTTTCTTTCTTTCTTTCTTTCTTTCTTTCTTTCTTTTTTTTGACAGAGTTTTGCTCTTGTCGCCTCAGCTGGAGTGCAATGACACACTCTTGGCTCACTGCAACCTCCGCCTCCTGGGTTTAAGTGATTCTCCTGCCTCAGCTTCCCGAGTAGCTGGGACTGTAGGCATGTGTCACTATGCTCGACTAATTTTTTTGCATTTTTAGTAGAGACAGGGTTTCACCAGTTTCACCAGGCTGGTCTTGAACTCCTGACCTCAGGTGATCCGCCCACCTCAGCCTCCCAAAGGGCTGGGATTACAGGCATATTCATTTTGAGTCTTTTTTTCCAAACACATGTTACATTCATGGTCCATTATGTGCCATGGTCTGTGTCCGTGTAAAATTCCTGTATTAAAACCTAATCTCTAAAGTGATGGTGTTAGGAAGTGGGCCTTTGTGAAGTGATTAGGTCATGAGGGTAGAACCCTCATGAATGGGATCAGTGCCCTTATAAAAGAAGCTCAGGAGTGCATTTCTTCTCCCTTCTGCCCTGTGAGCACACAGGGAGAAGGCACCATCTATGAGGAATGGGCCCCCACCAGGCACCGAATTTGTCAGTGGCTCCAGAACTGTGAGATATAAATGTTTATTGTTTTAAGCCAGCTAGTTTATGGCATTTCTGTTACAGCAGCCCCAAAGGACTAAGACATTGCACTTATCTTGCATAGAATTTCTCACCACTTGTTTCACTCAACAATATTTTCTCATGTTACATTCTAATTGTTATAATGACTGCTTGCTGTGTACAATGTGCCACTAAGTGACTATACCAGAGTCCAGCTGCTGGACATTTTTTCTAACGTTTTCACGTAACTTCTTTTGTAATCATCTTCCTGTATATATGTTTTTCCATGTTTGGGAACATTCCCTTATACTAGAATTTTATAAGTGGGATTATTGGACCACGGAAATGATTTTTTAAAAGCTATACACATTTCCAAGTTCCTTTAAAAAACACACAACACAGTCACAATGAATGTACAGATTTCACTACACTGTGATTAGAAGTGGGTAATGTATACGTAATGTTAATTCAATTTTAAAAGTAAAGAATGTTGCCACCTTGTTGTTTTTATTTACCTAACAGTGATTACAAGTGAGAATCACTGAGTTTTTCCCCATATTTTGATGATTAGTTCTATTTTCCTGCCCATGAATGATCTGCTTGTATTCTTTGGGATTTAGCTGTCAAGTTTACAATGTTCTTCTGCTCTCATATGACCTCTTTTTATTTAATAAATATGTTGAGCAATTTTCTATCATTCATCCCAGTCTATCCTTTGCTTTCTTGCCTTGGGTTTTCCATGGAAAGTGCTAAATATTTATATGGTCAAATTTTTCTTTTATGATTTACTGTGTTACTTCTGTGCTGAGGAAACTACAGTTGACTCTTGAATGACACAGGTTTCAGCTACACGGGTCCACTTATATCTGGATATTTTTCAATCAAACCCAGATAGAAAATACAATATCCACGGAAATGTGAAACCCACATAATGCAGAGGGAGGGCCGACCCTTCCTTAAGGTAGGTTCCACGGGACCATCTGTGGAACCTGAGAGTGCACTGAGTTTGTTATATTCAGGGAAGCTGGAACCAACCCCTTGAGTATACGTAGGGACGACTGTATTCCTCCCTCAGGATTTTATTTTATTTTATTTTTGAAACAGAGTTTCACTCTTGCTGCCCAGGCTGGAATACAGTGGTGCGAGCTCGGCTCACTGTGAAGTCCGCCTCCCGGGTTCAAGCAATTCTCCTGCCTCAGCCTCCTGAGTAGCTGGGATTACAGGCACCCGCCACCACTTCCAGCTAATTTTTGTATTTTTAGTAGAGATGGGGTTCCCCTATATTGGCCAGGCTGGTCTCAAACTTCCGACCTCAGGTGATCCACCCACCTTGGCCTCCCAAAGTGCTAGGATTACAGGCATGAGCCACTGTGCCCGGCCAGGATTTTAATAAGTATTATATTCATTTAATGTAAGGTTCTGTGTTTAGCTGCTTAAATTTTCTAAAATTTCAAATGAAATCTAAAGTAGGTGAAGACCCCCTTCTTCCTCCTCCGACTCTCCTCTTAGCCCCTCTGTCACCCTGTCTCATGGGCCTCCACTGTGCCATATCAGTTTTACATCTGCCCAACTTCATCCACTTATTTGAGCAGAGATAGGAACTATTCTGCAGCAGGTGGAGGAAGAGAAGTGCTCAGGGTGACCACCCCTTCCTTTTTTTGTGCTGTCTTAAAGAGCTGATCACGTTGGCGGTGTTATGCTAGAAACCACGGGAATACTCTGGCACAGTCATCTATAGGCTCTGGAGCAGCGCTGGGCACCCTTCTAATTTAGGCAGTGGGAGGGGCAGGAAGTTACAGGAGCTGTGATGTATCCAGCCTGGAAATTATCTTCTGAGTTGCCATTGTGAAAATTATTCAGTCCACGTGGGGGTCACCCTGCTGGCCCACAGCTCTCGTGTCTGAGCTGCTTCCTCTGCTTGAGGGAGGGACACAGTCAGAAAGCCTTCCTGAGGACATCCAGGTTCCCCAGACCTTGTCCTTCAGGGCTCTTTTCTGCCTGTCTCTCATTCCAGCCACCTGGAGCTTGATGCATCCCTAAGTGAGGAGACCTGTCGATAAAGTCCTCACAAACTAGTCTTCACTGAAGAGTGTTAAAGTGAACATGGATTCCCATTTCTCTGAGCAGTTTAATTATGATCCTGCCTTACAGCAGCAAGATGAATTGGATGACAGCTCAAAGTCTTTCTAAAGGAGTGACTTTAGGATCTGGAAAGCCATTTGTCCAGACTGGAGACAAGGAAAATCTTAACAGGCTTAATAAAGAGATAAGTCCACAAAGTTACATTTTTCAAAATTTTAGTTAGCTCATCTCAGGTAATAGACCTTTACTTTAAAGCTCTTATAATGTTCAGTCTCAGCCCACATATCAACCCAACCAATATGTCAAGATTTTTTGTTTCCAGAACCAGTGTGTCCCCCATCCCAGGCAAAGATGGCAAGCACTGGCAAAGATGGTGTTTTTTTTGCAGGAACTCTGGAAACCACTAGAGACGGACATGAACCCTGGCAACGCAGGAGAAACACAACTTTCTATTAGTTTTTATCAACCCCTACCACCTCTGCTATGGAAGTTTTAAATTTTATTAATCTCTCACCATTCCTTAATACCGTTTTCAGTGTAAAGGGAAATGATACCTCGATTCACTCACATTTAGAAAGTTAATGTAGCCTATCTGCACATGTCTTTGTTTCATGTTTTTTTTTTTTACTCAAGGCTCAAATAGAGGATCTAATACCTACCCTAAATATGGTACCACATTTATTTTATTAATGTTATTATTTTCTTGGCAAGATAGGTTTGGAATCTTAAAGTGTCTTTCAAGTCTGTATTATTATCCGCTGAGATTAAAATAATGTTTTGCTTTTGCTGATGCATCTGTAAAAAGGTAAATGTTCTCTCTTTGACAACCTAAATAATTTGATTCAGGTGACTCAACAGTATTATGCAAAATTTGGTAAATTGACAAGCTATATATTCCTCTGATAAATATTAACAAGTAATGACAATGGTGTAATAAGAATATTGTCCAAGAAAACAAGACTTTCTTTTTTGAGACATGGTCTCATGCTGTCACCCGGGCTGGAGTGCAATTGTGTGATCAGAGCTCACTGCAGCCTCAGACTACTGGGCTCAAGCGATCCTCCTGCCTCAGCCTCCTGAGTAGTTGGGACTACAGGTGCATGCCACCATGCATGGCTACTTTTAAAAATATTTTTTGTAGAGATGGGGGTCTCACTTTGTTGCCCACACTGGTCTTGAACTCCTGGCTTCAAGCAATCCTCCCAACTCAGGCTCCCAAAGGGCTAGGATTATAGGTGTAAGGCACTATGCCCAGCCCTCTTTTATTGGAATCAATAGTATATTAAGAGAGGATAATCTGTAAACAATGGAGAAAGTGTCTTGTTTAATAAATTGTGTTGGAATAAGTGTTTGGCACTTTGCCGGGAAAAATTCACTTACATCTTATAGCAATGACTTGTAATTTCCCCAGTATTCATTCCCCTATTCCTCTTTAACAATAAACCTCTGGGTTTTAGTAGGGCACCTCAATGCCCAGCTGCATTCCTCCTGCTTTCTGGCAGGTAGGTAAACAGTGCAACTTCCTGGGTACTTTCTTAAAAAGGAAACTGCATGGTCTTCATTCTTTCTGCCTTCCCATGGCAGAGCACCTAGAATTCAGACTTGCCAGTGGCAAACCAGCAGTGGCCATGACGATGAGGACAAAAATCTGGGAGATGACAGAGCAGTTAGAGGGAAGGGGCTTGGATCCCTGGATGATCTTATGGAACAGAGCCTCCTATCCTGCCCTGACCTCCTCCCTTAACAACTCTTAGCATCGTATAGCAAAGTAATTATGAAATGGAATTAATAATTGAATATAAAAAACAGAAGCCACAGACAAAAGAAACAGACAGTTCATAGGAAAGGAAACAGGAATAGCTCTTAAGCATATACCAGAACATTAATTTATTCTTAATAAGAAATGACAAATTAAAATAGCATTTTAACCTCTCAGATTGGCAAATAATTAATATGAACTGATAAAACAAAAACAGTAAGCTTCGAGTAAATAAATGAGGAAAGGATACAAATAAAAATCATACAGAAAAGGAAATACATATTGAAAACACCATGCCAACATTTCCATATATTAATTGGCAATGTTGATAATAATATGGTGTAATGCATATGTTCCAACAAGGTTGAAATGGTGAAGTTGGGTATAACCCTTCAGGAGACCCATAAAACTATTTTTTTCTAGCCTTTGTCAATCTATTATAATGAAATGATCCAAAATATAGCAAAGGTTATATGCATGAAGACATTCATAACAATACCGTTAATAATAATGAAAAATTAGAATCAAGATGCCCAACGAAAGACAAATGGTTATTATGTATCCATTTAGGGGAATTCAGTCATTTAAAATAATGCTTATGAAAACTGCAACAAATAGCAAAAAGATTGATTTTTTTTTAAGTGGAAAAAGCAAGATTCAACACTGCACATACATTAATTTTGCTGTCACACTCTCCATGCCTACTTTGTCCACTCCATATTTTCAGCCCAGTTCTGTCTTTTCAGCATGATCTTGAATTTCAGGTACCTATCTCTACCTGTATACGCCTTATCCTTTTCCAATAAATCTTCCACACTTCTGCCAAATTAATTTGCTCACTGTTTATCCAACAAATATTTACCGAGTGCTAACCATCAGCCAGGAATAGTTCCAGAGGCATGGGCTACTTCACTGAACAAAATCAAGATTTCTGATCTCACAGAGCTTATGCTTGAGTTGGGATGGGGCGGTGGGAGGCAAACAATAAACACAAGTCAAAAAACTGTGCAGTAGGCTAGAAGGCACTTCAGGGCAGTTGGATGGGGGGTGGAGCAGGTCATTATATCAGATAGAACAATCAGAATAGGAACTCATTGAGAAGGGGAGATTGGAAGAAAGACTTAAGGGGAGTGATGGAGTTAGCTAAGTGAGTATTTGAGAGAAAAGCGCTCCAGATTGAGGGAACAGCCAGAGCAGAACTCCAAGGTGGGATTGTGCCTGCCGTGTGGAAGAACCACAGTGGGCCACTGTGGCTGGAGTGGGTTGAGTGGGCCGGGGCATAGTGGCAGATGAGGCCAGGTCATGCAGGCACATCGAGGCTCTGATCCAAGGCAGATGGGCAGCATTGCAGGATCTGAGCAGCTTAGGGGCTCTGACTTGGGTTTTGGAAGAGCTCCTCTCCTGGGCTAAGGATGGCACCAAGCAGGCAATGGTGGAAGCATGGAGACCAATTTGGGGACTCTTCCAGACATCTAGGTGAAAGGTAGTGGTTCACACTAGGGTGGTAAGAAATGATTGGATTTCGACTGTCTTTGAAGGTAGATCTACATATACCTAATGATATATGTGAGTGGAGAAAAGAAAGCCAGGATGACTCCAAGCACTTTGGCTTGAGCAACTAGAAGGACGTAATTGTCACCAACTGCGGTGGATGTGTGAAGTTTAGATTTCTACCAGACCTCCAAGTGGTGATGTTGAGTAGACAGGTGGATGAGACACAGCCATGCTGCATTTTTTTTTTTTTTTGAGATGGAGTCTCGCTCTGTTGCCCAGGCTGGAGTGCAGTGGCGCTATCTTGGCTCACTGCAAGCTCCACCTCCCGGGTTCACGCCATTCTCCTGCCTCAGCCTCCCGAATAGCTGGGACTACAGGCGCTCACCACCACACCTGGCTGATTTTTTTTGTATTTTTAGTAGAGATGGGGTTTCACCTTGTCAGCCAGGATGGGCTTCATCTCCTGACCTCGTGATCTGCCCGTCTCAGCCATGCTGCATTTTAAAGAAATATTCATATCAATATTTAACTATTGAAGGCCTGGGTTATTATTGACTCCTTAGCATTACGTTACGTTCTTTGCTTCCATTGCAGTTTTCCTTTTATTTTAGAGACAGTCCTACAGTTTTGGGTCTCAAAGGTCCAGATGAGTCTGTACCCTGGGTGCTGTGTCTACGGTGCATCAAATGGGCTGGCAGAGTGAACACTACTCCTTTTCCCTGAGCTCCTTTCCAGCTCCACCTAGGCCACTGTCCCCATTGTACCCTCTGCAACTCACCCAGACCCATCTCCCCCATTTCCTCTAAATAGCCTGGGTGTCCCCCACATTGGCAGCCTTCTTTCAGGCTGTCAGGCTTCCCTAATGCCAAGTGCCACCTCCCTCATCTTCTTACATGTTTGTCAATGAAAGGACTGAAGACACACAAAGGTAAATATCACCAAATGATAGAAGCTGTGCCATGGTATGGGCTTCTGATTGTCTTCTGCATTTTTGAGGAATTCTGTAGTTGAGTTACATTGTTCAAACATCATATTTACCTATTGAAAGTACATTATTTTTCTTTCCTTCCAAATTAACTGCAGAGAGCTTGATTGTAACAGTCTGACCTGGCTGTTGGCTTTTTAGTTGACATACACCTGCTAGAGATTTGTGTTATAATGAAAGTACCGCTGGGATTGTCTTCCTTCGACCTCCACTGAAATGCTGGGGATTTAACGTTCTGATGGCATTTGGAGATGAGCCAACTCATAAACGAATCGAAAATGATAGTTGTGTGTTTTCTGCAAAATGAAACCTTGAGCTCTTAGACAGAAAGGTCCATTCCCCCAAGCAGAGCTTAAGAGGTTGTGACGGATTTGTTTCTGAGCATATGGTAAAAAGAGAAGTCTGAGCCCCAACTTGTTTACCTGTCTGGTGGCTGGTTGGGACCCAGGGTGGTAGGTGGGTCTGGGGGAAAATGTGCATGAGAACATGTCAAAGGGAGTGTGACAGAACTCCAGGGTGTCTAGGATGAGTCGTCCTGGCTTCAAATTCTTGCCCTCTGTGACCCAAGACACATTTCTTAATATTTGGCCCTCTGTGTCTTTATTTTAAAACTAGGGGTAATACAAACTGTCATCGGGCTTGTGCATGTGTGCAAGGACTTTGAGCATTTGGAACACAGGTGTGCCTGACCCATTATGCTCACAGTAAATATTAATTTCCCTTCTTATCGTTGGAATATTATATACTATTTGACGTGTTATTGATACAAGAAATCCATACCCTGAGGTGGTTTGTAAAAGATTTTGTTGATATCAGAGATGCTTAACACTCACCTGGTTCTCAAATAACCGGGCTGAATGTTTGTATGATGACAACTGATAGTTACAGAATGCAAGCTGGGAGCCTCGGCACCTTGTGTCTATTTACCTGACAGTCCGAGGAGGTGAGAATGGAGGTGAACATCCCCCTCTAACAGTGAGGAAGAAATCAGGGAGACTTGAGCAAAATGGCCAGATGTGAGCTGGTGAGGTGCTTGGACCCTGACATGGCACAGTCTATAACCAGGAGAGACAGGTTTTGGAGAGGCTGCCCGGGCTCTCCCTACTGCACCATGCTACCCTCCTGCGAATGCCCATCCGTTCATATTACCTCTGTCTTTGTGGATGTGAAAGTCCCTATCAAAGGACACCCAGTTCCTAAATATACAAGTAGCCTCTGCTGAGTCAGCCCTGTTGACTAGGCACATGCAAAGATCTTAATTCACTGTGACTGTAACACAGCTATTTTCACCCTTCCTGTTTGACTATTAGACTCACAGTGACATTGCAAACACATGGCACAACTGAAATAAAGCATTCCTGGAAGCTAGCTTTGCAGCAGGATTGTCAGGACAAGTATTGTGTATCCAAAGGTCCTCTCCTCTGTTCTGTTGAGCCCCAGCCCTACGGAGTGACCCCAGAAAATGCTTTCCTTCCAATTTCATCATTTACGGTCTCTGCCAAGCACCTCGCCAGCTCACATCTGGCCACTTTGCTCAAGCAGCATGGGTGAGTCAATACCTTGAATCATTCAACAGAGGCATGTCAGGATGTCAAAGTCAGCTCCTGCTCTGCTGGAAGGTGTTAAATTTCAGTGCATTTCTGTAAAGACCTCCTCAGGTCTGTATGGTTTTGAAATATCAAGACCCCATATTCATCTCTTTTACCACTGTTGACATCTGACCCACTAAAAATTGCCTCTGAATCTTGTTCAAACATTTGAACTTCTCTATCTTATTGTTTCTGATGCTCAAGAGAATGTCAACGAACAGCAGGAATCTGATGGCTCTATCAGTAGTCCCTATGCATTGTCTCCTTGGCTAGGGATCCCTCTTAAGCTCTGTGCATGAACAAAAGCAAAATCTGTGTCCAGAAATTCCAGCATGAGTACACACAGGAAAAGACCACAGGAGAGTGTTTGCTGATGAAACTGGCATTCCTCAAACATGGAAGGTGGTATCTATTCAATAAATGCCAGATGCCTGAGGTAACTCGCTGCAGGAAGTGACAGCTGGGGTGGGGAAGGAGGAGGAGGAAAATTGGCTAAATTAAAATTTAGATCAGCGTTAACACTCTTACCCGTGTGAAACTCGCAATGCAATCTTAAATGAGCTAAAATTCTTTGGGATCAAAATACTGTCTGGCCAGCATTTGTATCACACTACCTGTGTTGCACTCCCTGCCATTCCCATCTGCTCTGCTTGGTACCCAAATGCAGTGAACAGCAGATGACTCACTGCTCCCCCTTGACAGGGGAATCATCTCTCCAGGGCCTTTCACACTTGGTGGCCACTGGAACCCCCAGGGGGGTGGGGTGCTTATTAGAGGCAGATGCTGGGCTGGACATGGTGGCTCATGCCTATAATCCCACCACTTTGGGAGGTTGAGGTGGGTGAATCACTTGAGCCCAGGAGTTGGAGAGCAGCCTGGGCAACTTGGTGAAACACCATCTCTACAAAATACATAAAAATGAGCTGGTATGGTGGTGTGCACCTGAAGTCCTAGCTACTTGGAAGGCTGAGGTGGGAGGATCAATTAAGCCTGGGAGGTCAAGGCTTCAGTAAACTGTGATTGAGCCACCATACTCCAGCCACACTCCACGACACTCCAGCCACCACACTCCAGCAAAACTCTGTCTCAGACACACACACACACACACACACACACACACACACACACCCCAAAAAGCCAAAGACAGATGCTGGGCCAAGCCCCTGCATGTCTAAATCAAAATGCTGGGGCGAAGCCTGAGAATTTGCTTTTTTGGTAATTCCTTGGAGATGCTGATGCTGCTGGCCCACAGGCCACACTTTGAGAACCACTGGTCCATGTAAGCATAGACTGTGAATTTCTTTTACCTTTTGTAAATCCAGTAGCACTTGATTAAAGGTGGGAAAGAAATTGGCTTTGGAATCAGAGAAACCTGGGCTAGAATCCCAGCCCTGCCAATTACCAGCTGTGTAAACTAGAGAAATCACTTAATCACTAGGAGTGTCTGATTCTTTATCTGTAAGATTTAGATAATAAAAATCACCTGACAGAGTTGTTGCAAGGATACAAAGTCTGCCTAGATTACACAAATATTAGCTAATAAAATCTCTGCTACCCCAGACTTTGCTCTCCACATAAGCCTTGATTGCATATAATAAAGTCCAAATCACCAACCTTTTAAACATATCTCTATAATGCCCCCAAAAACAAGACTCTCTTTCTGGAACATTTGGATTCTGATTCATATTAATATTGCTTTTTGGCTTTGGGTACTATTTGACCAGACCATAACATGGGAGGCTATAGTTTTGTAATTGATTTTTGTCTTTTAAAAGAGAATATAAACCTAAACCACAATGGTAAATGGCCAGAATCGAGGTAGGACACACTGAGAATTTCATATCCAATATGTTAGCTGTTAAAGTTTGGTCTGAATGTTCTCAGTATCTCCTGGGTGACAAACGTGACAATGCCTCTGCGGTGAATTCTAGCTGATTCTGCTATTTGATAGTGTTGTACACAACTATATGGTAGACCTCCATTAAGCCTCCCCCAGATAATTTCCTCCTATAATAATTTCCAAAAGAAAACTGGGAACAGACCAGTGATGAGTCAATGCAGTGGCTAAGAACAGAGGCTCAGAAACAGCTGAATCTCTTCCTAGTGGTCCTCTGAGCTCAATCACATCCATGTTCCATGTAGTTAAACACCAGTCACCCAGTGAACTTTTGTCAGGTGATGTTTCATAGCAGGCTGTTCACAGTAGCCAAAGACTGGAAACAGCCCAAATGTCCATTGGTCTATACCCATAATGAAATATTCAGTCTTAAAGAGGAAGGAGATTCTGACACAGGCTACAACCTGGATGAACCTTGAGGACATTGCGCTAAGTGAAATAATCCAGTCACAGGATAACAAATAAGAGGTATGATTCCACCTATATGAGGTCCCTAGGACAGTCAGATTCATAGAGACAGAGAGTAGAATGGTAGCTGCCAGGGGCTGCGGGGAGGAGGGATGGAGAGTTAGGGTTGAACGTGTATGGTTTCAGTAGGGAAAAATGAGAAAGTTCTGGAGATTGATGGTGGTGATGGTTTCACAGTAATTTGAATGCACTTAATGCCATAAAACTGGAGAGTTAACAATGGTTAAGATGGCAAATTTTATGTTATGTATATTTCACTACAATAACAAGCAAAACAAAACAACTCAGGTTAAGTTCAGCTGCGGGTGGGGATACAGGAGTGATTGTCAGATAAAGTCTGAGAATGAAGAGAAGCTTCTACATTACTGTGTAACATGAGAGTTAATCCATCATGGCATCTGGAGGCTGCCTGAATGCCCCTTTAAATCTGTACTGCAAGCAAGTAACAGAAAGAAATAACTTATGTGAGGAAAGCATATTATTCTGATAAAACCAATAGGCCTATAATACGATGTAGGTATGTCAAGTAAGAGCCCCAGAAGTTTTACCAGTGTCTCTAAAACAGAAGGTAGCTGTTGAGAGGTGGTGGGAATTAAATCATTTATTTTCCCTTCGCAGTTCAGGCAACACTTTTCTTACATTCACCAGCAGATTCTATTCCATATAATTGAATCTGTGGGGAGTCTTTGGCTGTTCTATAAAATGACTTTTACTGATAAATTCATTTTGCAAAGATTGCAGAAGAAGGGTCTGCTCCCTACGTTCCCCTGTGTCCCTTCAGGCAGAATGAGCTCCTGGGCAGAGGCGGTGGGAACTTCAGAATCCCTCCCCTGCTTCTCAGCTGCGCTTTTCCTTTCGCATGTCCGGGTCTCGGGCTTTCCTTTCCTTGGTGCTCTTGCTAACTCATTCATATCTGGGTGCACATGAAGGCACAGGGAGATGCTAAACTCCATAGCTAGGGAAAGGACAGCGTAAGGCTGTCCTTTAGAATGTATTACAGAATTACTGAGGTGTGACAACACAAAAGAAGGGGAACGTTTCTGAGCACCTACGTGCTAGACGCTGTACAGACTTTCCTCACTTAATCCTCATCACATTTCTGGCAGGGCGCGGTGGCTCACGCCTGTAATTCCAGCACTTTTGGAGGCCAACGCAGGCGGATCATCTGAGGTCAGAAGTCCGAGACCAGCCTGGCCAACATGGCGAAACCCTGTTTCTACTAAAAATACAAAAATTAGTCGGGCATGGTGGCACTCGCCTGTAATCCCAGCTACACGGGAGGCTGAGACAGGAGAATCGCTTGAACCCAGGAGGTGGAGGTTGCAGTGAGCCGAAATTGTGCCACTGCACTGCAGCCTGGTCAACAGAGCAAGACTCTCAAAAAAAAAAAAAAAATCTGCATCATTGCTACCCTTACATTACAACTGTGTAAATTCAGGCTCAGAAAACTTTTTATAAAGGACCTAAAGGAGATCCCACGGCTGTAAGTGGAGGAAATAGAATTTGAAACCAGATGGTTAGGATTCAAGCCTTTTGCATTTCTTAGTACTCTTCATGGGGAAAAACACTGGTGTGATTTCCCCTTGTCATCTTTGGTCAAATTTTAGCATCTGAACTGTTGAAAAGGAAGGATTCATCAGCACAGCAGATGCTTCAATGTTTGTTTGTAAATAAAGAAGGCAAGTAGGAAAGGTTGAAGGAATTTATTATGTGATTTAGTACTTCTCAGAGGGACAGGCAATGTGAGAAGGCAAATAGAAACCTCATCACAGTACTTGTAATGACAGAGTAGTGCAAAAGGAGAACTGGTCACAAATATTGGGGCAAATAGTGTATGAAAGGAGTGCCAAGACCAAGGCATACTATTTGGATGCAAGATTTTTTTTTTAAGAACACAGACTGTGACATACAGTTTTAAGGTGATGTTCTGAATTTGTACTCCATTCTCCCCTTGTACTCCATTCTCCCCTTGCAAATCTCCCAAACAATAGGAGAACTGATATAAGACACTTTTTAAAAGAAAGTAGACAACATCAGTAAATCCCACTTAAAATTTATAATCAAGACCTAAAAAGTGCATTGAAGATGAATCAGGAGTGGGAGAAGACACAGAGACACGATGCCTCAGGCAAGGTTAGCAGAGCGTGAGTCTCCACAGTGTGTAAGTGCGGGAGGGAAACTGACAGCTCCTCACAGGGCCTGCCTGTGTCCCAGATGAAGACAGTGATGGAGAGAGCATATGAACATGCCATCCTTGTAGGAAGCAGGCTGTTAGTAAGGCTGGATAAAGGACACAGAGTCTGAATTGTGACTAGCTCTAGAGTTGCTGATTTCCGTGGGCTGAAAAAGTAAAGATTACAATAACACCTGCTTTCCCCCACCACGTGTGTCTCTCTTTCTCTCTCTGTTCTCTCTCTCTCTCACACACACAATCAATTGTGCATTATAAAGACCTTCATTTTGATTAAGATACAAATTTTGCTAGTTCACACCACTCTTCCTTTCCCACATGAATATTCTGAAAAGAACTCATAAAATATAATAAAGAAAAAAGAAAAGCAATAAAACATAAAATCACAAAAACTGACAAAAAAGAAATAGAAAACTGGAATGTCTTGTTAAGGAAATTGAATCAGTAGTTTAAAATCCCCCCACAAAATGAACACCAATCCCATATGGTTTTACATGTAGGTTCCACCATGTATTCAAGGAATCCTAATCTTATGCAAACTTTTTCTGAAAACTGAAGATAAAGGATCACTCCCAGCTCATATTTGAGGTGAGCATAACATTGACCCTAAAATTTGACAGGAAAAGTACAAGAATGAAGAAATATAGGCCAAACTCATAAACGTAGATTCTATTATTTTACTATATTAACAGATTAAGAAAAAACCAGAGATCATTTTAATATGTGACTGCAAAAGCATATATTATAACTCAACACCTAATTATTATATAAACTCTTAGCATAAGTGATAAAGTATAGGTATCAAAAACCTATAGCAAAAATTATACTTAGTGATGAAATAATATAAATATTCCTTCAAAATCAGGAAGAAGCAAGAATGTTCACTCTCACTTTTTGTAATCCACATTGTACTAGAAGTCCTAGCCAACGCAACAAGAAAAACAAATACCAAGTATAAGGATTTGAAAGAAAAAAATGTCATTCTTGACATATAATATCGAAGTCTACATAATAAAGAGTGTTCATCAAGTTGCCAAATAAAAGTTCTATATTTTAAAAGATTTCAGTGCTATATAACAATAACAACAAACAGAAAATATAATTTAAGAAAGAAGATATTACCTAAAATAGTAAAAAAAAGAACATACCCACTAATGAATTAAACAAAAGATGTGCAAGAATAGCACAGAAAAAAAATGAAAACTTTGTGAGAGAAAACACAGAGTGATATTTCCAAGTATTTTCTTGTTACACACGTAGATTTTTCCTCCCTGGAATGAATCATGTTAATGTTCATCTCCTCCATGCCTGCTAAACTGTGGACACTGGGCTACTCCAGAGAGAAACGGAGCCAGCTTCTGTCTTCCCTGCTAGAGCTTGTGCTCCGGAAGGAGTCACTCATCAAAACCAATTGATGAAATGATTATTGAATAACTATTATGTAACATGCCTCCAAGAAGACATACAGAATGCAGCAAGCATGTGAAATAGGAAGCTTTCGTAGCCTGGATTTCAGGGAGCGAGCTCAGATCTCAAAGAGTCACAGTAACGATGAGAGATGAGGGGAAAGACTACTCCCAGTTGAAGCAAACAGCCTGGGCAAAGGCACTGGGGCAGGGAGGGCTATGCCCATGCACAGATTTGGAAACTCCTCCTCTTTTTTTCATGAATAAATTATGACATATTTTCTCATCAACAAGTACTTTCTGTGGCATCATTTTAAGTGGCTGAATAGTGTTTCAATATAATCTATTGAACTAATTGCTTTTTTAAAAATTGGAATTATTGTAATTTTTTATTGATACATACTAATTGCACATACTTATGGGGTACATCTGACAGTTTAATATATGCATATGATGTGTAGTGATCAGAGTAGGATATCAATAGCCTCAACCATTTATCATTTCTTTGTGTTGATAACATTTTAAACATTCTCTCCTATTTTGAAATATACAATACGCTGTTGTTAACCATAGTCACCCTACTCTGCTATTGAACATTAAAACTCATTCCTTCTATCTAACCATATGTTTGTACCCATTTGCCAACCTCTCTTCATCCTCCCCCACCTTTCCCTAGTCCCTGAAAACTATCATTCTACTCTCCACCTCTATGAGATTAACTTTTTAAACTCCCATATATGAGTCAGAACATGTGATATTTGTCTTTCCGTGTCTGGCTTATTTCACTTAACATTCAGTTCCATCCACATTGCTGCAAATGACAGGATTTCATTCATTGTTGTAGCTGAATAGTATTGCTCTGTGTACATGGACCACATTTTCTTTATTCATCTGTTGATGAGTTTTTTGTGCATTCTCACCAGCATTTGTTATTTTTTATCTTTTTTATTTTTATTATTTATTTATTTTTTTAGATGGAGTTTCACTCTTGTTGCCCAAGCTGGAGTGCAATGGTGCGATCTTGGCTCACCACAACCTCCGCCTCCCGGGTTCAAGCGATTCTCCTGCCTCAGCCTCCCAAGTAGCTGGGATTACAGGCATGCACCACCATGCCCAGCTGATTTTGTATTTTTAGTAGAGATGGGGTTTATTCATGTTGGTCATGCTGGTCTCAAGCTCCCGAACCTCAGGTGATCCAGCCGCCTCATCCTCCCAAAGTGCTGGGATTACAGGCATGAGCCACCATGCCCGGCCTTATTTTTTTATCTTTTTGATAGTAGCCATTTTAACTGGAGTGAGATGATATCTCATTGTGGTTTTGATTTGCATTTCCCTGATGATCAGTGATGTGGAATATTTTTTATATGCCTGTTGGTCAATTGTAGTCTTCTTGTGAGAAATTTCTATTCAAAACTTTTGCCTACTTTTTAATGGGATTTTTCTTTTCTGGTGCTGAATTGAGTTCCTTGAATATTCTAGATATTCATTTCTTGTCAGATGAATAGTTTGTAATTATTTTCTCCTATATTACGGGCTGTCTTCTCACTGCTGAGTGTTTCCTTTGCTATGCAGAAGTGGCTTAGTTTATACAGTCTCATTTATTTACTTTTGTTTTTGTTGCCTGTGCTTTTGAGGTCCTAGCTATGAAATCTTTGCCTAGACCAAGTCCTGAAGCATTTCCCATATTTTTTTCTAGTAGTTTTATAGTTTGAGGTCTTATGTTTATGTCTTTAATGTATTTTGAGTTGATTTTTTTAATATGGTGAGAAATAGGAATGAATATCAGGTTTCTCCATGAATATCAGGTTTCCCTACTCCATTTATTGAAGAGGCTGTCCTTTTCCCAATGTTCATGGCACTTTTGTCAAAAATAAGTTGGCTGTAAATATGTGGCTCTTTTCTGGGTTCTCTATTCTTTTCCATTAGTCTATGTGTCTGATTTTATATCAATACCATGCTGTTTTGGTTACTATAACTTTGTGGTACATTTTGAAGTCAGGTAGTGTGATGCCTTCAGCTTTGTTATTTGTTTTTTTGCTTTGTTTTGTTTTTGGCTCAGGATTGCTTTGGCTATTCAAGGTCTTTTGAGGTTCCACACAAATTTTAGGATTGTTTTTTCTATTTCTGTGAGGAATATAATTGATATTTTAATAGAGATCATATTAAATCTGTACATTGCTTTGGGTAGTATGGTCATTTTATTGATATTAATTCTTCCAATCCATGAGCATGGAATACCTTTTCATTTCTTTTTATCCTCTTCAATTCATTTCATCAGTGTTTTATAGTTTTCAGTATAGAGGTCTTTCATCACTTTGGTTAAATTTATTCCTAGGTGTCTTATGTTTTGTAGCTATTGTAAATGGGATTGTTTTCTTGATATTTTTTTCAGATAGTTCAGTTAGCATATAGAGATACTACTGACTTTTGCGTGTTGATGTCATGTCCTGCAACCTTACTGAATTCATTTATCAGTTCTTATGAGGTTTTTTTCTTTTTTGGTGGAGTCTTTAGGTTTTTGTATATATAAGATCATGCCATCTGCAAACAGGGACAATTTGACTTTCTCTTTTCCAATTTGGAGGCTTTTTATGTCTTTCTGTTATCTGGTTGCTCTAGTTAGGACTAGCAGTACTATGTTGAATGAGAATGGTGAAAGTGGACATCCTTGTTTAGTGCTTAGAGGAAAGGCTTTGTCATATATGGCCTTTATCATGTTGAGGTATGCTCCCTAAAAGAATAATTTGTTGAGAGTTTTTACCATGAAGGGATGTTGAATGTTATCAATTTTCTTCTGCATCTACTGAGATAATTTTATGTTTTCATAATTTTATGTTTTCTTCTTCATTCTGTTATTTTAATGTAATATATGTATTAATTTGCTTGTATTGAACCATCTTTGCATCCCTAGGATAAATCTCACTTGATCATGATGTATTATCTTTTTAAAGTGTTATTGCATTTGGTTTGCTGGTGTTTTGTTGAGAATTTCTGCATCTATGCTCATCAGGGATATTGGCCTGTATTTCCTTTTTTTTGTTGTGTCCTTCTCTGGTTTTGGTATCAGGGTATTGTTGGACTCATAGAATGAGTTTGAAAGAATTCCTTCATCTTCCATTTTTTGGAATAGTTGAAGAAGAATTGTTTCTTCTTTAACACCTGAGAAGTGTTCGTTTTTCTTTCAAAGTTTGGTAGAATTCATCAGTGAAGCCATCTGGTCCTGGGCTTTTCTTTGTTGGGAGGACTTTTTATTACTGATTCAATCTTGTAACTAATTACTGGTCTCTTCAGGTTTTTTATTTCTTCTTGGTTCAATCTTGGTAGGTTACAGGTGTCCAGGATTTTGTCCATTTCCTCTAGGTTTTGGAATTTGTTGGTATATATAGTTGTTCATAATTGCTTCTAATGATACTTTGCATTTTTGCAGTATCTGTTGTAATGTTTCATTTTTCAGTTCTGATTTTATTTATTTGTATCTTCGGTCTCCTTTTCTTAGTCTATCTAATGATTTTTAAAATTTTGTTTTTCTTTTTAAAAACCAGACTTTTTATTTCATTGATCTTTTGTAGTTATTTTGGGGTCTCTATTTCATTTAGTTTTGCCCTGTTCCTTTCTTTCCTTCTACTAATTTTCACTTTGGTTTGTTCTTTCTTTCCTATTTCCCTGAGGTACCACATTAGGCTGTTTATTTGAAATGTTTCTATTTTTTTGATGTGTTTATTGCTATAAGCTTTCCTTTTAGAACTGATTGTGCTATATCCTATTGGTTTTGATATGTTGTGTTCATATTTTCATTTGTTTCAATAAATTTTTTATTTCCTTCTTAATTTCTTCACTGATCCATTGGTTGTTCAGGATTATGTTGTTTAATTTCCATATTTTTAGACAGTTTCCTAAGTTCATTTTCTTATTGATTTCTAGTTTCATCTGTTGTGATCTGTAAAGATACTTGATATGATTTCAATATGTTAAAATTTGTTGATACTTGATTTGTGGACAACATGTGGTCTAACATGGAGAGTGTTCCATGTGCTTTTGAGAAAATGTATTCTGCAGCTGCCAAATGAACTATTCTGTAATTGTCTGTTAGGTCCATTTGGCCTATAGGACAGATTAAATCTGATAATTCTGTGTTGGTTTTCTGTCCAGATGACCTGTCCAATGCTGAAAGTGGGATGTTGAAGTCCCCAGCGATTATTGTATTGGGATCTTTCTCTCTCTCTCTCTCTCTCTCTCTAGCTCTAATAATATTTGTTTTATATATCTGGGTGCTCTGGCGTTGGGTGCATATATATTTACAATTGTCATATCCTCTTGCTGAATTTATTTTTTTATCATTATATAATAACCTTTGTTGTCTCTTTTTATGTTGTTGTTGTTTTACTTAGTCTATTTTGTCTGATATAAATATAGCTTCTCCTGCATGCTTTGGTTTCCATTTGCATGGAATATTTTTTTCCATCACTTCACTATCAGTCTCTGTGTGTCTTTATAGGTGAAGTGAGTTTCTTCTGGTCAGCATATAGTTGGGTCTTTTTTTTCTTAATCCATTCAGTAGTCTAACATCTTTTAATTTGGGAATTTAAACCGTTTACATATAGACAAGTGAGGACTTACTCCTGTCATTTTGTTAATTGTTTTTCTGATTATTTTGTTTATCCTTTGTTTCTTTCTCTTTTATTACCTACCTTACAATTGTTAGTTTTTTTATAGTGATAACATTTGACTCCTTTCTCTTTCTCATTTCTGTATCTGCTCTAACAGTGAGTTTTGTACTTTTGTGTATTTTCATGATTGACATAATCCTTTCTGAACCAATTTCTTATTACACATTTCACTTGTTTCTTTTTATCTTCTATTGTCAATGCTGTTTTGAAGTACGTGCTTCTCTGAGTACATATGTATTTATTTCCTCAGACAAATTCCTAGAAGAGGAACTATTTTACCAGGGGGAAAACAAAGTTAAGATGTTTACATATTGTTAAAATATGATACAGAATGCTTATGCAGGTTATAGCCCCATCAACAGAGCATGAGAAATCTAGTTCCACATGCAAATGCTGACTATTATTATCTCTATAAATCTTGCTCATTTTATAATGAACAAATGGTATATAGTTATTTTATATTTTTTGTGCGTGTTTGTTTATTCCTGGTAAATATTAACACAGCAATCAACTAAATTTCTTCTTTAATTATCTAAATACTTATATTCTTTGCCCATTTTTCTAATATGATATTTTTTCTTGAATTAATTTTAAGAGCTTTCATGTATTAAATATCATTTTTCCAGATTTTCCCCACATTATAGGTGGCCTTTTAATCTCTTTCTGTTTTTTTTTCACATTCAGAAGCATATCAAATCTTTCCATAAATAACATTTGTGCAATTGTGCCAATATATCTGTAATACAAATTCCTACATTTGGAATTACTGAACCAAAGATAAGGTGCATTTAAGATGTTGACAGATGTTACTGATTATATAACCCATTTTATGACCACCACAACCAAATGAAATAGTTATTATTTTCACCATTACATAGATGAGGAAACTGAGGTTCTCATAGCAACTTTCTCAGTGGTACACAGCTTGTAATCGGAAGAGTTTAGAACGGAATCCAGGTCTCCAACTCCTAGCCACAATGTAGACTATCTCACTGGTATCTTCTGCAAGAAAAAAAAGTACTTAATTTGCAAGTTCTCAAACTTTTCTTCTACCAGAAATTAGCACTGTAGAGGGCAAATTAAACAGTTTAAAAATAATAAACATCAAAAGAGAACATGACCTAAGTTTGGAAAGAGAAATCTAAATTTGCTGCCAAGTGATGGCCTCAGCACTGAAGCCTGCTTGCAGCATCTGATGCAGCATGCTGCTTAGAATAGGCATCTAGTTCTATTTTTAGGAATCGCCCCTCCATGTCAAATCACGTAAAACACATTCCTGTGTCCTCAGTATTTTTTAAATGTCTCTGACTATTTTAGCACCTGTGGGAAGTCTTATAAGAAAAAAAATTGCAGGCATTGAAAAAATAGATTTTCGATTATATTCTGCATAGGTGGCTCACATCTGTAATCCCAGCACTTTGGGAGGCTGAGTTCGAGAACAGGCTGACCAACATGGCAAAACCCCGTCTCTACCAAAAATACAAGCCGGGCATGGTGGTTCATGCCTGTAATCCCAGCTACTCGGGAGGCTGAGGTATGAGAATTGCTTGAACCTGGGAGGTAGAGGCTGCAGTGAGCTGAGATTGGGCCACTGCACTCCAGCCTGGGTGACAGAGCAAAACTCTGTCTCAAAAAAAAAAAAAAGTTTAGATAAAAACATTAAAAAATCATTTCAGCTTTGTGGGTAACATGAAAATAAATATGCACTTTTATATGTTACTCTTTTTTCAACTAAAAAATAATTTGTGACATTTCAAAATAGTAATAATGTAATGAACATTTCTGTCATAGTAAATAACTTTAGCTACTCTCCCAAAAGTCATTGAGTATTTCAGAACTCCCCCAGGACTGAAACATGTTGCCAATGAACTTGACTATTTCAAAGACAATGTCTTCTAGTCCCTTGACTATGCTGTAACCATACAAGATAAGCTTCTCATGTCAATGAAAATTTACCCCTTGGAGAGATCCAAATAGAGATCTCTCTTTGGATGCAAGGTAACCTAATGAGATATTACAGATATAAGAGGAGGAAGATGGTGATGCAGCTACAGTTAAGGATTGTGGTGTCCAGAATCCACTTTAGACAATAATTGGAGGCAGAAATAGGATCACTGTGGAGCTCACAGGAAGGAGGCAATAGCGGTGTGGAATGCTGTATTTCATAGATTCCAACACATGCATATTTTCCTATAGTAACATCTCTGACGTTGTGATGTGTACTGCAATCAACAACACCTTCCAGTTGACAGCTTGCCACAGTTTATTTATCAGCGATTTTTTTTCTTCCTTAGTGGCACAGAAAATAATGGTGCATCTTACAACTGCTGGTGTCCTCAATGTGATGAAGAATGAATACTTATTACCAGTGAGAAAAGCATGGAGGACCTTAATGAGGGGCAGGTGGCCACTGTTCACACTCACTGTTAACAGTTAATTGTGATTATGGCATGAGAGCCTAGCACACAGGCTTCAGTGCAAGGTGAGACGGATATAAAGTGTTTGAGGAGGAGAAGGAAGGTAAAAAAAAAAGATGATGAGGCTGCCTCATTTACCATTAAACTGAGGAAGGATCTAGCCCTGGACTGGCATGAAAAATTGTCATATTGCTTCATCTCCCAGAACCAAAGAAGCTGTTTTTAAAAAATAATAAGCACATTCTTTGTATTTGCAGTACGGCCTGAAAACTAAGTAAATCAAGGTTTTCACAGAAAATGTTGAATTGTTTTGAACACAGCATTTGTACTTATTGATTGTGATTTGTAACAATTAATTAATACTCAGATGTAACAGCTAAACAAAACACTGCTCTTCTACAACATGATTATAGAATTGATTTTCTACAAAACATTTTAAAGGAATGTGAAGTTAAATAGCTAGGAAGATGTAAGGAGGCTGGGTTTAGAATTTGAACTGGAATCAATTCCAGCCTTTTTAATTTGGAAAAGTGGTGGCAGGATGCAAGTCTGTGGCACCAGAGACACTTGACCTAGTATCGCCCTAGCCTGCGCTTCCTGCACTGAGTGGGAAGTTGGATGAGAGGACTCAGGTCTTTCACTTGTACATGCCTATAGCATCATTGGAGACCGTTGTGTGAAAAAGCTGCCTGGGTCACCAACTCTCATATAAAGTAAAGAGGAAAAAAAATCCCACAGCCACTGGTCTTCAAAGGACAGACATGTGGACCTGGTTGGGATGGGGTTGAGGGCAGACTTAAAAAGCTTCATGCAAAGGCTCATCTGAGATGGGCTTTGAAGGTGGGACTGCATGACATGCTGATGGGCAGGACAGATGGATGTATTCCACAGAGGAGGCAAATCATGTGCTAATGCAAAGTGGCAGGGAACCTGATCTATAGGACAGTGGCCCTCAGTCGTGGCTGTATATGGGAATCACCTGGAGTGCTTTAAACAAGCCATGCCTGTGCTGGGGGCTTCCCCTGCCCAGCCAGATCCTTGCCATTGGCACGGGCTCTGCTGGTGCACAGTCATGCAGTTCTTCCCCACTCCAGGTCCACTGAGTCAGAATCTCAGAGGCTGGGGTTGAGACAGTGATATTTAATTTTTTTTCAAGTTATTCTATTCTGCAGTCAGAGTTGAAAGACTTATGACTTTTGGTACAGCGGGTAGAAAAGTGTAACTGAGGTTCAGGCTACGAGTTAGGAAGATCAGAGAGCAGAATGGAGAAGTGGATTGGGTTCATTTACCTGGGGGCATTTATCCTCATTTTGTTCTAGAAGGAAAAGTCAGGTCAAGAGACTGGTGATTCAGAGGTTGTGGTCAGCATTAAGGGACTCAAGAGATAATAAGGCATCGGGACAGTGTCAATAGGGAGCAGCCCCTCACCCCTAGATCTGGGGAAGGAAGGGGCAGAACCCTGGAGGAGGGGCCAGCCAGCAGGGCTGTGCTCTTGAGGGGATCCAGTCACTGCTCAGTAGCACTGAGCAGGGAAGTTGTGGGCAAGACAAACGCCACCTCTTTCTCTTCTTGTCCATCAATCTCTTGTTGCTTCTTCCAGTTGGTTGAGCCCAACCAGAAGCCACAGGGGAGAAAGCCCAGGCAATTCTGCCCTCAGAGATCAGCCTCCTAGAGCCCTGGGATGAGTATGGGGTGGGGTGGAGGGAGGCAAATGGATTATAACCAGCACAACACTAAAGGCACGGTTGGAAGTTTTGCCTAAATTCAATAGGCAATGGTAAACCGCTGGAGGCTTTTGAGTGGGATTGTGATTAGAGCCATGCTTTTAACATGTTTAAACTGTCATGATATTAAAATTAATGTAAGTGAGGGAAAATATTGGTATGTAGGTTGGTTAAGGCCAGGAGGAAGCAGGAGATTTCCTGCATGCACGCCAGCCTTGGCGCTGCTCTGCCAGGTCAGAGGCTCTCCCCAGGGCTGATAATGATGGCTGGGAGTGTGGGCGATCTGCTGGCAGCTGCCGTGACCTTGGCCTGCCTGTGCAGTTTGAGCTTGCTGCAGATACTCTATTCTGAAGAACAAAGCCCTGTCTGTTAATTATTCTTCCAGTCGCTAAGGGAATTAACCAAGGTTTATGGGATTGATTCAACTCTCATCAACATGAAAGCACTAGGAAAATGTTGGCGAACACACAGGGGCATGTCGATTCTGGATTCCTGCGTGGGACTCAGGAATGGATGGTTCCTTAAGGGATGTGTGGGAGGGGGGTCTTTTCCAACTGAAGCCACCCTGGGAAAATGCAGTGTTGGGAGGAGAATTCTGGTCCAGCAATGTGTCTCTCCACTTTTGAATGAGAAAAACTCCTCTGTAGGCTTTTCAGTAATGAGCATCTATGAATTGGGGAATCAGATTATCAGAACTGAGTGCCTGCGGTTGGGGATCCAATCAAGGCATCTTCTTTTGCCTGAAATGGGCTGGTGAAGTCTATTCATAAAGGAAGAGCTAACATGTAGAAGAGAGGGAAGAACTCCCAATGCTCTTCTTGGAGTAAGAACCAAACTAAAAGGGAATATTATACAGATCCTTGTTTTCGATCAACATGTGCAAAAACTCCAACACTCAAAGTTGCCCAGCAAAGGAAAGGGCTGTCTTATGAAATGGTGAACTCCTCATCTTTTTAAGGACCCAAGCAGATGTCTGGCAGCTACTTTTATGACTGATATTTTGGAAGGCATTCCTGCAAGGGCACTAGAGCAATGACCAGGTTAGGTGACCCTCTGTTAGGGACTGAATTGTGTTCCCTTTCCCATGCCAAATTCATATGTTGAAGCCCTGGGAACTCCTAGTAACTTAGAATGTAAACTTGTTTGAATTAAGGTCTTTAAAGAGGTAATTAAGTTACAACATGGTCTTTTGCATGGGTCCTAATCCAATGTGACTGGTGTCCTTATAAGAAGAGGAGATTAAGACACAGAGGGAAGACCATGTGAAGGCACAGGGGGCCTCAGAAGAAAACAACTCTGTCACCATCTTGGTCTCGGACTTCTAGCTTCCAGAACTGTGAGACAATAAACTTCTGTTGCTTAAGCCACCCAGTCTGGCTAAGACCCCCTCAATCTTTCTAAGAGTCTATTCTTTGACTTGAAAAATATTTAGAAAAGCTTATTCACTGGAGTTCGGAATAACACTACAGGATAACAAGTCCCGGTGTTTAATAAAACAGCAGGAGCCTCAGGCTGCAGTTGCATATTACTTAGCTTCCTAAATAATTGAAATAGGAGGGTATCACCGAGAAGAAATCACTTACAGGATATATTCATTCATTAAGCAATATCTGTTGTGGGCTTTCTGTGTGCCAATAACATCAATTCAAAGCCATAAGCAATCAGTTGGCCTGTTTGCAGAATGCAGAGAGATGACTGGGATTTACTCCTCAGAAGGGCAGGCAGGAATATCCAGGCAGGTGGTCGCTGGATATCTGGGTATCTGGGTATTAGGATGTATGAGCAAATGGCTCTTGTGTGAAAGAGAGAATTGGCTTTTCTCTGCATCTCTGTAACTAAGAACAATACAGAGAAGTTCTGAGAAGTAGATTTTAGCTCAACATCAGGGGACCTATCAAACTCTCAAGTTCTGCAATGCTGATACGGCTTCTGTTGGGGTGAAGAGGGATTTAAGTGTTGGCTTTACAATTACACATGGAGATGTTCTAGCATGGTTCAAGTATCAGAAGTGAGACAAACTAGAACATCTTAAGGAGCTTGCAACCTTGTCTTTCTATGATGTTTGAAGACAATCATACCATCATACTATCATACCATCCACAATGGTGTGATAGAAAGATGGAAGTGGGAAGGCCTCTTGTGAAGCCATTGAAATAACTCAGTGCTGAAAGCCAATAGATCTTCATGAGACTACGCCACGCAACTGGGAAGGAAGAACTAGACAGAGTGAAGACAAGTGGGCTCCCCAGCTCCATCTCCACGTCACTCTGCTGGCTTCCCCATAAAGTTGATCTGTCCGGTTTGCATCAATGGGTTCCATGCCTTCTGGCATCTGGTTGGCTTTAGCCAATGAGGAGCCCAGCAGGGGACTGGAAGGAAGGAGCAGGAAAGGGGTTGGGATATTTATTTCCTGGTTCCCCCCACATTAACAAAAAGGCATGATGGTCCTCTCAAAGTGGCCTGCTCCGCACGACTCTCTCCCCTCCCAGGCTCTGCGATGTCTCCCTCCCCTCCTCCCGCCAGGCCTGGAGGTGGGAGCTGGATGGCAGTCTTGCAGCTGTTGGCCTGAATTCCCGTGCTTACCCCTCATGGCTCCCTACCCTTCACCATGCCTTCGAAAAAGGTCCCTTTGTAAATAAAACCTCCTCCCATTATCCTTGTTTGAGTGCACCATCTATTTTCCTTCTTGTTTTTCCTGACCCCCACAGACTGTATGACTGGATTTGGTCAATGATAAATTTTGTGTAAATTAGTGCATTTCAAAATACACTTTTCGGGGAGTTGTGGGGATAGGGAGAGTTTTGTCTGTGGCTAATCAGAGCAGCTCCATTAACCTCTTGGGCTACTCTCTAAAATTCCATTTGTGGCGGAGCACAGTGCCTCACACCTGTTATCCCAGCACTTTGGGAGGCCAAGGCAGGTGGTTCACTTGAGGTCAAGAGTTCGAGACCAGCCTGGCCAACATGGAGAAACCCCGTCTCTACTTAAAAAAAAAAGTACAAAAATTAGCCAGGCATGGTGGCACACGCCTGTGATTCTAGCCGAGATCATGCCACTGCACTCCAGCCTGGGTGGCAGAGTAAAACTTTACCTCAAAAAAAAACCCCAAAAACAAAATAATAAAATTCCATTTGTATGAGGATTTTACAACTAAGACTCAGTGTGAAAGTTTTGGGCAAAAAATAAAAATAAAAAAACAAAACCCCAAAAATGATGCCCTAATTTTAAGTATGGATCCAGAATTGAAATCATCATCCGATCCTTGCTGCAGACCTCAAGTAACCCAGGATCTGGTCCATTTCTTGGGCTGTACCTTCACAGCACAACATAAAGTAGAGTCTTGGCACTGTTCCACTTAATTTGATAGATGTACATGACTAGCAAGGTAGAGTGGCTTAGTGTCTAAAAAAATCCATTTGCATTTAGTAATCTGTCTATATTAATCAAATCAGCTGGCTAATTGCCAAATCTCCCCTTCTTTCTGTATTACTTATGACCAAGATTGGATGACAGAACGCAATGGGGAGGGCAGAGAGGTTGACTCTCAGCCCACATCTTCATAAAGACGCGGTTAAACAAAACCTCCTTGACGTGCCTACCAAGCCTAGGAGAGCCTGCCATGAAATACCTGCTGTTAGGATGGCTCTCAGACCTGAGTCCTCCAGGATAGATCTTTTGGTGAGAATGTACTTTAGAAATCCTTGAGGGATGAAACTATGGGAACCAAAAAATATCTTCCTCCCAGTGTGAGTCAGCTGTGTTCAACTACCAAGGATGTCATAGGCAAAATTAGATGCAAAGCCTAACTCCACATTCATGGCTAACATGTGAAAAGAGATGCTCTGTCAAGCACAATATTAGACAGCACCTGTTGTGTGAGCACCTGCACTCAATGGGGAAGGCAAATTAGAAGTGAAAACTAATTGGAAAAGCAGATGTAAGGGGTGTGGGCGAAATGAAAATACTCTGATAGTTGCTTTGGGACAATGTCAAGTGACATAGAATATTCGGAACTGTTTTGTTCAAAATGGGATTTCTGATTTCTAGGGAGAAAAAAACCACATGTTTCTGCTTTACAAGGTACAAGACTGGTGAAACTTGGAGCGCAAGGGAGCGAGCATGCCATGGGGCAGCAGCCGCCATGATGTCTCCCTGTGAATTCCTGAGTCAGGGATGGAGAGGGTGAGCCCAGAGTGGCCTTTGGAAAGATGGCCTTCGATGGTTGAAGATCTGTTTATTCCATGTCTGTGTATTACTTCTTCCCAGCAGTATGGTGGTTTGGAAAGAATGTTGATGTGGGCCTTGGAAGTGCTGGGGAGAAGCCTCACATGGGCAGCCAGTAACGAGCAGTAAAGTACAAACAGTGCAGTTGCTCTGGCAGACTTGAGAGCCATTGCAACAGGGAAAGACAGGTCATGGCGGAGAGCCTTTGACCTGAGAGGGCTCAAAATTTGCAAGCCAATTTGAGCATGAAGGCAGAGCGAGGCCTCTTCACAAATGCTGGTCCTGTTTGGATGGATTCCATGCTGGGTCTGAGAGTGGCAGGATGGATGGGTCCACAGATGAAGGGCGTTGGGATGAGAGTACTACCTGTGCCCCGCTGCGCTTCTGTCCCTCTGTTGGGGAAGGGGCTTTGGCTAAATAATTTTATCATCTCTTCTGGCCATAATGCTCTACAATTTTATCTTCTACTCATCCATGAAGCACCAATTTTTCTCTCTGAGCTAATTGCCCAGGAAGAACTCATAGATTTCTTAATATACCAAGTAATCTTTCCTTTCATTAAAAAAAAAAATGGAAAATAGATGACTAATTTTCATATGCAACTACTCTCAATCTAAAACTTTTTTTCTACTCATACTTAATATATAGTTTTCAGTTGCTATATATATGTGTAAATATATAGTCATTTTTAATGGATGGCATTTTAGCCTCAATAAGCCAGAAGGATTACCTTTTATACTTTAACAATTCCACGGTTGATGGAAAAGTATTGGACTGATTTGATCTAAAAATTTGAAGGTCAAAATTCACTCAGCATTCTCAAGTCTGGACATCCACTTTGAAGGCCAAAAAAATAAAATAAAATAAAATAAAATCAAGTGGGATTGTCAAAAAGATAAAGGCCATTTCACTTCTGTTATCACAGGAATCTTCCCAAGGTTAGTGTGACCAAATGTCAATCTCGGAGCTGATATGATGACTCGTAAACTTAAATTTTCTGTTCTCCAGGAGCAAATGCCAAAAGACGAGAGGGACAACTTAACATGAAAAATGGGCACAAAACTCTTGATATTGGAATATCAGAACCTAAAATAGAGACCAAATCAAGACATTTGAAAATGTCTCCTAAAACGGTGTTAAAACACGAAGCACGTTTTCAAGCAGTGAAAGGTCCAAAGCTCAGAGAATTTAAAATAAGAATAAAAATTGCCCCTAAATCTGCAGCATCTGGTTTAAAAAAAAATACTTGAAATTCAGATCTCCCTAGCTCTATCTTTTCTGAGCATACGAAGGCAAATATTCTCCAGGAATGATGTTTTGTCAGTCTGGTAGAGCAATTTAAAGGACATCTGAAACTTACAAAACCGACAGCAGGGGACATGCTGAGAGGCTATGCTATTAACCGCGGAATCTTAATTTGAGGGGTTCCCAAGTCCAACAGAGCAGCCTCATTTCATGATTTCAAACGAACAGCCAAGACCAAGTCTTCAAAATATGCCCTGATTAAATTATTTTGAAAAGCATGGTTTGTTGCAATAATTTGTAATAATTGCAAGTAACTTTTTTTTTTTTGGCATGGAGCAGGGCCCATCACATTTTTAGTGAAAGACTTATTTGAAAACAAGTAGTGATTACAATGTATCATTTCCACACCCAGGATCTGGAAGTACCAGTAAAACATACTCCAGAAAGTCATGCATTTATTCAGAAGGTTTCCTGATAAATAAAATGGATGTTAGTTTCACTCTTTGGCTGCTCACACTGAGGCTTCATTTTGTTTTGTTTTGGTCAGCAGCAAGTAGAGAAAGCTGAGGGGAATTCCAAGACTTCAAGCCTCCAAGGACTGATCATGGTTGAACACACCTGCTTGTTTTTGTGGGCGAAGCTCAGTGTTCTTGCACCAAAGTGAGCTGGTGCTCAGAGCCAGCAGGCCTTCCCTGAGGTGCTCAGCCACAGGCAGTGTCCGGTACGTTGGGCTGCAGAGACTTGCTGTTCTCTCCCAAAGGGAAGAGGTGATGCATAGGTCATCCTTACGGGTTCCGCATAAGCAGTCAGTAATGCAAACTAAGCAGAACTCCACATCCTGACTTCTCACTGCTGAAGCAGAGGAGGTGGACAGAACATAGTTGCATCCTGACCAAGGTTGGCATTTTTTTCCACGCAGAGGTCAGGCTCATGAACTTCCTCCTGTCTCTCCTGCTTTTTCCCTCTAGTGCCTCAAACATTCCAGAAACCCTTTGACCTCACCAGGGTCTGCAATCCACTGATTCTAACACCCTGTCTCTGATCTTCATCTGGGGTTGCCCTTGCCTTCAGTTTTAGGGCCTTTGCACTGGCCGTTCCCTCTGCCTGGAACATTCTTCCCTCTGATATCCATGCAAGCTGGCTCACCTCATGCAAGCTGCCGCTCAGATGATGTCACCTTGAGGTCCCTCCTAACCATTTTTAAATAATTATAATCCACATCTGTCCCCCATGTCTAATCTCTCTGGCCTACTTTTGAAAAAAGGTTCTCCTAACATTTATCACCTTCTAACATAAGACCTCAAGTGCATTTTTATTTGTTATGGTCATTATTGTCATTCGTCCTCCCTCCCCGACTAAAAGGAAGGCTCCATGAATGGTAAGGATTTTCTGTCTGCACTGACATTGCAAACATCTACCAGACACAGAGTAGACTCTCAGTTAACACTGCCAAACTGAATGCAGAGATGAATTCTGCAGAGAGACACAGAGGCTGCAGCTCTCTTTTTAGATTAGAAGGACACCTGGTTCCATAGGAAATCAGATCTGGGACACCAGTGTGAATTCATTTACTTCTGAGTGAAAGTCAACAACATTGTTGACTTCCCTATTTCAGAATGGCAGTCACATCTTTTAAGTCTATTTTGCTACAAGCAAAATTGAATCCAGAGTGTGGCTCAAGGGTTAGTCATTTTTCTTTCTTTTTATTAAAGCCATAATTGTTTTAGCATGTAAATCTCCATCAGGTATGATACAATATGTGTACAAGTTCCATGACAAAAGTGGCCTGCTTGATATCTGTCCTTTATGCTAGTTTTGGGGGACATAAAACAAATGAAATATGCAATAGATTATTTTACATCTTTTATACGTAGTCCTCTTGAACAGGCCAACTTACCCTCATTGGTATTGTACCGTTATCTTATAGAGAGAAAGAAAAGAATCTTTCCAAAGAAGTCCATACTCATTTTTCTCTTACACACAGATTTGGGGACTGCTCACAATAAGCCTTGCTGATGGTCCTAGCCATGAAGATCACAGCAGGGGCACTCTGGGCTTCCAGCACCAGGGTCCTGTGCCAACAGTTCACAGTTGCTCAATATTTATCCGCATCCCACAAGAAATGTTTGGTATCATCTAGACAGGTGTGTGTCGTTAGGCCTATGGCTGAGAAGCATGGTGAGAAGAATGGGTCTGAATTTCTTTGGAGACACATAGTGAAAAAGACAAGTGCAGAAAATTTAAAGCCTTATAGAAAAACACACAAATTCTCATTTACTGCCATGTGTTAATTTTGGCATATCATTTAAAAATTCTCAAAAATTAGAATGATAACTGGCTCTTTTTCATTTCTTCCACATTTTTCTAAATCAGAGACATTGAAGTGAAACTCATTACTTTCAATGTCATAAAAGTAGTCTAGAATGAGTGGTGTTTAATACTTGTTAAGTGGTGGGAATGATATTAAAATTTATCTCCTCACCAATGACTGGTTTAATAAATAAATAAAAGGTACAAAAGCATGTGGCATCTATATACAAAGACATATGCAGGTTTCATCCATCAACCCATTCATCTATTCATCCATCCATCCATCCATCCATCCATCCTCCCATCCACCCACCCATCCATCCACCTGCCCACCTGTCCATACGTTCATTTGTCCGTCTATCCATTTGTCCATCCATCCAACCATCTACCCATCCACCCATCCACCCACCCCCCATCCACCCAACCATCCATCCATCCATCCATCCACCCAACCATTCACCCACTCTTCCATCCATTGCTGGAGCAACTGGAGGAAGTACATTAAACAAATTGATATATAAATAAATTACACACACAATTGACAAACGTGATGAAGAGAATGAAGGTGTAAGGAATGTGAGCTGCCTGGTGTCGGAGTTAGAAGTTAGGGCTTAGAGCTGAGAGCAGGATAGGAGGCAGAATGCCCCAATTCTTCTCAACACACACGCACACACAAACACACATTCATAAACACACAAGACACACACCCACACACTCATACACACATGCAAAACATACACACACATACACAACACATGAACACACACACAAAACCATACGCACATTAAACGTGTGTACAAAACATACAGAAACAATACGCAACATAAAATATACACACACAACATGCACATGCCAAACATACACATACGCACATTAAAAACACATACAAAACATAAACACAGTCAACACACACATACGAGTTATACAAACCCACATAAACACACACACACAAAATATACATACAAAAAGCACGTATAAAACACATACCAAATACATAAACACACACACATACAAAGCATACACACATACACTACACACACACCCACACAGAAAGTGCACATTCTAGGGCCTCTTGGGAGTGTGGGCTTGTCATGAGAGACCTGCCCTGGTCTTTTGCTGGAGGTGGGCTTCTAGGAGCTCTCTGGGAAAGACTGGGGCCCTGTCCCCTTGATTTCTGCACAGGGTGTTGACAGAGGCTGAGCCTGAGGCCTAGGGAGCTGCTGCGGGCCGTATGGGGAAGGCTCTCAAAAGCTTGATGTGTGTCCCAGGGTTGTTGTGTTGTGCCCGGAAAGACAGCATGGGCAGCCACGTCGCACAAGGGGAGGTGCCACCGGCCCTGTGGGCTCCACGGGCAGTATGCTATGGGGTTGGAGGAGGTGGAAGGGACCCAGACTTCCCGCAGTGCCACACGGAGGGACTCGGAGGTTGGGAGAGCGGGGGTGCTGGGGCTGGCGCTGAGCCAATCAGGGATGTTCCGCCCAAGCAGATTTGGGCAGAGGGTAGCCCTGCTGAGCTGGGGGCACAGCTGCCCTGGGTGGAGGGGTTCCCACTGGCAGAGAGCTCAGATAAAGCTGAAAGCCAACCCCTAAAAGCCACCTCACAGCCCAGGGGTCTCTGATACTCTTTTGCTCTTCCATGTCTCCCCTCATTTCTCATCTTGTTGAATAGTTGCAAAGGATTCCATCTCCAGCATTTGTAAAGCTGTAGCATCACCGTCTTAAATGTACCAGTGGAATCTAAACACACTGAGATTTGATACCTACTTTCATCCTTTACAAAAGCACACTAACAAACTGTTAATTAACACTCACAAATGTAATGTCTTTCCCTTTGGCCTCACATTTCCAATCCATTTGCCCCAAAGAATTGTATCCTAATGAAATACATTTTATGCAGAGAGTCTTTCTATCATGATTCTCTGCAAAAACAATATATGAACATTAAATTTTATTTTCACTTGTCATAATGACTGCGAGGATGCAATTATTTGGACCAGTACAAATATATCATAGATTTTGGTATAAATTTTAAAATAAATGGAAACAGTAATATTTTATTAGAAATGCATTGGGGCCGGATGTGTGACTCACACCTGTAATCCCAGCACTTTGGGAGGCCCAGGCCAGTGGATCACGAGGTCAGGAGATGGAGACCATCCTGACTAACACAGTGAAACCCTGTCTCTACTAAAAATGCAAAAAAATTAACCGGGTGTGGTGGCGGGCACCTGTAGTCCCAGCTACTCGGGAGGCTGACGCAGGAGAATTGCTTGAACCCAGGAGGTGGAGCTTCCAGTGAGCCCAGATAGCACCACTGCACTCCAGCTGGGTGACAGAGTGAGACTCCGTCTCAAGAAAAGAAAAAAAAAAAAAAAAAAAAAAAAAAAAAGAGAGAAAGAAAGAAATGCATCTCTCGCTCTCTTTTTTTTTTTTTTTTATTTTTTTGAGACTGAGTATCGCTCTGTCACCGAGACTGGAGTGCAGCAGCGCCGTCTCGACTCACTGCAACCTCCATCTCCCTGGTTCAAGCAATTCTCCTGCCTCACCCTCCCGAGTAACTGGGACTACAGGCACCCGCCACTATGCCCAGCTAATTTTTGCATTTTTAGTTGAGACAGGGTTTCACCATATTGGTCAGGCTGGTCTTGAACTCCTGACCTCAGGTGATCCTCCCGCCTTGGCCTCCCAAAGTGCTGGGATTACAGGTGAGAGCTACCGCAACCGGCCAGAAGTGCATCTCTAAATGCCCAGGAAGCAGAGACTCTTCCATATGCGGCTTAGCAAAGGGACAGTGTAGGCTGAGAAGGGAAACTAGAATGGGGCCTGGTTTAGGTGGAGGGTGGGGTCTGGGCAGCCCCTCAGAGGCGGTACATGGTAAACTGAAGCCTGAAGGGGCCATGAATGTGGGGAAGGGATGGAAGCACAGGGAGAAAGCTGAGGCCAGGACCAAGGTTCTGCAGGGCTCCTGTGGGCCTCGTTGAGGGGTTTAGTTTATTCCCGACACAATGCAAAGGCACAAGGTTTGAGGCAGGGGCTTGATGTGACCAGAGGTGGGGAGGGCCACATGGATCTTCAGGTGGATTGAATGTGAGAGGCAGGTGCCAAGGAAGCCCCCTAAATTTCTGTCATGCATACACCCTTAGGTGGCTTCTATATTGTCATCCATGAAATTGTTTTTGTGTGTGGACTTCAAATTATTTAGAACAAATTGGACACATTAACTTTGCTCCATTCGTACCACGATAGGAATAGTCAAGTTCTTTTTTTTTTTATACTTTAAGTTCTAGGGTACATGTGCACAACGTGCAGGTTTGTTACATATGTATACGTGTGCCATGTTGGTTTGCTGCACCCATAACTTGTCATTTACATTAGGTATTTCTCCTAATGCTATCCCTCCTCCATCCCCCAACCCCACGACAGGCCCCAGTGTGTGATGTTCCCCGCCCTGTGTCCATGTGTTCTCATTGTTCAACTCACACCTATGCGTGAGAACAGGCAGTGTTTGGTTTTCTGTCCTTGTGATAGTTTGCTGAGAATGATGGTTTCCAGCTTCATCCATGTCCCTGCAAAGAATATGAACGCATCCTTTTTTATGGCTGCATAGTAAGGAATAGACAAGTTCCACTTTGAAACCAGACAATATGTTGTCAGGCAACAAGAGTTAATTTTCCCAGTATTTATAGAGTTAATTTACTAGTGACGTGTCAGTTTATCTTCTAAAACTATGACACATTCCACCTGCTGTAGGCCCGGAGTTAAGGCTGATTAGAAAGACAAATGAGTGACCACACAAATCTGAAGCTTACCGTTACTGCTGTGACCAGGATGTTTCCAGAAAGAAACAAAAATTCCTAAATCATTTTTTTTCCCACAGACAGCACAGATCAGCTGTTGCGTGATTTCATTCAGATTCAGTGTGTTATTCAATAAGGCAGTTAATACATATTTTATCAAAATAGAACATAAAATATTTATGCTAATTAACAGAGTTGTAATTCTGAGTCATCATGGAATATATGAAGGCTAGGTTTTTCTCATATTTTAAGTTGATACATAATAGTTGTGCATATTTATGGGGTCCCTGTGATATTTTGATACATGCATACAATATGTAATGATCAAACCAGGGTAATTGGGATATCTGTCACCTCAGATAATTTTCTCTTCTCTGTGTTGGGAACATTCCAAAGCTTCTCTTGTAGCTTTTTGAAATATACAATATATTGTTGTGAACTACAGTCACCCTACCGTGCTATTGAACACTAGAGCTTATTCCTCCTATTTAATGGGATATTTGTATCCATTAACCAACCTCTCTTCATCTCCCCGCCCCAAACACCCTAGCCTCTGGTACCATTGTTCTACTCTCTACCACCATAAGATCAACTTTTTTAGCCTCCACGTATGAGTCAGAATATGTGATATTTGTCTTTCTGTGCCTGGCTTATTTCACGTAACACAATGTCCTCCAGTTCCATCCATGTTGCGGCAAATGACAGCATTTCACTCTTTTTTATGGCTGAAGAGTATTCCATAGTAATAATATTCCATTGTGTATATACACCACATTTTTGAATCCGTTCATTCATCGATGGACACTTGGGTTGATTCTGTTTCTTGGCTATTGTGAATAATGCTGCAATAAACATGAGAGTGTAGATATCTCTTCAATATACTCACTTCCTTTCCTTTGGTTATATACCCAGTACTGGGATTGCTGGATCACATGGCAGTTCTGTTTTAGTTTTCTAAAGAACTTCCATACTGTTCTTCACCGTGACTGTGCTAATTTACATTTCTGCCAACAGTGTACAAGCATTCCTCTTTCTCCACATCCTTGCCAACGTCTCTTTTTCTGTCTTTTTACTAATAGCCATTTTAAATGAGGTGAGATGATACTTCACTGTGGTTTTGATTTGCATTTCCCTGATGATTAGCAATGTTGACCATTTTTTCATATACCTGTTGGTTATTTGTATGTCTTCTTTTGAAAGATGTCTATTCAAATCTTCTGTACATTTTTAAATTAAATTATTTGATTTTTTTTACGATTGAATTGCTTGAGTTCCTTTTATATTGTTTTTGTTTTGTTTTGTTTTGTTTTAGACAGAGTCTCACTCTGTCACCCAGGCTGGAGTGCAGTGGTATGGTCTTGGCTCACTGCAACCTCTGCCTCCTGGGTTCAAGTGATTCTCCTGCCTCAGCCTCCTAAGTAGCTGAGACTACAGGCACACGCCACCACCCCTGGCTAATTTTTGTATTTTTGGTAGAGACGGGGTTTCGCCATGTTGGCCAGGCTGGTCTTGAACTCCTGGCCTCAAGTGATCTGCCCACCTTGGCCTCCCAAAGTGCTGGGATTACAGGTGTGAGCCACCCTACCCTGCCATTATATTCTGGTTATTAATCACTTGTCAGATGGACAGTTTGCAAATATTTTCTCCTATTCTATAATTTTTCTCTTTATCCTGTTGACTGTTTCCTTTGCTGTGCAGAAGCTTTTGAGATTGAAGTAATTTCATTTGTCTGTTTTTGTTTTGGTTGCCTGTGCTTTTGAAATCTTACTCAAAAAGTCTTTGCCTGGCCAATGTTCTGCAACGTTTCTGTAACATTTTCTTCTAGCAGTTTCATAGTTTCAGGTCTTACACCTAAGTCTTTAATCCATTTTGATTTAATTTGTGCATACAGTGAGAGAGGGGTCTATTTTCATTCTTCTACATAAGGATATCCAGTTTTTCCAGCATCATTTATTGAAAAGACTGTTCTTTTCCCAGTGTTCTTTTCACTTGGCAACTTTGTCAAAAGTGAGTTGACTGTAAATACTTGAATTTATTTCTGGGTTCTCTATTCTGTTTCATTTTTTAAAGTTTGTAATTCCTTTAATATCCTTTCCCCACCGGCTTTATTGAAGCATAATTGACAAATAAATATTGTAGAAATTTAAAGTGTTCAATGTGATGTTTTGAGACATATACATTGTGAAGTGATGACCACAATCAGGCTAATTAACACATCCATCGTCTCACATAGTTACTATTTGGTTTCATTGTTTGTTAAGTGAGAACACTTAAGATCTATCCTCTTAGCAAATTTGGAGTATACAAAACAGTATTGGTAACTATAGCTTCATGCTGTACCTTAGGTCTCCAGAATTCATTCACCCTGCATAGCCGAAGCTTTATACCCTTGAACCAACATCTCCCCATTTCCTGCAAACTGGCCTCTGGCAACCACAATTATGCTCTCTGCTGTAGGGTTTTGTCATGTTTAAAAAAATCAATGTAATATACAGTTTCAAAATGAAAGAGAATAAAGAGTTCATAATAAAAGATAATATTTTTTCTGTCCCACTTTTTCCAAAAGAAGTCTTAAGAAGTTTACAGATTTTAGGTATAATTATTTTTGGGATTCCTAACATATACTGTATCCGAAATATTAAAATGCACCCTCATCTTTATTAAATGTAATTTTTGGCTCTAAAATATTAAAATATTTTTATAATTCTACTTTTGAGATTATTTATCTTCAGGTGACTCAGAAATCATGGTATCTGTTAGGGGATTATTGCAAAGTGAAAAAATCTACAAATTGCTTTCAAATATATTAAAATTTTCATGCATATTGAATTTAATAATTAATGAGGTTAACATAACGATATGTTTTGTAGACATTTAATAAAACATTTATAAATGTTAATTTAGCTGTTTTCTTTTTGATTTTTGTTTTGTTTTGTGTGAAATCATAGCTTAAGGACTGAGAGCTGTGGAACTGGCTTGACTGGACTCAAATCTCAATTCCTGTTCTAACTGTGATCATGACTTTGGTTTACATAACCTCTCTGTATCTCCATTTTATAATCTGCAAAATGGGAATATCACTATCTTTTAATTCCTCACCTGCGATTGTTACCAGAACTAACTGGGTCCATTTGCCTGCATGCATCAGAAAGCCAGACACCGAAGCACTGGATTTTTGCAGACAGAAAGATGTATTGCAAGGCAACTGAGCAAGAAGACAGGAGACAGACTCAAATCTGTCTCCCCATACTGGCTATAAAGCTGTATATTTAAGGGAGGGATGCTTGGGGAAGGGTTTTGGGGTTGGTTAGTGATTGGTGAAGGAAAAGGGGAAGTTTGGAAAGTCTCCTGGGCATGCACAGTTATCTCATCATGTCTCTTCATGGGTCACATGTGTAAATTTGGGGAGGGGTTACTGTGAAATGTGGTGGGAATTTGGCCTATGACATCAAAAGGCTCATTCTGCACAGACTCCAGTCAGCCATATTGTACACAACTGGTTTCAGCCAACTTTGTTGCTTTGTAAGTGAAAGGGACTTCAACAAGATATTTTCCTATCTACTTCCCTATAAAAGAAGCTTCAGAATTTCTGTTAGTCATCAGTTTCTTTAATGCTTTGGGGCACAGTTTCATGATTTTGAAATCTAAAGAGTTTGGAAACTAAGAGTCTGCAGGAAAAACCTCACAGGATCAAGTGAGAGGCTATTTATTCTCTTTATTTATCCCAGTGACTACAAATACCATATGTTTCAATCCCCATCTATTATGTGTGGCTGAAGTGCTGCCCCACACTCTGCTGCGGGGCTTGGGTAACATACAATATATGCATCCTGTTTCCACTCTAAAATTGGAAAAATTCTGCATTCTGAAACCTATCTTGCCCGTAAGAGTTTCCAAAAAGGGAGTGTGGGTCTGTAATATCTACCTCATAGGGTTGGAAAAGGATGAAGTAAGTGAATACAGATGGTCGCTGACATGATTTTTCAACTTTGTGATGGTGCGGCAGTGATATGCACTCAGTAGAAACTTTGCAATTTGATCTTTTCCTGGGCTACTCTGTGCAATACAATGCCCTCTCACACTGCTGAGCAGCGGCAGCAAGCCACAGCTCCCAGCCAGCCAAGCGATCACAAGGGCAAACCACCGATGCTGTGCTCTACAGTGTACTGTATTCAATAAGGTACATGAGATATGCAAAGCTTTATTACAAAATAGGCTTTGTGTTAGATGATTTGGCCTGACTGTAGGTTAACGTAAGTTTTCTGAGCATGTTTAAGGTAGGCTAGGCTAAGCTATGATGTTCAGTAGGTTAGGTGTATGACATGCATTTTTGACTTACAATATTTTCAATTTATGATGGGTTCATCAGGATGTAATGCCGTGGACAGTACACAGCACCATTCCTGGCAGCCAGTGAGCACTCATGGATGTTAGCCGGGTTATCTCTTTTTCATTCTTCACAGCTCTCAGAGCTCTGTGTAGGTTTGGAAAAGCCCAGGGCCCAGCCCACTCCCCAGAGACAATCACTTTGACCTGTTCTGGTTGTGGTTACCCATGTGGCCACCAACATACCTCTCAATCATAGACTTTGACATAGATTTCTTTGTTTATCAACCCACAAGAATTTTGCTCACCTACACCACAACCTGTTTCCCTCCACTCTCTCCGCAGAGGGTTCTCCCTCTATTCCTTTTTTCTGTTGGTAGCCTTTGCATGTCAACAAACATTCTTCAATCTCAATTTCTTGTCCCATCCACCACAGATGTGACCTCCTGTCTCCCAAGAAGACATGGTATTCGGGGGCCACTACACCCATATTCCCTTTGTCTCTTCTCTAGTTCTTTACCTTCCCCAAAACCGGAGTTTTTAAAAATAGCTAAGACTAAATGTGGGCTTTGTATGGCTAATGTTTTACCTCTATACACTTTTTTTTTTTTTTGAGACAGAGTCTTGCTCTATTGCCCAGGGTGGAGTGCAGTGGGTGTTCTTGGCTTACCGCAACCTCCACCTTCCAGGTTCAAATGATTCTGGTGCCTCAACCTCCCGAGTAGCTGGGATTACAGGCATGCACCACCACGCCAAGCTAATTATTTTTCCCTTTGGCATTTGTAGTAAAGACTGGATTTCATCATGTTGGCCAGGCTTGTCTGTAACTCCTGGCCTCAAGTGATCTGCCCGCTTTGGCCTTCCAAAGTACTGGGATTGCAGGCATGAGCCACTGCTCCCGGCCCCTACAAACTTTTCATTGCTGCTTCTATTATATCTTGTTACTTGTCATTGGTCTATTCAGGTTTTGTATTTCTTCATGTTTCAATCTTGATAGGGTGTATGTTTATAGGAATTTATCAGTTTCTTCTAGGTTTTCCAATTTAGTGGTGTAGAGTTGCTCTGGAAGGCTGTAGGGACAGTGGTGTTCTGCCATTGCAGATAATCCTAGTAGCAGTGACACATTCCAAAGGCTGCTTTGGCCTTATTCGTGAGGCTACTAATGAGAAAGAACCATGGGGTTTTTGAAGTCCAAGTGACCTCTATCATCTTGTAGATGAGAAAACTGAAATTCAAAGCAATCAATGGTTTTGACTCAAATCATGTCACCAAAATCTTTGGTAAGAGCTGAACTGGGACTGGACCCCAGGTCTCCTAAAGCCCAGTGGATGTTCTCAACCCCAGCCTCAATTTCCCCTGCCCATTAGCAAGAACAGGGCTCACTGAGCCAGTAAGCTTCTCACGCATTTTCTAATGCATATCCTAAAGCAACTGTCCTCCAAAATACAACCACAATGGGGCCACTTTTGGTGACCTCTCCAGCTACACCCTGCTCCAAGCACCATCCTGCATTAGCTTCCTAAGGGGTCTCCTGGCTTTCACCCTTCTTCCCTATAGTACAGTCTCAGTGCAGGTACTCTCTTTAAATCCTGCAGTGGAGCAGGCCACTGCTCTGCTCAAGTCTTGCAATGACGTCTCTTCACTCCAAGTCTTGCAATGACGTCTCTTCACTCAAAGTACGAAGGCAGCGTCCTCCTCAGGCCCTACAAGACCCTACTAATCAGGTCTCCTGTTTCCACTTGACCCATTTCCTAAGCTCTCATCTCTGCTCCCCATACTCCGCCCACACTGATGTCCTTGCTTGCCCAGAACTGACCAGGCAGCTCCACCCAGAGTCTCTGCACTTGCTCTTCCCGGTCTTGGCAATGCTCTGCCCTTTGATACCTGCAAGTCCCTCACTGCCTGCAGGATTCTGCTCCAGGGTTGCCTTCCTGCTAGGACTTTCCTGGCCATCTTATTTAAAATTGCACCACCCAACAGTCCCTAATCTCCCTTACTGCTTCATCCTACTTCGAGCTCAAGAAAGCAGGCGTTTTATCTCTTTTATTTACAGCTTTCTCCCCAGCCTCTAGAGCAGTACCTGGCACAGTGCTACCCATTAGATATGTGTCAAGGGAATGAAGGGACTTTGAGGCCACAGGTCAAAAGCATTCCGCTGATGGCGTAGCATTTGCAAAGTCCTGTCAAAATATCCCGCTTGACTTCAGCTAGGTGTTGGGGAATTCTGAGGACCGGAGTGGTGAAGAGAGAAGTCACTTTCTAGAGGCTGGAGGAGGCAGCAGCAATAAGTAGTGAGAAATCCCCAGGCAGAGACTGAACCTCAAGGGATGGAAGTGAGTCTGCAAGGTCTTAGGTGTTAGGTGGAAATCCTGGTTTTCATTCCATTTAGGGTAATGACAGTTTCTTTCCAAGAGTTCAGGATATTTTAAAAATCATCCTGTGCTAAGAAGAACATAACAAAGTAGCCAGTGGAAGAACCGTAACAAAGTAGCAGGTGGAAAAATAACACGACTGATGGCAGTTATGGTTTTGAGGACAGGTCACATTTAGCAAGTAAAAGATGCCAGATAACTGCAGAACCAATGAGGCCTTTTGTTTGTGTAAATCGCTTTCCTCTTCCTGAGTTTCCCCAGAAGCATACCTTGAGACGAAGATTCAAAGTTAACCATTTGTTTTGGAAGGGGATCCCTGGAAACATGGGCAGGAGACAGAGAAGGGAATGCAAAAGCCAACAAAAGGTGCATTATGAAGCAAGTGATCCCGTGGGCAGTGCGGCTCAGCCTTCAGGGAAAGTACAATAGACAGTGTTGGCCATGCCTCAGTGGTGCCCCAGCAGAGGGGCAGGGAGCTGGGGATCTATCTACCCTGTCCCATTAGGGACATTAACTGAGGGTTCCTCCTCATGGGATCGACTCTCATGAGCTCCTGGCCTGCCTTTAGCATGGCACAATGGTCTCTGGCTGCCAGGGAAGCCCTTGGGAAAAATGCTCAGATGTTTGTCTCCAGGATGCAGGGAATGGTGGGTGCTCAGGGGCATGGGTGGGTAACTCTCACTGCCAGTCTGCTCCTGGAAACATGGGACATATGGTGCCCTGCAACCCAAGTGTATGTTTATCTAATTACATGGAAGAAAAGCAGGATTCCTAATCGGTGTCATAGTTTCTTGCATATCACTTTTGGGGTTTCAAGTATTAAAGTATCGTAAAGATGTTCTAGGATAGAAGGTAGACAGGAGTGAAGAGAAAACAGACAAAATTGGGAAGAACAAAGGAGTAAATGTAAGTGAAATGAAATTGCTCAGTTCAATTGATTGGGTTAGTGCTTTCCAAGATAATGAAATTCACAACAGATAAGTACACTTTGCAGTATGGTGCCCCACCCCACGGCACTCACACAGCCACATTATAATAGTCATCTGAAGACTCACCTACATACAGTGCACATGTGACAAAAGCAGCAGACATATATCACTCACGTATGTGGACAAATACACCCATCAGCAACTTCCCTGGTTTTCTACATCATGGTCATCTCCAGCTTCACCTTTCTACCTTCTGCTTCCTCCCTCAAACCCCTATAAAGGAAAATCAGAATGCCTGCATGTCTCCAGATATTAAGGGTCACCTGTGATTTAACAAGAGGTTACAATAAACTGTCCAGGGAATATAAAAACAAAAATCACAGCACCAATAAGTACTGCAAAAGAGAGACATACGTTGTGCTGAGAGTATATATTAGTAAGAATGAGCCCAACCAGGAAGGAAGGTTAGCAAGACTTCACCAAGGAAGTGATGACCGAGCTAACACGGGAAGGAAGAGTAGGAGGTACCTGGCTGAAGTGGGAGGGAAGGGCCTCCGGGGAGAAGGAGCTTTCCAGACAAATGCCATGTGACGATATTTGCCTGACTCGTATTATATAACTCACTGCATATGTGAGAAAGAGAAGAGGCATATATTGCACACATATATATAGACACACACACCCACCCACCAGTCTTAGTTAGGAGATGATGTTGCAGAATGAGAGTAGGGAATTTAGAAAGCTTTCCTGCTAAATATCTTGCAAATTCTTAGAAAGGAAAATCGACTGCACGTCATGATGAGTTGGTGACGGGGAAGTTCAGCAGGCACAACAGTGCCCTGCCCATCTCCTCAGCCCTTACCCTTGCAGCCAGAGCCTTGGATGGTTCAACGCCAGCACCTGCATCTCTGGTCCTTTCCTGGACTCTCGAGATTCAGCAATCCAGAGAAGCAGCAAATTAATACCCCACCCAGCCCCAGCAACCTTCAACCACTGACCTGAGTTGATGGATAGACACCCCAGCTCCCTCTCCACCCTATGAGAGACACACGTTCCAGAAAGTCAGAGCTCCCCAGATTCACTGAACACCAGTTGCCTTCAATGGTAAAATGCTTAATAGCATTCTGTCCTGGCGGGGACTGCTACAGCAAAAATCCCATGAACTAGGGGGCTTGGGCAACAGACATTTATTTTTCACGGTTGTGGAGGCCCAGAAGTCCACTATCAAGGTGCTGGTGGATTTGGTTCCTGGTGAGAGCTCACTTTCTTCCTGGCTCATAGATGGTCCTTCTTGTTCTGCCCTCATGGAGGAGAGAGAAGCAAGCTCTCATGTGTCACATCTGTTCTTACAAGGACACTAACCCATCATGAGGGCTCTACCTTTATGACTTAGTCACCTCCCAAAGACCCCACCTCCTAATACTATCACATTGAGATTAGGGCATCCACAAACGAATTTAGGGAGGACATAAACATTCAATCCATAGCACATACCTTTTATTGGTTTCTTCTTTTCCCTGTCCCACATCCCTTCTTCTCTCCTCTCCTTGGAGATAAACTACTTGCCCTAGACTCCTGGTTGAGGGTCTGCTCTTGGGACACTGCAAAAAGACAGAGTAGCCAGGTTGACTTCAGGTTTCCATTCACTCGGCTCAAGGATCCTAGAAAAGAGTTTAAATGCAAAACGCCAAAGTTCAATACTTTTCTCTTCAACAGTAATGATAAAGCAAGACTTTATAATAATGAATAGCATAAGGCCCATTGCCTACAAATGAATCAAATTTGCAGGAGAGTTAGGAAGCAAGTTTTTCTAAAGGAGTGCTTAGGAGGTATTTGAATTCTCTGTTCAAAGAGAAGTTGTATGTGGCCGGGCAAGGTGGCTTATGTCCGTAATCCCAACACTTTGGGAGGACGAGGTGGGAGGCTTGCTTGAGGCCAGGAATTCAAGACCAGCCTGGGCGACACAGCAAGGCAGGTGTCTGAGACCAGCCTGGGCGACACAGCAAGGCAGGTGTCTGAGACCAGCCTGGGCAACATAGCAAGACTGCATTCCCACAAAAAGTAAAAAACATTAGCCAGGCATGGTGCCATGTGCCTGTAGTCCCAGCACCTGAGGAGGCTGAGGCAGGAGGATCACTTGAGCCCAGGAGCTCGAGGCTGCAGTGATCTATGATCATGCCACTGTACTCCACTGCGGGCAACAGAGTGAAAACCTGTCAAAAAAGAAAGAAAGAAAGAAAGACGAAAGAAAGAAAGAAAAGAAAGAAAGAAAGAAAGAAAGAAAGAAAGAAAAGAAAGAAAGAAAGAGGAAGAAAGAAAGAAAGAGAGGGAGAGAGAGGGAGGGAGGGAGAAGGTGTACAGCAGAAGTGGCCTTGGACCTGAGAGTGTATGGTTGCAAAGCTATGAGGCAAAGGTGCTGAGGGATCCTCCATCTGTGGCAGCCATGTGCTGGGCTAACAGCTAGAGAGAAACACTTTTGTTCAGGAAATGGTTCAGGTGTTAGGATAGAATTGAGAAGCTCAAGCTTTGTTTTCCAATTTCTTTTGTTATTATTATTTTTTGAGAGGCACGGTCTCTCAATGTTGTCCAGGCTGGTCTCAAACTTCAAACTCCTGGGCTCAAGTGGTCCTCCTGAGTAGCTGGGACTTGGTTTCCCAATTTTTGAAGTATGAAGTTCTTGGATTTTGTTTGCAGGACTTCAAGGACCTCTCCTGATCTAGTGACCAAAATCCTGGAAACAGCATCTAGAGAATATGTTGCCTGGTTTTCACTCCAGTACCCTTCATATGAAACCAAAGACTATTTCTATCAAGATACAAGCATTTTCCCATTGGCTGAAAAATCGGCAGTGCTGTATTTTGGTTTACAAGAAACAAAGGCAGCAACTGTCTTGAAAATCTCATTGCATGTTTCTCCTTCAGTTATTAGAGACAGGGTGGAAGATGATCCCGAAGAGAGCTTTTAAGTACAATCCCTAAAAGACAGAGTTCTCACAAAGAAGAAAAGAAAAGACAAAAGTAGGCATCTGTGCACACAGACAAAGCATTTATTCACCCCAGCAGAGGCTCCACGTCAGCAGCTGGAGGAGTGGAGGTTTCACCACCAGAGCCCAGTGCCTCGCGCTGACTGGTGGGATCAGCTTATATGGATATTCCCATATAGGGCAGGTGCCCATAATAAAACTACACATGGCAGACCATCAGAGGTGGCAGTGGCCCCACAGTGCCCCCCAGGAGTCCTCTCTGGCAGCACTCGGAGTTGATTCCGTGTTCCAACAGCCTCTGACAGGAGAAAGTGACCCGAGTATAAACAGTTATATGGGGTTTTAAATATCCTGACGTTGGTGATAAGGAGCATGTCTTATTTACACTCCTTTCCCTGGCATTTAGAACATGATTGGTTGAATATTCAAGAGTAAGCCAATGTTAAATGGAATTTATCTTTAAGAATGCCTCAGAGGAGCAAGGAAAAAACATCCTGGGACTTAACAGACTATTACCATCTATTCCTATCCTAGAGTAAATGATTTTTAAACACCTCTCTTCTCATGTGGTGGGGATGAGGATTGTTTGGCTTCAAAGGCTTCTGTAGTGAAAGTGGCAGCTGGGTGATCCAAGAGTAGCCTTCCCTCTCTACTGGTGGCTTGCGTGGGAGGCAGGGGTGGGGTCACTACTGAATGACATTTGTTCTGGGGACACAGTGATGATGGACCAGAGAGTTCAAGAGAAGACATGGTTGGAAGATATATGGTCTCCCATTTATGCTATAAAATACCAAGTGGCAAATGTGACATGACTGGAAAATGAACAATCATTCACAGTTTCCTGCAAGCCTGGGAAACCCCTTCACTCGTGGCCGTCATCAACAAAGCACAGCAAAACCGTGAGAGCTCATGGGAGCCAGCGTTCATGGGCGCAGGGAGGGTGGATGGCGCAGCATCCTGGGTCACCGGAGCTGGCATTGAGTAAATGATGTAGGACAGCTGCAAGAACAGGAAGTGCATGTTGTCCAATGCAAAGGGGCCTTGCAGGGCAGGCCACTATGGGAGGTACAAAATCAGGCAGGAGTGGCACGTTGGACAATCAAGAACATGAAGGAACAGACCATACACACACACACACACACAAACACACACACACATACACACAGAGACATGTAGAATTTTCCAGGGCCCTACACACCCAAGGGGCCACCCTGTTTGCACTGGTCAGCCCAGCTCCGTGATAAAACATGGATTTCATGATCTTCTCTCTAATACAAAATTTAGTTCCACTCTGATTACTTATAGATGTTTTTCTCCCAGCCACCTGTGTTAGAAATCTATAAAATAGGTTCAAATTATTTGTTATTCCTAATGTCTCCCCTCCCCCGCCCTCTTTCCTCACTTGCCTCGCTTTGGCTCTCAGCTCATTATTTCTCGCCTGAAAAGAGCCAGCTGGGTGATGACCTGGCCTCCAGAAGTTATTTCCTGCTATCTTCCCACATTTCTTTTTCAGACTAGTCACAATGGAGTATTTGCAGCTGCCGGATGAGAAACGTTTCTTGTGCCTTCCCACCCGCGCACCCACTATCACATCCTTAGCAAATTAGATGTCTTCCTTGCCCAGCCCCCATAGGTCCCCTTTGTTGATCCTTTAAGACTAAATGTCCCCTAGGATTCTTCCTACAATGTCTTGGGCAACAGACTGGTCCTCTCTGTCACCAACTAGTTCTTGAACATATATTAGTATTTATTGCAAATTGCAGTAACTCCCTGGTCAGCATCTTGAGAACAAGGAATTTGCCTTGGAGACAGTGTTTTATATTGAGAATACAGTTTGGGAGAAGGATTGACCTGGGCTCCAATTTTTTTTTTAGCATTGTAAGGACAAAATCTTCTAGGTAGATAAAGGTAGACAATGCATGCTTTAATGCAAGCTTGTCCAACCCACAGCCCATGGGCCGCATGTGGCCCAGGACAGCTTTGAATGCAGTCCAATACAAATTCATAAACTTCCTTCCTTTTTTTTTTTTTTTTTTTTTGAGGTGGAGTCTCACTCTGTCACCAGGCTGGAGTGCAGTGGTGCGATCTTGGCTCACCACAGCCTCCGACTCCCTGGTTCAAGAGGTTCTTCTGCCTCAGCCTCCCAAGTAGCTGGGATTACAGGCACAGGCCACCACACCCAGCTAATTTTTGTATTTTTAATAGAGAAGGGGTTTCACCATGTTGGCCAGGATAGTCTCGATCTCCTGACCTTGTGATCCACCCGCCTCGGCCTCCCAAAGTGCTGGGATTACAGGCGTGAGCCACCACGCCTGGCCAATTCATAAACTTTCTTAAAACATGAGAGTTTTTTGTGATTTTTTTTTCCCAGCCCATTAGCTATTGTTCATGTTAGTCTCTCTTACGTGTGGCCCAAGACAATTCTTTTTCTTCCAATGTGCCCCCGGGAAGCCAAAAGATTGGACACACGTACTTTAAGGTGAGCAAAGGGTTGAGTACAGGGCTGAATACATGAAGGTGCTCAACACACAGTGGCTGTTGTTCTTATCTTTCCATTCTCAGCCAGTCTCTCGCCCAGTGCTGGAGACAAAGTACTCGCTTGGTGAAAGTGAAGCGGAAAGTGGATGGCGGCTGTGTCTGACGCTACCAGTTGGGCATCCAATGCCGATTTCTCCTTCTTTGCTAACAGAGCTCTGTGTTTGTTCAGAGCAGCCCAGTGAGAACACTCCCTTCCCCAGCTTCACTGCAGCCAGCAATCAGGGCCACGTAGATCTGATGATGTAGGAAACCACAGGGTGGGGCTTCAGGGAAAGCCATGTTTTCTTACCATTAAGAATGGACAGACTTGCCGGGCGCAGTGGCTTACGCCTGTAATCCCAGCACTTTGAGAGGCCAAGGTGGGTGGATCATGAGGTCAGGAGTTTGAGACCAGCCTGGCCAACATGGTGAAACCCCGTCTCTACTAAAAATACAAAAATTAGCCAGGTGTGGTGGTGCACACCTATAATCCCAGCTACTCAGGAGGCTTAGGCAAGATAATCGCTTGAACCTGGGAGGCAGAGGTTGCAGTGAGCTGAGATCCTGCCACTGTACTCTAGCCTAGGTGACAGAGCGAGACTCCATCTCAAAAAAAAAAAAAAAAAAAGCATGGACAGACTTGGCTACCACGTGCCTTTTGTCTTTGATGTCCCTCTCATTCCACCAGCTCTGCGGGGGTGATGTCAGAGGTCCAGCAGCCATCCTGTGACTATGAGAACAGGCTGCTGAAGCAAGCAAGGAGACAGTCTCCAACAGAGCCCTGGACTTCTGATTTCTGAAGTCTTTGCTTTGTGAAAAAAGAAACCCCTTACCTGTTCAAGCTGCCATTTGTGGAGTTTTTATATGTGTAACTCAGTGGTCTCAATGGGAGGAAGCAATTTTACGTCGGCGGTGGGGCATTTGCCCAGCATGTTAGACTACTGTGGCTCAAGCTGAAATCACCATCTTTATTACCAAACCCCTGTCTTATGCTTCTTCCTTCTATTGGTCACATCTACTCTTTGCTGTCTTGAATTCCCTCCATTTCCACAAAGCATTCCCTTTGTAGCTCATAGGGACTTTTTCCATTCTGCTTTCCCCTGGCACTTTAAACCGTATTGTGATGTGATGCTTCATATTACTACGTTCATGTATGGGCAGGTTGGTTTTATACACAGTCTATATCTGTAAGAGAAAGACTATGCCTAAGACTCCTGGGTCACTCATGTGAAGGTTTCCCACTGAGCTGGGTGTGTAGCTGGTGCTTTGGAATATTCCCTGACCAATCCTGCAGAGTCTCTTCCATGAACAAGTTACCATGAAAGGCTCCGCTTAGGGCTTCCCCCGCAGCGCTTGATCAGGCTGGAAACCAAAACCAGACAAGATGAGTCTTAAGCAACACGTTCCTTCTTTCCTGAAACCCTGGCTTCTCTTCACCAGGGTTACTCTGACTGGAGTCTTCTTCAAGAGTGAACATGGGCCGGGTGCGGTGGCTCACGCCTGTAATCCCAGCACTTTGGGAGGCCGAGGCGTGCGGATCACGAGGTCAGGAGATCGAGACCATCCTGGCTAACACGGTGAAACCCCGTCTTTACTAAAAATACAAAAAATTAGCCGGGCGTGGTGGCGGGCTCCTGTAGTCCCAGCTACTCAGGAGGCTGAGGCAGGAGAATGGCGTGAATCTGGGAGGCGGAGCTTGCAGTGAGCCAAGATTGCACCACTGCACTCCAGCCTGAGCGACACAGCAAGACTCCATCTCAAAAAAAAAAAAGAGTGAATGTGGTTCTCCAGGGCCTCCTTGCTGCCTCATATGCTGTGGGCGCTCAAACAGTGCAGAACAATACTCCCCCATGTGCCCGTGGGGATGGGTTCATTGGACCTCCACATAGCCTTCAAGGAAAATTACAGTGCAGTGCATCCACCGCCATGGATAGCTGGGATGAAAGCAGCCATAATTCAGTGATGCCACTCCAGGGATACAACTTCAGCATAGGATGAAAGGAGAAAATTAACTGCAAGATAAAAAGCTGTGATTTAAAAGACAAACTCTTATGAGTGTCAGCAAGGGGGAAAGCAACATGTGAAATGCAGACGGCAGGGGAGCACACTCACCTTTGCTGGATGACACTTTGGAAAGGCCTTCTTGCATGAAGT